>NC_000006.12:44605454-44908484 GCF_000001405.40 Homo sapiens
GGGGTTCTAATATGTGGGCTGGAGTTGAAACCTCTGGTCTTTCCTCTCCTGGACCTGTAGACTCTGTGGTGACGGGGAGGTCAGAACCTCCTTGCAGGCTGGTTCCATGTTGGATGGCTCTCATGGGGGGTTCGATGACTTCCATTTGCTGAGTTCGCTTCAGAGGTGCTGACTCTGGGTATAGAGAACAAATTCAGGCTATAGGGCCTCTGCTGTGGGCAGGTTGCAATACTGGGAGTTGCTAATGAGAGGGGAGGGGCCTCTTTTTGGGAGAAGATGTGGCTGACAGCAGGAAGGGAATGGGATGTGGCTGTATTGTCTCCTTCAAAGTCCTCACTGAAGATCACCATCACCCGATTAAAATGTTTCCAGCTTGGGCCTCTCCAGCAGGGCCAAGGGCAGGCCAGAGGGGAGCCGTCTGGGAGTATGGGTCTCAGTCTTGGTCTCACACTTAGGCCTTCTGAGGATTGGTTGCAGAGAGATGAACCTTGGGACTAGCAAGGGTTATGAATCAGTTGAGAAAGAGAGCAGGGCTGGTGAAAAAAGGGAGAAGCGGAGACAAACAAGAGCATATCTGATTCCAGGAGAGGTCTTAGGGATACTAATAAAGGGAGGTTTCTCATATAAAGACAAGTGGAATTTGATAAAGCCTTTTGCACAAGATGAGTGGCAGAATCCATAGGGGAGGAGTGGAGCGGACAGAGGGCAGGCAGAGGAGGTGCAGGGCACCCTTTAGATGGCATGAGGCACTGCATGCAGGCCCAGGCTCCTGCCTGACAGAAGGGTGTGTCTGGGCCTCAATAGTTCCTCTCCCCAGCCATGAGAATGAGGCTTCCAGATAGGTCCAGCGAGGCAATGACATGGTGGGGCAAGAAGGAAAATCTGAGAACCAGTCCCAGTGTTTTGATTAGCTTATAAAAATTTATTGCTCTAATTCCCAAAGTACCCAGGGAGCTGCTTCTCTCTACACTGTATCATTTTACTGGTGGGAAGCAAGAAACAGATGGTAAAAGCAGACGAATTTGGACTGAGGGATTTTGGTTCTCCCTAACCTGCTCCTAAAAGTTACCATCAAATCTTATATGCTGGCTTTTGTTCTTGAGCCAAACGATGTGTCCAATCCCTGTTCAGTCGCTTCTATTTGGATGGCCTTGGGCAAGTCTTCCCACCTCTGAGCCTTGATCTTCTCAGCAGTGGACGGCAGGTCTGTGTGAAGCGTGAAGACAATGTGTGTACCTGGCTCTGTGCCAGTCATGTTGTCAGCGCTCGGAGTCCTCCGAGCCAGTGGCTGTGAATATTGGCCTGAGTGATAATAGGAAGGGCTGTCTCAGTGCTCACCAGCATCAGGAGTCCTGCAGAGCAACATCCACATCGCAGCCCATTGTCCCATCAGCCCATTTCACAGATGAGGAAACTGCCATACAGAATGGCCCAGTGGAGTACAGAGAGGTTCTGTATCTTGCCAGTGTGTGGCAGAGCTGGGATCTGAACCCAGGTGGGCAGCTACAGACCCCATGCTTGCTATATAAAATTTTTATCAAGGCTAGAAATAAATCCTATCCCTCCTTGCCCTGTAAAATTGTCACATTGACACAGTTTGCCATGGAGACCTAGTCCTCTCTATTGGACTGTCTGCTTTTCTGTGTGTGTGATGGTCCAGATACCCGGAATCCTTCAACTTCTCCACCGTGGTGCCCCTTGGCTCCTGCATGCCTTGCGTACATTGAGGCCCCCTGATTGCATCTTCTTAGCAAATCCTCCCGGCAGCTCTTCTTTGAATCACCCAACATGGCTTCCCTTCCTCAAGGGTCCTTTATTCTAGGGGAGATTATTCCATGTAAAGGAGCCGTGTGGGTAGAAGCTCTGAGGCATCAGGGCCCTTTGGGGAATCTTTAAGTGTCTCCGTGGGCTATGGTGATCCCGTTAGTCCTCATACCACCCTCACAAGAGCACCTCACACACCTGCCCTGGTTAGAAAGCCTTCTCCTCTACCTCTGGGCCTGCTTTTCAAGTGGGGTCAGGGAGACCAGGCCTTATTTTCCAGCCTCTCCTCTGGATGACAATGGGGGACCACTCAGTCTCCTGTGACTCTGTTTCCCTGGAATGGAATCAATGTAAGTGTGAGGTTAGGTGCTTACTGAGGAGGGCAGCTGAGATCATGGCAGGGGCTTCCTGGGGGAGAGGCGTTGTGTCCAGGTGGTTTCCAGGAGGAGGTGGGCTTACCAGGGGCAACATGGAAGTAACCTGGAGACATGCTGGAGCCAAAGAGGGCTTGTTTCTAAAGGGGAGGAGGACTCTGACAGGGGAAAAAAGGCAGTCACGGCTCCCTCCTCACTCCTACTCCTGGGGTCAGCAAGCTGAGTGAGTCCAAACCACCCGGTCCATTCTGGCCAGCTCCTGTTGAAACTGGTCTCTGTGGGTTTCCTTCCTGGCTCCCCAGAGAGAACTCTGGCCTAGATGGCAAACGTGAACCTGTATGGAATGACAGTGCTCTCACCTTCCAATTCCTCTGAGAATCTTGGCCTCAGCGAAATAGGGTCTCACACCCTAGAGCTGAGGTCCTAGATCCAAATTTTCCAGATTTCTGGTTGCCATTCCTCTACTTTGAGGCAGAAAAAGCTGTAGGTTCTGCAACTTCCAAAATGTCCACAGCCACCCCGCATCTTCTGTCTTGAATGAACACAAGAGTCAGAAGCAGTGGCCCTGGTCCCTTTATCTGGGCTGGGTGGGGCCCACATCCCTGGGGCACAGGCATCCTGGGTGGTGCCTCTGTGTCCCAATTTCCAAGAAAGTCTTGATTTCAAACAGTCGGCTGTGTTGGGAGACCACGTGTCAGGATAGTGCCAGACAAATGTGTTCTGATTTTTGTTTCAGAAAATATGGTCAGCATAATTGGGGAGAGAGAAATTGGAAAGGACAGTAATTGGAGCCCAGTTCTGAGTATGAGAAGGAGACCACAGAGAGGCTTCATTTCAGTTTGCTTAAGCAACAGTAGCTATCATAGCCGATCAGGGTGGAAGGCTGTCAGGGTCATCTGGTTCAGCCTCAGTCTTTCCATAACCATGTCCTGGCCATCCCACGGCATTTTGCACTGGCTCAAAGTCAGACAGATGTAGGTTTGAATCCTGGCCATCCACTTCCTAACAGTGACCTTGGGCAAGTTGCTTAACTTCAATCTCCACAATTGGTAAACCTGGAAAAAGAATGGTACCAATGCCAGAGGGTTGTTTTTAGGGCTAAATAAGAAAGTGAATGGAAACTAATTAGCCCAGCACCTGGCTCAAGGTGAAGCCTTCAATAATAGTGACCATCCTCCTTCTCCTCCTCCTCATGTGCCTGGCACTGTGTTGGGTGTGGGGGCATCAGACAGAACAAGACACAATCCCAGCCTGTAGTACACACTGCTCATTGCCTATGCTTTATCCAGTCCGTCTCCCTCCCTCCCTTTCTCCTTCCTGTTCTTTCTTCTTTCCATGATGAACCATGGGTTTATTCAGTATCCTTCTAAAAACTACATATACCCCCTTTTTTTTGGCTCGTAGAGGTGGCCATACAATACAGTTTGGGCCAATAAGATGTAGGTGGAAGTCATTGGGTGGGATCTACCAAGACTCTTCAAAAGGAGATGATGCTAGAGGTAGGGTATTCACCTGTGACAATGACGAGACAAGCATGATAACAAAAGCCTTATGCTAAGGCACAGCAGCAAGAGAGAGGTGTCCTTAATGGCAGGAGACAGCAAAGTAGGACTCATAGGTCAGATTTTGCTTGTCATCTGATTTGTCAATAAAGCTTTATTGGAACACAGCCATGCCCATTCCTTTGTGTATTATCTGTGGCTACTTTTGCACTACAATGGCAGAATGGAGTAATTGCAAAGAGAATGGGAACTTCCCAAAGCCTAAACTATTTACAATCTGGCCTTTTCAGAAAAAGTTGCTGACTCCCACATAATGGGATTATTGTGTCCTGTACCAACTCTGAATTACTTATCCTAAGTGTCTTAGTGATAAAATCTAAATCTTACTTAAGGTATTTAACTTAGTGTTTTGCTTTCTGATTCTCCAATGTAATACTAAAATGTGCACTGCCCTACAAGGATTGCTTCTGGTTCTGCCCTGAGACTGCAAGTTTCTGCTTAAAGATGCAGTGGGGAGGGTGTTGGTGAAGGGTTACAGGTTGCAAGCAACAGAAACATACTCTAACTGATCTAAGCAGAAAGAAAGTTTTTTGGACAGACAAGGAAAGGTTTGAAAACTGGTCTGGGAAAGGGCAAGAACTAGGCAGCTTGGGGGGATAACAGAAACCAGTCTCTCCCTGAGGCTAGAGGTGGAATGAATCATAGGGCTCTTGGCTATGGGAGGGCAGCACCTTCGTAAATAGTCTCATCTGACAGTTCCATGGGGAGAAAGGTTCAGTCCCCAAAAGGATGTCAGGTGCTACTGGAGTGCTGAGACCATGCAAGTTCATTACAGAGAGGAAAATACCTGCCTCCAAAGTAACCTAGGCAGCACTGTGCAAAGCCTGCTGGTTGCCCCCAGTCAGTTCTCCCCTCCTCTCCCAGGGTAACTTCAGGTTTTAGCAGGTTGCATGGCCACCCAGAATAAGGGTGAGTTTCCCGGTTTCCCTTGCAGCCTGGTGAGGGCATCTGATGAAGTTCTTGTCATTGGGATGAGAGCAAAAGTGGTATATGCATCATCTGGGATATAAACTTAAAGGCTGTGCCCTTCCCCTTGGCAGCAGCCTGGAATGTGGATGCAATGTTGCTCCATCTTGGAACATGTGGGCCACAGCAGCAACCTTGGGGAGGCAGAGCATCAGGGGAGAAGGAGCCTGGGTCTGTGACATCATGGAGTCATCAAACCAGCCCCGGCCTGCTCCCCTGCAGAAGCCATTTACCGTGACAGAAAGACACTTCTGTCAAAGCCACTGTTCACTCTGGTCTCTGTTATCCACGGTTGAATCTATTCCTAAATGATACAATGCAAAAAGCAATTACTTCCACTGAGCCGAGTGCTGAGCGCCTATAGCTCCCCACCTTAGTAGGTTCCCCTTGTGCCTATACACAACATTTCTAAATCCTCTTCCAAACACAGTCCATTGGTGGTTTCCCAACAAGCATGGCATCCCCCTAAGCCATATGCCCACAGCACATCATCTCTCAGCTCCCGATTCTCCACTGCTCTCTGTAGGACCTGCCACTCCCTATGACACCTGTGTTCCATCTGTTTTCCTCCTTTGAGGCCTCACACCATGTACACTCCAGGCCAAGCAGATTGGACACAGGCAGAATGTCACTTACTCTATTTCAGATTTTTCACTTCAAACTTTCACAACCAGCTTTTAAAAGTGGTCAGTGAATCACTTCAGGTCAGCCCTGAATGCTGTCATTTGCAACTTTTCTTCAGCCCCAATAGAATATATAACATATTGTATTCATTTTCTAAAGATGCTGCAACAAATTGCTACAAACGCAGTGGCTTAAATCACCACCATTTTATTGCATTATAGTTCTGGAGGTCATGTAGACCAGAAATCGGTCTCACTGGGCTAAAATCAAAGTGACAGCAGGGCTGAGCTCCTTTCCAGAGGCTCTAGGGGGGAATCTATTCCTTGCCCTTTCCAGCTTCTAGAGGCACCCACATTCCTTGGCTCATCATCTTCTAACATCTTCAAAACCAGCCATAGTGGGCCAGGTCTTTTCACGCCGCCATCTATCTGGTTCTGAATCCTCTTCTGCCTCCCTCTTCTACCCTGAAGGGCCCTTGTGCTAACACAAGGAGCTAATCCAGAGGGCGCCCATATGTTAAGGTCAGCTGATTAGCAACTTCGATTCCATTTGCAATCCTCATTCCCTTTTGCCATGTAGCATAACATATTCATGGGTTCTGTAGACTTCTTTGGGAGGCCTTTATTCTTCCTGAGGGATGTGGTTTAGATGTTTGTCCCCTCCAAATCTCATTTAGAAATGTGACATCCAATGTTGGAGGTGGGGCCTGGTGGGAGGTGTTGGATCATGGGGGCAGATCCCCGGATCCCTTGTGAATGGCTTTGCATCATCCGCTTGGTGATGAGTGAGTTCCTACTCAGTTCATGAGAGATCTAGTTGTTTACAAGAGTCTAGGACCTCTTCCTTCTCTCTTTCTTGCTCCATCTCACTGTGTGATGTGCCTGTTCCCACTTGGCCTTTCACCATGAGTAAAAGCCCCCTGAGGCCTCACCAGAAGCCGAGCGGATATTGGTGCTGGGCTTGTGCAGCCTGCAGAAGCCTGAGCCAATTAGACCTCTTTTCTTTATAAATTATCCAGTCTCAGGTAATCCTTTATAGCAATGGAAGAATGAACTAACACACTGACACAGATATTGATGATGGGGACAATGACTATTATTTATTGAGGCTTTCTGAAGGCCATGCACTGAACTAAGAACTTTATATGCAGTGTCTTATTTAACCCCATAGCAGCCCCAAGGTATAGATAATATTATCTCCTGTGATAGGCAGAATTTTAAGATGGCCCCAAGAGTTCTGCCCCCTGGTGTGCATACCCTATATAATCAATGCGCTCCTCTCAAATGTGTGGGCAGGGCCTATGTATAAGATGGAATTTCACTCCAGTCATTAAGTAACATGGCAAGAAGGCAAAAATGATGAGATAGGCTGGGCGCAGTGGCTCACGCCTGTAATCCCAGTACTTTAGGAGGCTGAGGTGGGCAGATCATGAGGTCAGGAGCTCGAGACCAGCCTGGCCAACATGGCGAAACCCCGTCTCTACTGAAAATACAAAAATTAGCTGGGCATGGTGGCGGATGCCTGTAATCCCAGCTACTCGGGAGGCCAAGGCAGGAGAATCGCTTGAAACCAGAAGGTGGAGGTTGCAGTGAGCCAAGATCTCGCCACTGCACTCCAGCCTGGGCAAAAGAGCAAAACTCTGTCTCAAAAAAAAAAAAAAAAAAAAAAGTGATGGGATAGTTGCACTCAAAATTAAGTTATGTAAGACTTCATCTTAGCTGACTGGGAGAGAGATTCCGCTGCTGGCTTGAAGAAGTAAGCCATTGTGTTGTGAACTACCTGTGGAGGGGACCACATGGCAAGGAGCTGAGGGCAGTCCAGTCCAAGAGCCAGCAAGAAAATGAGGACCTCAATCACACAGCTGCTACAAGCTGAATTCTGCCAATGCCCGAATGGAGCTTGGAAGCAGATTCCTTCTCAGACTGGCCGACACCTTGATTCTAGTCTTATAAATCCATGAGCAGAGAGCTCTGCCTGGATTCTGACCTACAGAAACTGTGAGATAATAAATGGGCTTTTTAAAGGCTGCTGCTTGTGGCAATTTGTTAGGCAGCAATGGAAAACAGGTACATCTCTATTTGAGAGAATTGGAGCTCAGAGAATTTAAGAAAACCACCAAGGTCAGAGAGCTAATAAATGGCAGAGCTGGGATTCCAACTAAAGTCTACCTCCAAATCTGCATTTTTAACCATTACACTCTACTGCTTCCCAACTGACAAGCATGAATAATACATTCGATGTTATTTTTTATTGTGAGTACTCCATTTGTGCCTGATAGAAGGTTTTTTTTTTCCTGGCATTAGGAGATGAAATTATGACTTTTATCTGTGACAAGGTACCTCGCCTGTTCTGTACCATGTGGGGTGCTAATTCTTGGCATTTATGAACTTCTTCTGGGCTTTCCATTGTAAAGTGATGCTGTGTTTTTTAGTGCCGTGGCACCAAAACTTAAATTCTGAAACAAGCTGGGTGTGTGACCAGTCTTAAGGTTAGAAATGTTCGTTGTTTCAACCAATCTTCAAATTCATGAAAGCTACAAAGCAGCAGCAATGGGTTCACTAAATGACTCCAGCATAAGCAGGCCCATGTTTTGATGGAGACTAGAGAAATACTGTTATTGCACTTAGGCACATGACAAACGTGGGTCCTGTTGAAAGCAAGCCACCATTAATCAGTTGAAACATGTTACTGAACTTTTAGTAGTTTTTCATCTTTAGGAATTTTGTCTACCCCAGATATAAAAAATATAACTACTATCAACAACTTCTGCATTGAAAATGGATCCTGGTAGTTGAAAGCTGGGAGCCCCGACTCCTCCAGGGGTGCTCTAAGCTCACCTCTGCTCTCACAGCCTGCTGCTCTTCAGGAAAGTACAGATGTTCTGACGATCTTGGGTTCTTCTCTCTGTGGCATATGCCTTTCCTCTTTGCAGACTACTTCTATAGGCCCTTCTGATACCAACAGCATCTCACAGTCTTCTAAAAGGGAGGTTTGAATGAAGTTGTTGGGTCATCCTGAGTGATTTGTGGTTCACCTGTCGGGCTAATTATAAAGCAGGTGGTGGAGCAAAGTTGCTGGGCTCCTGGCTGTCAAGCCCTATTAGGCAATTAATTGGCACTCTGGGTAATGGTTAATTGTTGGTTTCCAGCTAATTCTCCTGGGCCTGAGGAAGGGGAAGGTTTTGGGTCAGAGGTAGCTTACGTGGAGTCTTCTGTATCCAAGGCAGATCAGGCTAAACACTAGAGTAAGATTTTCCTGCTGCTGGGTGGTCAGTCTTTGATCAGAAAATCCCAGAATTCTTAGCAGAGAAATGGACTTCCACCACCCCAAGGAACTGAGGATGGGAGCTGCTTCCAGTGTTTACAAATTTACAGAGGAGGAAGACAGGAAGAGTGAATTCTCACCCTGGCTTTGACACCAGATATTTGTGTGGCTTCAGGCAAGTCATTCTACCCCATGAGCTTAGTCTTCTGGTGTACAATGTGGATAAGCTCTGTAGGGAGAATCTGTAGAGCTAATGTGCCCATATTTGTTCTCTATTACTGCATAACAAGACCCCACATACTTAGTGGCTTACAAAACACATTTATAATATCAGTTTTTGTGGGTCAGGAGTCTGGACATGACTTGGCTAAGTCCTCTGCAAAATTTCACAAGGCTGCAATCAGGATATTGGCTGGGGCTCAGTCTCACCTGAGGCTTGTTTGGGGAAGGATCACTTTCATTCAGCTCCTTGCAGCTATAGGAGTGAAGTCTTCAGCTTCTTGCTGGCTGTTAGCTGCAATCTATCCTCAGTTCCTAGAGGTCACTCTCAGTTCCCTGCCACATGGGCCTTCCAACATAGGCAGCCCACAACATGGCAGCTTGCTTCTTCAAAGCTGGCAAGGAAGTGAGAGACTCCAGCAAGACAGCTGTTACAGTTTTATGTAATGTAACTCTCGTAATCACGTACATGTAACCAAAACAAGCTATCATGTTTACTGTATTCTACTAGTTAGAAGCAAGTCGGCCAGGTGTGGTGGCTCACACCTGTAATCCCAGCACTTTGGGAGGCTGAGGCAGGTGGATCACCTGAGGCCGGGAGCTCGAGACCAGCCTGACCAACATGGGGAAACCCCGTCTCTACTAAAAGTACAAAATTAGCTGGGCATGGTGGCGCACCCTGTAATCCCAGCTACTCGGGAGGCTGAGGAGAAGAATCTCCTGAACCCAAGAGGTGGAGGTTGCAGTCAGCCGAGATCACACCATTGCACTCCAGCCTGAGCAACAAGAGCAAAACTCCATCTCAAAAAAAAAAAAAAAAAAAAAGAAGCAAGTCACAGGTCCCACACTGAAGGCGTGGAGGTCACCCAAGAACATGAATACCAGGAGGCAGCAGGCACGTGGACCACCTTATGAGTCTGTTCTCCATAGCCCCCAATCCTCTCCAAGCCAGGAAGTGTGTTCAAACACTGAACACCATTTCTTCCTGATGAAATCAAAGCCTGATCCTTCTCATCATCAGGCCCTCCAGGGACATGGTCAATAGTTACCATGGCCCATTCACTTGTTCATTTGCTGACCAGTTTAGCACTTACTGTGTGCCAGGCTGTGAGTAAGGCACCAATCCTAAATCCTTTTTTCCTACCTTCTCTTTCCTAAACTGAATGTCAGACAGAGTTGAGGAGCATATAGATCTAAGAACATGGGGACACAGTGAGAAATGTATCTTTTGGAAACAGAAACTATAATTACATGTATGTGATGGTTCATCTCGAGAAAATGTTCTCAGGAACAGCCCACCTTAAGATATGAATCAGGATTTGAGACCACTTTAGAACATTAGAAGAAGTCACAATTTAAAATGTGATTATTTTAAGATAAACTGTGGTTTACCTCATATTAATTAAATAGACTCAAGTGAAGTTATAGATTTTGATTATTTGTGGTAAGGATTATTTGTGGTAATTGATATTATCATTTCCAGTTATTTGCCACTTGCCTGTACGAGAACTATAAATCTATATTTGTTGCCAGGTGGCACACGGTGTCCCCTTTGGGAGAAGTATAATACCTGGCTTCGTTGTTGGGCCTGGCCATGTGACTTGCTTTAGCCAATGGAATGTGAGTAGGAAGTGGTGTATACTATGTCTGAATGGAAGACTTAAAAGGCATTGCCTGGTTTGGTTATTGTGTTTTTCCCTCTACCACAAGAATGGCATGTTCCAGATGGGGGCTTCTCCTTCAACCTGAGCCCTGGAATAAAGACATGTGGAGCAGGGCTACACCTGCAGGTACATGAAATGTGAGTGAGAAGTAAATCTCCTTGCTTTAAGCCAGTGAGATCTTGGGCCATTTATTCCCACACAAAACTTAGTAAAATGTGACAGAACATAATGCTGAGTCAATTGTGCTCTCCGTATACATAAGAGAGTGCTAGTTGATGGTGTCTCTGTTATCTCTGAGTTTCTGCAGATGCACTGGAGCAGAGAGGAAGAAAGGCAGAAGTTTGAATTGATGAGAAATTAATTTTTGGGGTTAGGTTGTATGGGATTTTTTAACAATTGAAAATGAGACTGTTATGCTTTCTAATGATTTCTTTATTTAAGGGATGGGGTCTCACTGTCACCTAATCTGAAGTGCAGTGGCATGATCATAGTTCACTGCAGTCTCGAGCTCTTGGGCTCAAGCAATCCATCCGCCTCAGCCTCCAAGTAGATGGGATGACCGGCATGCACCACCATACCTGGCTACTTTATTTTATTTTTTTGGAGACAAGGTCTCTCTCTATTGCTCAGGCTGGTCTCATACTCCTGGCCTCAAGCAATCCTCCCACTTCAGCCACCCGACTAGATGGGAAAGAGGTGTGCACCATTTTGCCTGGCTAATATATTTTATTTTACATTTTTAGAGACCAGGTCTCGCTATGTTGCCCAGGCTCCCGGCCTCAAATGATCCTCCCCACTCAGCCTCCTGGGTAGACGGGACTATAGGCTCAAACCACCACACCTAAGAGATTGGTAAACTTTCTAAAGGGGACAAGAAGAGCCGTCATCTAGGGTTGGAGTACTTAGATCTGAGAGACTGTGACTAAAGGCAATAGCAATGAGAGAAATGGAGCTCTTTCCTGATGGTGCCAAAGTTGGCTCATTTCATTTGCTACTTTATTTGCTATGTATTTCCCTCCTTATGGAGAACTGTTGGTGCAGCTGCAGTGCCCTACAAACAGGTGCCTTGTTCTAGAGAAAGGCCCCTCCACCATGTGAGGATGCAGTGAGAAGGTGCTGTCTATGAGAAAATGGGCCCTCACCAGACACTGGATCAGCCAGCGCCTTGATCTTGGACTTCTCAGACTCCAGAACGATGAGAAATTTCTGTTGTTTATGAGTTAAAACAATAAGAATGGAAAAGACTCTAGAAGCTGTAGAATAAACCCCTTTATTTTACCAGTGAGGAAATTAGGATTCTCAGAGTAGAGTTACTTTTCTTAACTCTGCTCATTCAGTGTCTTAGGAATTTGATTTCCAGAGCAGACCTATCCCCTAGGAAGAAAGGGCCAAGCCAGCTACCCTGCCATACAGGGCACCTTGGCATTCACTTTTGTGCCTCCCATCCCGACCTGATTCCCAGGGCCCCTGCGCCTTTGGTGCACTGACAGAATCAAAGTGTGAGCCTGACTGCACCGTGAACTCGTGGGCTTCCCTAGGAAGCAGTGTCCTCGTTTCTCCTCACTGAAGCAGGAATGGGTCACACGCCTTCATCCATCTCTAAGCTCTCCATCCACTTGGCTCTGTTATGTCTGATCTTCCAGCCTCTCTGTTTCATTTCCCTTGACTGTCTGGTGTGTTCCTACAGGATGCTGAAGTGGGAGAGACAAGCACAGGTGATGTCCAGGCCAGCCTAGGGGGACCCTCTGGAGGATGTCTCCCCCAACCCCAGGTCTCATGTTACAGAGACATTGCTTCTGTGGGTCAAGGAGGGCCTGGTGGATGTTCATATCACACACACGTACACACGCGGTCACCCTCGGAAATGTCCCTCCGGCCAGTGCTGGACTCACAGCCCTCCCCTTCCACAGTAGCACCTCCATATAGTCATTTTGTCTGCAGGTTCCTCAAGGACAAGTCACCTCACCAGGATGACTTGTCTGAGAATTAGAAAATCAGAGGTCACTGAACCCTTAGGAGAGGATGTCCTCAGTTACCGGATTTCACTGTTCACTGCTAAAGATTGAATCAATTTGTGGGTAAATTATGACAGCTGTGAGTGAAGACAATGTATGGAAGTTGTTACCTCTGGTGCCTTCTATTTCTGGATCTGTATTGACCCAGTCTGTGGCTCCATCCTGCAGGTATGGGCTTGTTACTTTGCACTTGTACATGATTTAGTCCCTGGGCTAAGTCCCAAGTGTGAGGCCAGGGCAGGTTGTGGTACAGGCCCCACAGGCAGCTCTCATGAATGCAGCCCAGTTCCTGGCACACAGCAAGGGCTCAGTAACTCCAGCTCAGGGGCTTAAGCTTCTTAATGTGAGTGAAAACAGAACGGAAAACGCACCTGAAGCACAACAGGCCCTGTCTTTCACCCACAGTGGGGTAAGGACTTGCTCCTTGAGGACTCAGAGGCATTAACGATAATGAAGGGTTCCAACCCAGCTGAGTTCTCTGGTTTTTGGTTCCTCTGTTTAGAAATGCCATGTTTGTGGCTTCAAATAAATCAAGAGATTTGAACCCAAAAGATGGGCAATTTGGCAGGGTTTCAAACCCACTTAAAACTACAGCTCCAAATTTAGATGTGATCTGGGAACTTGAGTTTCAAGTTCCCCTTGACTTGGGCAAAGCCTGAATTTCAATCTACTGCACATTTTAATTTATCCGTTCTCATCTTTTTAACTTCCCCAAATTTCGCTCTCCCTTTTTGGAACTCATCACTCTGGTTGTGTTTCTCACGTGGCTGTTGCTGTGACTTCTCTTGCGTTGTTTTCTGTTATCATCACACAGACCTTATACTCTGCCTTTCAGTCTTATCTCCTGGGCTGGGCTGGAGACACCTTCTGGGCAGGGGCTGTCCTCAGGCCTCTTTCCTTTCCCCTCCGTGAGACTTGCCCAGGGTCCAATACTCATGGGTCACAGTTAAGGACTGAGGGTTGCTCCGTTGTAAAGCTAGGAACTGGAGGAGGTTATGTTCCAACCAGATTTCCAGAGCCTTGGCTTCTGATTTGGTTAAGTATTCCTTGGAAATAAACAAATAAGCAATGCAAACATCTGAAGAGCAGTGGTTTGAGTTAAGGAGTGTACAAAATTTAAGAAAAGTCTGATGAAGACAAAGCCATGTGCTGGGCAAAATCGAATCAATCCATAATAGCTTTCTGTCACTCCTGCCATGCCAATACTGCCTGAATTGTTTGTCTACAGCTTGTGGGAGGCTAAAAGAGTCAAAGGTTAGAATTTGGCACATGAGATAGAACTAGAGTTCAGATCACATGCACCTTTTCACACCTTCACACTTTTGGAGAAACAGTGTATTTGTTTGGTTGGGCTGCCATAGCAAGGTACCACAAACTGGGTCGCTTCAACAACAGAAGTTTATTCTCTCACAGTTCTGGAGGCCAGATGGCCAAGATCAAGTTGTGGGCAGGGTTGGCTCCTTCTGAGGGCTGTGAGGGAAGCCTGTTCCTCGCTTCTGGTGGCTTGCTACGACCTTTGGTGTCCCTTCGCTTGCGGACCTCTGCCTTCGTCTTCACATGGTCATCTCCCTGTGTGTGTCTGTGTGTCTGTCTGTGTCTAAATTTCCTCTTTTATAAGGACATTGATCATATTGGATTACGGGATCATCATACTCTGTAGTATGGCCTCATCTTAACTGATCACATGTGCGATGACCCTATTTCCAAGTAAGATCATATTCTGGTGGTACTAGGGGTTAGGATTTCAACATTAATTTAGTGGTGGTGGGTGAGCATATTTAACACAGTGCAACAGCCTTCTTATTTGAATTTATTGTTCTCCAAATCAGGGTTTATCCATAGAATTCAGTCTGTGCCATACCTATGGATTGGATAATAAACATCTAGAAGAAGCTAAAGGCAGGAGTCCCTTTTCTCCTTTTCTACCCAGTGATCCATCCATCCATCCATCCGTTATCACACACGTGCACACACACACACACACTTTATATAGGTGAGACTCTAGGGGTTCCTTACTGGAAGCCCCTGTCATCCAGGGACACTACTTGATGTCTTACTTGCATGGATTTGATGAGCTGCCTCAGAGGAAGAGCTATAAGGACTCTGAAGTAAGGCCTGGGTTCAGAATCCAGCCCTGCACTTACTGGCTCTGTGACATCAGTGACACCTTCCTCTTTGAGGCTTGGTTCTTCATTTGCAATATAGCAAATACTAGAGCAGACCCTATAGGTCCCTGAAAAATGGTGGCATTTATTGACGTTATTATTGTTGAGTGAGCCAAGGAGAGAGGGACAGAGTGGAGGCATGGCCTATCTTCCAGCTTCCAGAAGCTCACCACCAGGCACTCCTGGGGGCGCAAGTCCAAAGCTGTCACAGAGACTGCCTCATCTGGACTGTCTCCCCAGTTCCAGAGCTGTGGTTCTTAATCTTTTGGGGAACTGGATCCCTCTGGAAATCTAATACAATCTGTGGACTCCTCCCCAAATAGCACCTGTGCATGGAGTGTCCTCAGAAGCTTGCGTGTGATTGTGGCAGGTTTGCGTCTCCACTTGAGACCACCCACGGAGGCTAAAGTTTCCACTTCAGAGACAACAACCTGAGAAATTCATTTGCTCATCCAGTAAACATTTCTTGTGTGACTGTCACATGCCGGGTGCTTTGTGGGGGACCAGGATGTCACGGAAAAGTCAGATAGGAGACCTTTCCCCAAACTGCTCACAGGCAGCAAAAACCATAATGAAAAGTAGAAATGATTCAATATTATAGCAGACATATGGCTATATTTTTTTTGTCCCAGTTCAGAGGAGGACATTATTTCTACCATGGAGGGTGTGAAATAATCAGGCAGGTTCAGTGGAAGGAAGGATATTTGAGTTGGAAAATAACAGGTGAGTTAAATTTTGTTCTTAAAGGACATATTGGTATTCCCAAGGTACCCATCCCGACAGTTGACACAAGTGCACGAATATCTGTCTGCTGGTGTTTGCCTTCACCTGAATGTAACTTAGCTGCTAGATTCCTAAAACGCTGCACCTCTGATAAGAAGCCAGTTCGTGTTCTTTTCTTCAAATATGGGCTTCCAATTGTATCACTTCTATAACACAAAGCACAGTTCATTCATTTACATGAAACAAGAAGACATTGACATTCTGCCTGTCTTCAGTCCTTACCTTTGTTATGAAGGAATCTTTGGTGTCTCTGACCCTCTAGGGATCCCAGTCCTCCACCCAGCTGTGGAGGATGGAATGGGAGGTGCACATCTGGGAGTAGTTAACCACTATCTTCTACTTTCTTTCTTCCAGGGGAGGTGCTTCTTCACCCCACTCCTCTCTATCCACATCACTAATAGCCAAGAGCTCAGCCTTCCCGGGGTCAGACAACGTTGTGATCTGCTGGATCCTGTTCTGCTTCAGCTGTGTTGAATGCATATCCATTTGGTTCTGGTTCATAATTCTTCACTATCAATTTTTCTGAAAGACTTCAGTTCCTTTTGTGGTTCAGTGAAAAGTTTGGTATTTGGGGTTGGGTACAGATTAGGTTTAGCCTAGGGTTGAGATCTGCTGTGGTTTGGGTTTTGCAGGGTGGTCATTTCGTAAATGCTATCTCAACCCTTCCCAGGTGGAAGGGGCAGGGAAATGTGGCCTGGGAATCCACATCATAAAGAATTTTCAATAAATGATCTGAGAGGAACACAGTGTGTTCTCTCCCTGGCAGCAGCATCAAGCAGTCTCTGGAAGACACACTGAGCATCATTCTACGCTGTATGGTTGTAGGTTCACTGTCAAAATGAGCTTGATCCAGCAAGAATTTAGGAAAGTGACAAGTGGTTCAGGCTTAGCCACAGACTTGCAACGTGACCCTGGGTAAATCAGTTCCCCTCTCTGGGACTCAGTTTCCTTATGTGTAAACAAACAAACAAAGGAAATTGGACGAGAAACTAGGTGATGGTGAAGGTGACTTTCAGAGCTTAAATGTTATGATGCTGTGAACACAACAACTTTATTTTAAATTAACTGTGCCTCTAAGGAAAGGATTCAAAGGCTCTTTCATTCATTGAACTGTATCTCTCCCACGTTCCACTCCCTGGTCATTGCTCAAGAACAAACATGAGAGCATCCAGCCCTCCTGGAGAACGTACATACTTCAATGGAGGCCTTGGCTGCCTGCCTGGGGCTCCCTCAGCAACCAGGCTGTGTAGTAGCATGGTGGGCCCATGGGGTCACAGAACCTTCTCTCCCCTTCCTTCCCTCCTTTTTTCCTTAGAGGGAAGGAAGGGGACAAAAGAGGACAGTATTAGACCATATCCACACTTCTAAGGCTTTAGGCTCCAGAAGGGAATGTACCTCTTTAAGGTGCCTGCAGGCAGGGCCTATCCAGCCAGCAGGGTAAGGCAGAGGCCATCCCAGCCCCTCAGGATCCCCGTGGGGTGTGTCTGCTGAGGTTCTAAGGAACTTAATTAACATGGACTTTCCTCACTTATTCACCGCCTACCCCTATAAGGTGTGCTAGCTAAGTAGTTTTTCCACACACCTGAATTTTACCCTTTAAATAATAAAATAGTTTTAATCATTTGAACAATTTTATTTATTTATTTTTGAGACAAAGTCTCACTCTGTCACCCAGGCTGGAGTGCAGTGTCATGATCTCAACTCACTGCAACCTCTGCCTCCTGGGTTCAAGTGATTGTCATGCCTCAGCCTCCCGAGTAGCTGAGATTTACAGGCATGTGCCACCACGTCAAGCTAATTTTTGTATTTTTAGTATAGTCAGGGTTTCACCATGCTGTCCAGGCCGGTCTTGAACTCCTGACCTCAAGTGATTCGCCTGCTTTGGCCTCCCACAGTGCTGGGATTACACGCATGAGCCACCGCACCTGGCCCATTTTCACCATTTTAGATGGGAATAGATACTTTTTGTTTCTTGCTTCTCAGCCCTCTCAGCTGGGTATCATGAACAGAGTCAAATCTTCATCCTAACGAGTATCAATTGTCCTGCCTCAGGTTTTCATGGGTAAACTGAGGAAAAGCATATCTCCCTCACAAGGTCCGTGTGATTATGTAAACAAAGGGCTAGCCTGGAAAGAAGGACATGCTTAGTTAATAGCGATTATTATTTTAATTGTCAGTTGATTACATGGTGATATATTCAGAGAAGATTGATTTATGAAGAGCAATTTGCCTTTCCAGGAAATGGCCCCTGGACTGTTAGGCATTTCGATTTCTTGGGCATGAATTAAATAGTTTCTCTTCCTCTCCCTTGTCACCAGTTGCATGGCTGGCTTGCACCTGACTTAGTGACCCTCCCTTCCTTTCTCCCTCCCTTCCTCCTTTTTCTTCTTTCTCTCTTCCTCTTTCCTTATTTCTCTTTTTAAAGTTTATTGGGAACTTTTCTCTATAAAATGCTCATTACAGAAAATTTGAAAAAAAGAAAACAAAAAAACAGAAAGAAAACAAAATCACCTATGACACCTTGAGAAAACTACGTTTTGATATATTTCCATTTTATCTCATTTTTCAGTTTTGAGTGTTGTTTGTTTATTGCACATGTTGAAGTTACACCATAGATATAATTTTGCACCCTGCTTCTTTTTAGTTATAATGATAACATAAGCACTTCCCCATGCTAATTTTCAATTCATCACCAACAACATCTATATTGGCTGCAAATATGGCTGGTCATGGTCCCGTGGTTTAACTTACGCATTTCTTTAAGATTGATATGAAAAGATTGGCATGAATTTCTTTCTAGTTTGTTGTTTCTAAGAGGGTGTGGCAGGGAGACCACTCACCAAGTGTGTTAGAACTGTACGTTCTCAGGAAGAGTTAATCAGTCTCAGAATCTTGTGGGAAGGCTGGAGAGGTTTTCCTCAGGAGCCTTTGGATATGAATTTTTTTGACGCCTCTTATACTTTACTCTCTCAAAGGATCCTTTTACTTGTGTTTTCGGTTCTTGATCGAGGTCTGAATAGTTGAGATTATCAATTCATGGACTTCTTGATAAGTGAGATATGACTGCACTAGTAAAAATGATAAAATCTACTTTTCTACCAGCAAGGTAGAATGGTGTCATTGTTCAGAGCTGCCTGCGTTCAAATCCCAGTTCTCCCTCTTTCTAGTTGGGAGCCATCAGGCAAGTTTCAGTCTCTGTGCCTCAGTCCCCTTGCAAAATGGAATCATCATAGTGTCCACCTCACAAGACCGCTGTGCGTATGAAATGAATGAATGTCTGGAAAACACTTAGGACTGTGTCTGGCCCTTGGTAAGCTCTAGTGAGTATTTGCTATTTTTATGTTCTAATTATGTTATGAGGGCATTTTAAAGTTTCTTTGAAACATTTTTGACCTACTCTTTCAGAATTTTTGTCTTTTACAGAGGCTCAGGAGCAGAAGGAGACGGCTAGGGCTGGAAGGGACAGCAAGGGAGTGGCACAGCTGAGAGCAAGGCTGACACCAGGTGCCCAGGCACCGCCTCCACCCCCAAGGCCAGGGAGAGCCGGCAGGGCCCCCCAGGCACAGCCTAGCTGGGCCAGGAGTGGGACAGGAAATGAGAGAGAAAGTCCAGAGTGGGGGTGGTGTGGAGCTGCAAATGAGAACCTGAAGGAGGAGGGGGCTGGCGGGGGGTGGGGTCACCTCTCTCCCCAGATCCCAGCCTCAGGGGTAGGGCCATGGAGTCCGCAAATAGAACCTTCAGTTCCTGAGGGGAAAAAGAAAGTCTAACTTTAGAATTTACAGTTTTCCTTAACAAGAGGTACAGCGCAGTTGCGTTCTGGTAACGGAAGCAAAATTAAAAATATGAGCAGGAAATAAATTAATTTTAAAATATCTAAAAACATGTATTCTGTGGTTCCATCCACCTGGCCAGCATTGACTGGCTTGTTTTTCCCTGGGAGGGACTGATTAATAGGACAGAAATGAGGAGGTGTGAATTTATTTTGGACCTGGGTGGGGAGCCAAGAGAGGTTGGCATCAGCCCACTTAGGCTAAATCTGCATTTTAAAGTCCACAAGGGTGACCACCTACTGGATGCCCTGGAGGGTGGGGAGTTGGGAAGGGAGGTATTGCAGGCTGAGCTCCTTCTCAGCAAGCTTCTAAAAGCAGTTTATTTTCCCCCCTTTTGAAAGTATAGTCATGCAGGCCCAGAGGCAGCCCTATGACCAGGGGACTCTCTGGGCCTTTGTCGGGAGAAGCCAACGACACAGAGCAGGCCTGGGACAGTGAATGCAATGCGGGTTTTTGAGCCCAAAGTGTTCCCTGGGAAGAGGTAAGAGGACAGAGCCCAGCACTCAGAGAAATAAAATCCCTCTGGGCTGTTTTGTGCACCAAGCATGGAGAATCATTTAGCAGGATGAAAGGTGGTTGAGAAGCAATAAATAATCTTCAAATGGGGGAGAGGCCACTGTCTGGGAGGTAGAGAGAAGGCTGCAACGCAGAGCATTTTATCTGAGTTTAAAACGCAAGAGTGAGGCCGATTTCACTGTAGTTCAAGACATGGATAATTAAAAACAAAGACATCTTTAAGACAGATCTAAGGAGGCCTCCCATCCCATGCCCTCACCCTATAAATCCCCCATCTCCGTGCCCTTCCCCCATCTCCTTTTCCCAGAAAAGGCTGGGAACACCCTGAGAAGTAAAATCATCCTAACGAGAGAAGACATGTTCTTGAAGAAATTTTGACTTATGGCTTGCAGCTTTATAAGCATTTCAGTAGAAAGATGTCCCACACTCAGGCACTAAGTCAAGGACGCATAGTTTCAATGCTAGCTTGGTCTTCTGTGTGATTATTTTTACAACATTTGCAATTAAATGCAGATTTTCTGCTGCCAGATTCTGACTGGACAAGGGGCTTCAGTGCTGCTGGGTCCCCCGGCACACAAGCTCAGACACACCAACCTGCACGAGGACACACACTTGGGTGGGAGGAACAGCCCGCCGCTGCACGCACACCAGTGTAAACCACCCAGGACACACACGTGCCTGTGCAAGCTGCCTTTCCCCAAACTTTCTTCATTAGAAACAGATCTGCTCTGCTTCTCTGTTACTTTATTTTGATGATTGAAATTTTCCTCAACCAAAAGTGTAGGCATAATGACCTTTTTCTTAAGACTTCAGAATTGTAGAAGAAAATATGATTATATAAGTTCATATATTTTGGTTTTGAAAGGAACTGATTGCTCTGTGTGTGTGCGTGTGTTTGTGGGTGAGTGAGCGTGCTTGTATGTGTGCATGTGGGTGAGTGTGCATGTGTGTGCTGGTGTGTGCATGTGGGTGTGTGTGCTTGTGTGTGCATGTGTGTGCATGTGGGTGTGTGAGTCTGCTTTGTGTGCATGTGTGTGCATGTGGGTGTGTGAGTGTGCTTGTGTATGCATGTGTGTGCATGAGTGCTCAAGTATGTGCATGTGTATGAGCATGCTAGTATGTGCATGCATGTGCTGTGTGTGTGTCAGTGTGCTTGTGTGTTCATGTGTGTGCATGTGGGTGGGTGTGGGTGTGTGGAGGGTAGGGATTCTGGGAAGGAAATAACAAGGAGGCTCTGATGAGATGAGGAGAAACACAGTGGGTCTGATAGCAGGCACGAGGAAACAGTAGTTGCCACCTTAGAAGAGAAACAATGACAGGAGATGAAGTGTGGTTTGGGGTACTCCAACAATCCCCTGTGAACTCAGGAATTTAGTGGGTTTCCAGAAAGTTCTATATTGCCTTTTCTCCTGGGATGGCCAATGCTGCCCAGCATTGGTCAGGAGCAACTTGCAGGAAGAGAAAAGGTTGATTTTTAGGCCTGCAAATACCCACCTCTGCGTAATTTCGCCTATTGTGAGATTTACGTTGTTATTTGCTTCTTCGGGTTGGTTTAAGAGGCGGTAAGGAAGGCAAAGCTTGCGTGAGGTCAGAGTCCACTCCACCTCACCTCAGCAGGCAAGCAGGGCAGGTAGAGGAACAAAGCAGGCCTTGAGGGAGAGAAAGGCCTGAACTAGAATCCTGCTGACCTCTCTCAGCCTGAGTTTTCTCATCTTTAAATCGGGGCCAATGACCTCCTTGATGTGCAGTCCTTGTGAGGCTGCAAGGAGGCAGTGTGAGCACAGAGGCTGGTACGGGCGGGTGCTCAGGGGAGGAGAGGGCCCGTGCTCTGGCCTCCCACCAAGGCCTCCTGTGTGCTGTTGGAAATGGACTTGGCACAAGCAAGGCTTTGTTTCCTTTTAGAAAGCCACCCCAGTGCCCCACTCCCAGGCTGCCTCTCCGATCCTCCCCTCAGCACGTGGAGCTGGGGCTTGTCACTCAGCCCAGGAGGGACCTAGAGCAGGTCTTCAGTACTGGAAAGAGGAAGAACTCCCCTTGCGGGGAGGCTCCACCCAAGCAGGGCATGAAGCAGGAGGTGGTGGGCCGGGCACAGGAGACAAACCCCGCCTGCTTCCCAGTTTTGCTCCGAGAGTTAGCCTTGGCTAAGTGGAGCTCACCAGCCTCCCACACAGTGAACCCAGAAGTCTTCAGCCCTCAACATCCCCGTGTGTGTGTGTGCACGTGTGTGCGTGCGCATGCGTGCGTGTCCATATGCATGTGTGCACGTGTGTGCCCGTGTGTGCGCATGTGCATGTGTGTATGTGTGCATGTGTGTGCCCGTGTGTGTGGCGTGTGTGTGTGTGTGTGTGTGGTGTACTTCCTGCTTCCTCTAGAGCTCTTTCCTTGTTTCACTCTGACACTGTCTTTGACCGCCCTGAGCCGCTCCCCCTCCCCCTCCCCAGTGGTTCTGATGCTGCCCCTTAGCAGGTAGCTTTTTCAGATTCCTTCACTCTTTTCCTGGGTCTGCCTCTTTGCCTCTTGCCTGATTTCCCCTGGAGCCCCGGGGGATCTACGCTCCTGCAGGGCTGTGCCAGCCCTGTGAGAAGGAAGCCAGAAGTAAGAATCACCACCTAGTGCTAAGGGCAAAACATTGCGCCCAGTAGGTGCTCAGGCCAGGTCTGTGAGGGCGGATTTCAAGGATGAAAGCGGAACCGTGGACATTGAAATGTACATTGTGATGTATTTTCAACTCTTCTTTCTTCAAAGAAAAATAATTGGATGTAAAACGCTCCTCTCGCCCCTCACCCAGACTTCTCCTTTGACGCTGATTTTCCCAGCTCAGAATCAAGTATAGCATCGCTGAAGATCACCAAACTGCTACTTAGACATTTTAAAGATGCAATTTGAGTTCCAGGCAGGGAAAAGGGGTGGATAAAAGAGATTATATGATAATGACATGGCTGTGGGAAGCCTGTCAAATAAAGTGCATTTTCTCTGGTGGGCAGGCTATTTCTGGAGCTGTACGTGGGTCCCTACACTGAGGGGTGTGTTTATCCTAATGGGAAGCAGGACTGAGCTAAGCCACAGCTCCCTGTACAGTTTTTAAAGTCTTAAGATACCACAAGAGACATTTGCATTGTCCAGAGGACACATTTAGTCTGCCCTGGCCCGTTTAATGTGTGCTGACTTGGCTCTGACAGGGGCTGGAGGAAGGCAAAGGGAATTCTTACAGCAGAAGTGGGGAAAGGTGCATCCATCCAAATGTGCCCATTAGGATGCTTTTAGATACAAGAAAGAGAAAAGTCAATACTAACTGACTAAAATCGTAAGGAGTGCATTAGATCATCTCAAAGTAGCCCAGAGTTAGGGCTTCAGGTAGGGTTTGATCAGGGTGCCAATTCTGTTTTCCTGTGACCTTGTCTGCTCTGCCCCCTTCTAGTTCTTTGTCCTTAGGCTGACTTCCCTCATGGCTGCAAGATAGCTGCTGGCAGCAACTCAGGCAGTTGCTTCTTTGGTCACGTCCAGGGAGAAAGAGAGGAAAACATTTTCCTTTTGGTCTGAATGGGTCAACTGAAGCCACGAACTGGACAATTGGAGCCACTAGGCTAACATCTTCTGCCCTTGGCTTGCCCAGAGTTCTGAACCCCACCCAAGCAAGGAGGTTTGAGTGACTCTAACTGCTGGGATTGGATTCCCACGAGGCACAGGTGTCACATAGGAGGGTCAGGCCCAGGCCCAGACTGGACTCTGCTAGGAAAGTGGGGGAAGGTGGGTTGGAAATGAAAGCAGTCAAGCAACTAACAGCTTTTCCAGCCAGAAACAAGGGAGCCCTGTTGTAGCAGAGCCTCTTTTGTGGGCTGAGACACTGTCAGCCTGGCCTTTCTGCCTCTCAGAGCTGTTGGGGATCATGGAAGATGATGGAACGGTAGCAAGGCAAAATAGACATATATATGTATGTATAAAATATATGCCTATAAATATCTCGTGCCTCAGTTTTCTCCTCTGTAAAATGGACATAGCAATCCTGCCTTATCCTTCACAAGGAGAAATTTCATGTACTATTTTCAGTGCTCCTAGAGACCAGCTAGGCTAGCCAGATTGGGCTTGTTTTCCCCCAGAGAGGAATGATGACAACTCCAGCCCCTTGGTACCCTCTCCCTCTCCTCCCATCTCACCCTGTTCTAGGTTGGTCTTGGCAACATTTCCTCTGGAAAATAAGAAAAACAAATTTTCCCGGGGTTATCAATCACTGCCCCGCTTGACACATTGGGGCTGGGCTTCCTAGATCTGAAAGGGAGCACATATCGAAGCCCACCTGAGCTTGTGTGCCAGGTCTCTCCAGGAGCCCTGGGGCAGCTGGTCAGGGACAGTCAGAGGGGTGAAGCCTGCCTGGCTGGAGCCTGAGACAGGAAGGGAGAGGATGGGGTTGGAGCCTGTCCTCCAGGCCAGGGGCAGACCAGAGGGGTGGGTGAGCAGGGGTATTCTAGAAGGAACAGGGTCTGCTGGGGTGCTGGGGAGACACGGTGGGTTTCTGTACTCTGCTGTCACAGACAATGCAAGTTTCACCTGGAGCTGAAACCTCGGCCTTGAGGCTGCCGATTTCAGTCCGGAGGGAGCCCTTGGGAAGCGGAACTGATCATTTCCCAAGGCCTGGCCTCACTTTTCACGAAGATAAGGCAGCACTTCAGCTTCCTCTGAGGCCGGCAGCCCAGGAGCTCCTCTGTCCCCCTCCCTCCTTCTACAGGTCTTGTCTGCAGCCTGTCTCTTCTAGTATGGAAAAAGACAGAGAAACATGCAAGCCCAGAAACACACATGCAGCACATGCATCTCTTTCTCTCTCCCTCCCTCCCTCCCTCTCTCTCTCTCTCCCTCCCTCCCTCCCTCCCTCTCTCTCTCTCTCTCTCTTTCTCTCCCCTCTTCCAGGCCTTCTGTGCCTGGGCCCTCTGGCCACATGTGGAAAGGCTGTATTCTGTCTTAATGTAATGGAGGCAAGGCACAAAAAGCCATTTTCCTCTGCGGGCCCTCTTGCTCACTAAGATGGAGGAACTGGGAAATGCCCTGAGGAAGGGCCATGGGGTTCCTCCCCACTCAGGCCCGTTCAGAGCACATTCCATGCCCAGTGCCCTGCGGGGAGAAGCTGCTCCTGGTCCCCTACAGTGCCTTAAACAAAATAGTGACTACATACATAGCATGTAAGAGCTGGAAGGGATCATAGGGGGTTGGATGGTGAGGCCAGGACAAACCTGAAGTTTGACAGAGGGACAGGGGCCCAGAGAAGACTCTGCTGCAGCTACACAGGGCCCAGCCTCCCAGGAGACATGTCTAGCAGCCTAGGGAAGGGCTGTGTTCCCCAGAGCCCTCAGGAGCCCGCTGAGAAAAGCCTGAAGTTGCCAGAGCTCAGAAGCTCACCCCTGCTGACCACAAGATGGCAACAGAGCTTTGTATGAGCCCCAAGCTCGGGCGGGGGCCGGGGCGGGTCCAGCTTGCTGGGAGGAACGGACCCACATCCTTACCTCCATGGTCTGAGTATTCTTCTGATGCCTTCAGATCAGGATGAGAGTTAATTTAATGTGGGTCTGGGTGTGTCTCTTTTCCTGTTTTATTGCCTTGAGCTCAGTTCCAACTGTACCTGATGAGCGGTTCTGATCTTTCCTCTGTCCCTTTTACCTATTCTATAAGCTCCATAGGAGGGTGGGGGTGGTAGGAAGATGCCATTCAACTCACAGCACTCTTGAGAAGCTAGGTGGAGGTAAGCCTAAGATATTAAAAACCTGTTAGACAGTATAGATGAATGTGCATAATTTGGTGCTATGTGTGGTGCTGAATTTATATTTTTCATTTTAGAAGAAGAGCTAAAAGTGGCATTTCAACCTGGAAACAATATTGCCTGGAGCACAAAACCCTCTCTCCGGCAGCCTTGCAGGCTCCCTTCACCCCACCCTGTCTGGTGCTCTTTCCCGTCCAGCCATGCCTGGCCCCTGGGTGGGGCTGGCAGCTCTGGGAGAAGGTTGGGAAGGGGAGTGGAGAGTTGGGGGTTCATACCATCCACTGGCCAGGATCCCACTCAAATTGCTCACTCCATGCCAGCGGACTCCTGTGACGTGGCCAGTCGGGTATCCATTCAGGAACTAATTCCCATCAAGCTGTTCAAATAATGGTCATGGCTCCAACTCAGCCTTGGAAGGCTGTGGTGCCAGGGAAGGGAAGAACAAAGCAGAGAAGCCACCGTGCCTCTCAAACCTGCCCTGGTTAAGGATTGATGGAGAGAATGCGGGAGGAGAATGAATGCATTGGCTGCGCGAATGAATGGTGTGAATTAATGAGTGGTATAAATGAAGAAAAGGACGCCGTAGTGAGGAGAGGCAAGCTCTTCATCATATGCCTCTGGCTGGCCTGTGTGTGTTGCCAGCATTTTCGTGCCTCACAGATGGCCATGTGGCTTTGCAGAAAGTGTTCATAGACACCCAAGAAGTCAGCCATTGGATGATAGGACGCTGTGTGAGGAAGGCTTAACATGTTCTCTGCTTTGCTGCTGTCTCTGCCCTATGGAGGTCCTGTTGAAAAGTTGACTCACTCATGTAAAAATGAACATTTCGACCATGTCTGCCTGTCAGAGGCATTGGTTAGAGACCCTCTGCATGCTGCCCAAAAGACAACTTTGGAGGCAGCTCCGTGCATGGTCAAGGGCAAACATTATACATATTTTTATTAAGTATAGAAACTGTGTGTGTGTATATATATATATATGTCTCACATGCATAAATGTACAGTTGATCCTCATTATTTGATAATTCTGTACTTGCAAATTTGGCTACTCACAAAAATGTATTTGTAACCCCCAAATCAGCACATGTGGTGCTTTTGCAGTCATTCTCGGACATGGGCAGAGTAGCGAAACATTTGAGTCACCTAACCGGTGGGTGCATTTCCAGCTGGGGACAAACAAGGTGAAGCTCTGCTTTCTGTTCCAGCTCTCAAACTGTAAATAAGAGTTCTTTCTGTGGTCTATTTAGTGCCACATTTTTCACATTTTTGTGCTTTTCGTTGGTGACTTCACTGTTTAAAATGGCCCCTAAACATAGCACTGATGAGCTGTCTGTGTTCCTGCGCCAGAGAAGGCTGTGATGTGTCTTACAGAAAGTAAGACGTCTTTAAACAGAAACACACTGAAACAAGGTTATGTATTGATCCGTTGACAAAACGTTGTGACCAGAGACTCACAGGGGCCTACCTTGTATTTCCCCTGGAAGCAATGGTTCAGTATTTGCTATTCCAGTGCTTGTGCTGATTTTATAGAATATTGCTACCACAAATAACAAGAACATAAATATATATATTCAGTATCCGAATGAAACAAATATAGGCATAAATAATAAAACATCTCCTATCTACCACTCTCCAGCTCTGCTCCTCTTTCGTAGGGAAACATTGTTAACAGTTTAGGGTGCAGCCTCTGACATCTCTTCTATTAATTTACATACATAAAAATTAATATATATTACATAACATGCATAATTTTTATGGGAGTATTCTATGAAAGGAATTATATATATATAAACTATATATATATATAGTTCACCTTTTATCACTTAGATTAGGGGTTGGCAAACTTTTTCTTTTTCTTTCTGTATTTTTTTGGCTTATAAACAACAGAAAGGTATCTCTCCCAGCTCTGGAGGCTGGAAGGCTGAGGTCAGGTACCAGCACGGTCAGGTTCTGGTGAAGGTCTTCTTACTGGTTGCAGATGGCCAACTTCTTGTCGTATCTTCTCACCAAGACTGGAGAGCAGAGAGACTGGCAAACTCTTTCTGTGAAGGGCTGGAAAGTGAATATTGCTGGCTTTGTGAACCCCATGGTCTCTGTCACATGCGTTGAACTCTGCTGTTGCAGTGCAAAAGCAGCCGTAGACTATATGGGAATGAATGGACATGGCTGTGTTCCGATAAAACTTTATCTGTGGGCATTGAAATGTAGATTTCATGTAATTTTCATGGGTCATGAAATATTGTTCTTCTTTTCATTTTATTTCAACCATTTGAAAATGGGGAAGCCATTCTTAGCTTATAGGCTATTTAAAAACAGGTGGCAGGCTGGATTCAGCTTATGGGGCTTAGTTTGATAACCCCTGATTTACATGGTATCTTGGAAATCTCTCCCCGTTATGACATGTAGATCTACCTCATTGTTTTAATGGCTGCCCAGTATTCCATTGCATGCATTTAGCTCAATTTATATAACCTTTTCCTTATCAATGGACAAGTAGGTTATTCCAAACATTTCACTTAACAGAGTATCTTTGTGCGCATACCTTTATGGATATGTGTATTTCTATGGAGTAGAATTCTAGAATTGGAATTGCTGGGTGAAAGGGTTAAAAGGTACGTACACTTTGAAAGTTGATACATTCTGTGAAGACAGAATGAATACATTCTGGAGTAGGCCAGAAATTTTTTTTTTCTAGATTTATTATCCATCCATAGAGCTGGGCTTCTTGTGAGAAGTAAGTGGTCCATACTCTCTTGCTCTGTCCCAGAACGGAGTACTGCACCTAAGACCTGTCTAAATAAACTCATGTCACAGGGGTGCCGTGGCTCATGCCTGTAATCCCAGCACTTTGGGAGGCTGAGGCGGGTGGATCACTTGAGGTCAGGAGTTCGAGACAAGCCTGGCCAAGATGGTGAAACTCTGTCTCTACTAAAAAAATACCAAAAAACTTAGCTGGGTGTGGTGGTGCTCTCCTGTAGTCCCAGCTATTTGGGAGGCTGAGGCAGGAGAATCCCTTGAACCTAGGAGATGGAGGTTGCAGTGAGTCAAGGTCACGCCACTGCACTCCAGTGTGGGTGACAGAACGAGACTCCATTCTCAAAAATAAAATAAACTCATGTTTATTTTATTAATATTGCTCCATGGCTGCCCTTATTATAGGGTTGGTCAGGAGAGAGAGGCTAATAGCATCCAATCCTGCAGAGATATTGAGTAAGAGTGTCCTGGAAATGGGCCTTACTTTGTTGAAGTAGGAACCAGAGGAGCTCTTGGGGAGCATAGCCTTAGGAAAGAGCTCCAGTGTCCTGTTTTCAGGGTTGGGCAGCTTAGAGGAGCCTGTTTATGGGGTCACACCAAACAGACTGGCCTCCCGTGGGCTGGATGTTTGCCTCAGGGAAGCACAAGGAGCAAAGTCAAAGACTAATAATTCATGCCCAGCTGCTGGACCAAGGGTAAGCTGAGGCCACAAACGGGAAGACAGCCGGGTGAGTGAGGCAGAGGCAGATGGGGACTAAAGTGGGGGGTTGTGATGAGCAATTCAGGGATTCAGGACGGAGGCCGTCAACCCAGGCGAGCAGCATAAGCCATGCCCAGCAGGGCTGCAGCTGAACTCAAGCCAGGTGGCAGGGAATCATGAGTGGGCCAACAGGAAATATCGATAGTGTGGACAGGGCTTCCTTATGAGAAATTCACCTGTGTTAGGACAAAAATATGGCAAGAACTACGTAGGACAGCAGGGCGAGAGAAGATTTCTTTTAACTTCTGTACAGGCTGAAGGAAGCAAACCAGCAGAGAAGGGGAACATGAACGGTCAGGAGCAAGGAGAAGGGGTATTTGGCACCTAGTAGATAATCAACAACACTGGATCATTCATTCAACAAACATTAAACTACCAGGAGCCAAAAAGCACTCCAGGCTCTGGGAAGGCTGGAATGAATATGCCGTGCTCCCACTCTCTGGTTCCCAGTGGAGTGGAAGCAAACAGGCTCTGACACCGAGAGGTTTAATGCATTGCTGCAAAGGCTCTGACCATAACAGGGCAGGGGTGGAGGAACCAAAAAAGGGCAGGGCCAGTTGCAGGGAGGGGAGTGGGGCAACTGCCTGGAGAAAGATAGGTTTTTTGATGTGTTTGTTTGCTTTATATAGACTTTGTTTTTTAGAGCAGTTCTAAATTCACATAGTTACTGAGCTGAAGGTACAAAGTTCCCACATGCCCCCTAGCCCCTCACACACACAGCCTCCCCCACTGTCAACAGCCCCCACTGGAGTGCTACATTTGTTACAATGGATGAACCTACATGGATACATCACTATCACCCAAAGTCCAGGATTTATATTAAGATTCACTCCTGGCGTTGTACATTTAATGGGCTTTGACAAATGTACAATGACATATATCCATCATTATAGTATCCTACGGAGTATTTTCACTTCCCTAAAAATCCTCAGTGTTCTGCCAATTCCCCCCACCCCCCATCCCCTTAACCCCTGGCAACTACTGATCTTTTTACTGTCTCCACAGTTTTGCCTTTTCCAGAATGCCATCTAGTTGAAATCATACAGTTTATAGCTTTTTCAGATTGGCGTCGTTCTCTTAGTAACATGCATTCAAGTTTCCTCCATGCCTTTCATGACTAGATAGCTCATTTCTTGTTGATGTTGAATTCTATTGTCTGGATGCACCATAGTTTATTTATCCATTCACCGCTTGGAACATCTTGTGGCTTCCAAGTTTGGGCAATTATGAATTAAGTTGCTGTCAACATCAGTATGCTGGTTTTTATGTATGTGTGGAAATAAGTTTTCAACTCACTGGCATGGAGAAACCTTTTGTAGAGAAGATAAAACCTGAGCTGTCCTTAAAACAGGAACTCTGTGTTTATTGACTGGTGGGGATGAGAGGACAGAGAAGACTCTCCAGGCAGAGAAACAACGTGAGTGAAGGCGCAGACTGGAGGTTGCTTAGCGGAGCCCAAGGTAGTTGGTGAGGGGTGGGGGGATGGCAGAGCTCTGTGGCTAGTGGTACAGGCTGGGCACAGACCATGGAAGAGCTTATTCAGCCAGCCCAAGAAATCTGGACTTTATACTCACCTGATGAGGAGCCGTTTGAGGATTCAGCATGACCAACTGTCTCTGCATCCCCAGAGTCTTTCTTTTCACTTGCTGAGGAATGGGTCTAATACAGCGAGATTGAAGTGCTACCATGCATTGCTTTCTCCTCTACATTATCCAGTCTTCTATGCAGCAAATAATTGTTGGTCACCTCCAAGGTGGCAGGCACTGATGTTCGTGGGACACACGGCAATGGGTTCCACCTGCCACCCTTGAACATCTCCAGTTCTAGCCTGGTTTTCCCATTACACAACCCCCACCAACTTCTACTGCCTGCGAGTAGGCTAAAACAAAACTTCACTCCTTAAAAGAAGTCCAACACGAAAAGAATTTTCACAGCCTGTCCTTATTGCTGCCAAGAATATATATTACCAATTTCCAGTGGAAGCTCAAATGTCCATTTGTAATCACCCGGCCTCTGAGCACTAAGTTCAAGGGGGTCACAAGTCGAGGCTTCACCTACAAGGCTTGACTGCCTGGCTGCCCGGAGAGAGGTGTGGAGGGGGAGTGCGCCAGAGGCAGAGATGGAGCTTGAGACCCAAGGGGTCTAGATGCATGCTCCCTTGGGTTACAGCCCAGGGTTAAGAAGAAAACATCTAGAGAAATCCTGGTTGGCATGTTTCTAGCCCAGATGGAAGAGAAATAGGACAAGCTCCTAAAGGGTTCCAAAACCAACACATGAGAAGTACTTGCTGCCAGCAAATTCGAGGTATGTTGGCATGCACAGCAGAAGAGAAATGTATTCACCCTGTTGGAAAGGGGAAGACAAGAAGACGGACGGCTGTTGAGAGAAGGCAGAGTGCTCCCTGCCAACTGCGAACCGCCAGCTCTGTGAAGGAAGGCTGCTTCCAAACGACCGAGTGGGGCTGGGGTGAGCCAGGAGGAAGGGGCGCAGACAGCCAGGCGACAGGCATCTTGAGATGGGGGCTCGTGGCCCATCAGTCTGCCTGCCATCCTCTGTGCCTGCAGCCACTCCGCCTGCCTCTCTGCACCACTTAGGGGAGTCAATCTCCTGTCCCAGATTCCTTGCCCCAGACCCTCCTTCACGTTTGTCCCCTTCCCCCTCAGCTTCGCCTCCATCCTGTGTTTATTCTAACTCTACCCATCTTTGGGGGACATTTGTCACCTGCTGGGACCCATCTCTGCATACCCTCCCTGCATTTCAGATATCCCCCACATTATGAACCCCACATTATGAAGGGAGAAGCTAGAAAACTCACATCTCTAGACCCCGTTGCCATGTATTGCATTGTGACATGTCCACAACAGAATTCGGTTTGGGTGGCAAGGGGCTAGCAGAGATACTTGGTTCCTGAGGACATAGAAGGGATCCAGCTTCTGGTTTGCAGGGCAGGGGTTCCTAGCTCCCAAGTGGTGGTGGTGGGGGATGGGGAGATCTTTAAGAAACTCCTTTGTTTGGTTGGGCACTGCTTATGGCTAATAACTTCAGCATCTGGTTCTCCTGGAAATTTTGTGAGCTCTCCAAGAGTCTTGATTAAACTTATCTTTTCCCTTAAAGAACCCAATGGATTCTGTTGTTTGCAACTAAGAATTTTACTATTACACCATTTGTCTTAGTTCATCCTGCTGTAACAGGTACCATAGACTGGGGTGGTTTAAACAACAAAAATTTATTTCTCACAGTTTGGAGGTTGGGAAGTCCATACCCAGGTGCTGACAGAGTCAGAGTCTGGTGAGAGTTATTGTCCCAGTTTACAGACAGCTGACTTTCCCTTCCATCTTCATATGGTGAAGAAAGGTATCATCTTTTTTGTATCTCTGCTTATAAGGGCACCAATCTCGTTCAGGAGGGCTCCACCCTCATGATCTAATTACCTCCCAAAGGCTACCACATTGGAAATTAGGCATCAACATGTAAATTTTAAGAGTTCACAAACATCCAACCAATAGCACCATCCTTCAAGAGTAGCTGAAGATGCTATTTATGATAGCAAAGACATGGAATCCACCCAGGTTCTCTCCAATGGTGGACTAGATAAAGAAAATGTGGTACGTATACATCATAGAATACTACACAGCCATAAAAAAGAACAAAATCTTGTCCTTTGCAGCAACATGGATGCAGCTGGAGGCCATTATCCTAAGCAAACTAACACAGGAACAGAAAACCAAATACCACCCATTCTCATTTATAAGGGGGAGCTGAACACTGGCTACACATGGACATAAAGATGGGAATAACAGACACTGGGGACTACTGTGGGGAGAAAGGGACAGGGGGAAGGGCTGAAAAACTACCTACTGGTTACTATGCTTACCACCTGGGTGACGGATTCATTCGTTCGTACTCCAAACCTCAGCATCACACAATACACCTTTGTAACAAACCTGCATGTGTACCTCCTGATTCTAAAGTAAAAGCTGAAAAAAAAAAAAGAGTAGCTGGAGAAAGTGAATTTTCTGCTACTCTCTCTGAGGCCTTCAGATTCTGCAGCTGTGCCTGTCTTAAAATCTGCCCCACCAGCCAATTAAAAATTAAATTGCCTGTTGTCTTCAAATTTCTGCAGTGCTCGGGACTGCCTCTTCGCTGGGTTAGAAACTCTGGAGGCAGAGATCCTATCTTTTCTTCTTTTTGTCTTTTTCACACCCTAGCCTCATAGGTTTGCAGCATCCTACAGTTGGAACGGGACCGAGAGTATGCTGACCAAGCCACCCATTTTATAGGCAAGGTGGGACTCGGAGCAGTGACCAGTGAGGTGACTGGTCTAAGCAGGAGGAAGGGGAGCATGAGCTGGAGAACAGGAACTTGGCCTTTTCTGACTGTTGCCTCTTGGGAGAGTGCTGAAGCCATGTAGGGCTTTTGTATGGAAGATGCATCGTGTTATGACTTGAATTTAAACAGGGCCTTCTGAGGAGTTCAAAATGCTTCATCAACTTGAGAGTTCCAGGTTGTGTAATTTACACTCTTGGGAAGTACAAGGACAGGAGAAAGGCTCGTCTATTTGCAGTGTCAAAGTTAGGAATCTCCAGCTCCTTGCACTTCTGTGTCTGTTTCAGGAAGATAATGGGATATGAGTTCTGGTAATAGAAACACCTCCCGGGATGCACGTGGGGCCGCTGGAGGCCTCCCGAGTAACACTGAGTTCAGGCGTTCCTTCTGGAGGAGATGATGGAAATTTTCCATTTCAGGTATCTATTGCTGCTCAACAAATTACCCCAAGACTCAGTGGCTTAAAACGACACCATTCATTTGTCATCTCTCACAGTTTCTGTGTGCCAGGAATTTTGGAGCAGCTCAGCTGGTCGGCACCTCTTTATAGCTTACAGCTAGACATGCCTGTGGCCAGGGTCATCCTGAAGGCTGTGTTTGGCAGCCGGGAGGGGAAACTTGAATGGCTGGGGCCCCTCGGGTATCTCGCTCTATCTCTCAGTGGTCTCTCCAGCAGGGTGGCTTCAGAGTCGCCTGAGTCCTCCACATGGCTCGGGGCTCCAAAGATGTGTGTTCCGAGAGAGGGCACCAGGCCTAGCCTTAGACGACACGCAAGGCCACTTCTGCCACACTGTGTATTTCAATTAGTTAGAAGTGAGTCCTTGAGGAAGCTGTATTCAAAGAGAGGGGGAATTAGGCATCCTGTCTTTATGAGAAGAGTTTAAAGAATTTGTAGACATGTGTTTTTTTTGTTGTTTTTTTTTTTTGTTTGTTTTTTCCAAGATGGAGTCTCGCTGTGTCGCCCAGGCTGGGGTGCAGTGGCATGATCTCGGTTCACTGCAACCTCTGCCTCCCAGGTTCAAGCAATTCTCCCTGCCTCAGCCTCCCGAGTAGCTGGGATTACAGATGCCCGCCACCATGCCCGGCTAATTTTTGTATTTTTTAGTAGAGACAGGGTTTCACCATGTTGGCCAGGCTGGTCTTGAACTCTGAACCTCAAGTGATTCACCCACCTTGGTCTCCCAAAGTGCTGGGATTACAGGGGTGAGCCACCGCGCCCAGCCTGTGGACATGTTTTTAAACCACCACAGACCCCAAGTTCCAGAGGAGTGAAGTGATTTTCCCCAGGTTACATGGCTAATGTGTTAGCAGGACCAGGACTGGAACAGGAGACTCAAGGCTCATTGTCTTCTTCATGGCCAGCATTAAAATATTGAGGGAGTCAGATAAGGGGGTCTGATTTGGGGGATTTTCTCTAGAGTGTTACCTCATTTTTAAGCTGTCCTTAATCCTTGGGGGAACAAGATGGCTGAGGATAGCTAAACAAAAAGAAGCAGACAGACAAACGTAACCTCAATTAATTACTGCTGATAATAATGGGCAGAGTGTCCCTTTATGTTTGTATAACATTTGGTCCAGAAACACACTGAACAACTTGTCAAAGATCATATAGAAAATCAGGTCAGAAACAGAATTAGAACCAGACCCCAGGTGTCCTTATTCCTGACTCATCTTTGCTCTGCTGTGCTGGCACACCTCCCTGGATAACTTGTCTGCTTCTTTATGAGAATAGTCTCATTTCATCTTTCAAATAGCAGTGGTGTTACCCATTATTACTTCTGGGCAGTGGCAGGACAATATAAGCAGGCAACTTGGCTCTGGCTGTTGCTGGGCATGGCAATGTTTTGCACGGTTAGGAGGAGCCATAGCAGTGATCGGGTGCAGCTCCCCCATTTCATAGATCTAGAAACCAAGGCAGGGCAGGCTGGCAGGATGTTGCATAGGTCCTTTGATGAGCCATGAGAAGGGTGGCCTTTGAATCAAGGTCTTTTTATGTAAAAATCTAGTTTGTTTCTTCCCTTCATGTCAGATTCCTGTGTTTTTCTGAAATGAAAAACAAACTGGTTTTGAAAAAATGGCTTGAATTTAATCACCCATTGCTCCCTGCACAGACCCTGGAAGGATTATTACTTTGGGTAACTTCCCAAATCAATCAATCAATATGCAATTATTGAGCACTCTCTATTTACCCAGCATGGTGCTAGGTATGGATGATATTGAATGTAAAAACTGAATTTATACCAAGTTTATATGATGGTTCCTGGCTTCAAGTACCTTTATGAACCAAACCACACAGAATATAACATTTAACCAAATCTTGATCACATGGATGACACAAAATAACCTAATTTCACAGAAATCACACCTTAACCAGTACTTTCTAGGAAAAACAAATGATTAATAGCAGTGTGCTTTTATAAAAAACACACATACATATGACGGCAGTGAACTTAAGCACTGCTGGAAAATCTGAAATGTGCGGCAGGCTTCTAATTAAAAAGATCATTTCCTGCAAAGCCAAATGGAATATTCTTCCCCTGCTTCTATTTTTTTCCCCCATAAAACAAACTCTCTGCAAGAAATGTGAAATTTCTTACGAGACTGAACATGCTAACTTTTCAAACATCCCAGTCAGTCTGAGGAAACGAGGCAATGACGACTTGGAAAACACCTCCCTTTACACACACATCCATGCACGTGTGTCCAGGCCCTGTTCATCAGCTGGGCCTGAGTCAGCCCCTCAGCAGAATCTGACAGCAGGGGGGAAATGTCTGGAGAAGCAGAGCCATGTCGAGTCAAGTCGCCTATTGGGTCTTCTGGTCCTACCACCAGACTGATCCAAACTCCAGCTTTGTCTATTGTACATCCTCTGTGACTTTTCCCAGCCAGAGTTTAAATGACTCAAGCTCCACCGTCTTCCCTAGAGGGGTTATACTGCAGCCAACTAGAACGAACTCACCATTTGGAGTTGTATGCCTTTGATTGAGTCTAATTTTCCCTTTCCTTCTTTTCCCACTGTCATGTTTCTGCTGGATCCCTTTGGACCACCCGTGGTGCCTGCTCTTCAAATGTGTAGACCAAGATTTCTCAATGTATTGTGTCTGTGATACACTTTTGAATTTCAGCAGTCACAGCTGTGGTGGTGCAGAAGGTGGAACAGGGCACAGTGGGGTCTCAGCCCTTAGATCCAGACAGGCTCTGGGTCGGGCCATCTGTCTAACCACACCTTTGTTCTGTATTACACACGCATCTAAACACCATCATATCTCCCTCTGCTAGGGCCCTGCCATCTCTACTCTCAATCCCCTAAGCCAAATCTAGCACGGCAGAGTGAGGAAATCCAGAATGTGGCAAACTAGTAAGAAAGTCTTTGGGGCCAGGCACAGTGGCTCACGCCTGTAATCCCAGCATTTTGGGAGGCCAAAGCGGGTGGATCACCTGAGGTCAGGAGTTCAAGACCAGCCTGGCCAACATGGTGAAACCCTGTCTCTACTAAAAATACAAAAAAATGAGCTGGATGTGGTGGCGGGAGCCTGTCATCCCAGCTACTCAGGAGGCTGAAGCAGGAAAATTGCTTAAACCCAGGAGATGGAGGTTGCAGTGAGCCAAGATCATGTCACTGTGCTCCAGCCTGAGCAACAGAGCAAGACTGTCTCAAAAAAAAAAAAAAAAAAAAGAAAGTCTTTGGAACCCAGAAAAAGGGTGGCCTGCCCCCAGTTGAGAATCACTGTCATATATAGATCTAAAGGAAGTGAAACCTCTAACTAATTTACTCCCCACTCCCTACCCAGTTTGGCATTTTTATTCTTTCTTACGTCATTCTTGCTACTTCATTTTGAAATGCTGTGACAATTCTCTGAGTCCTCTTTTAAAACCTTAAGCCAAAAGAAACATGTATAATTACAGACAACTTTAATTCTTTGGCTATTTAACTCAATCATAATATGAGATTACTAGAAATAAGCCTGATAACTACATTCGTCACTTATTGATAAACGTACCAAAACACATAGTCTTGTTTAATTCCAAGAGCTAGTACAGACTCCATCGTACAGGTGAGAACACTGAGGCTTAGCGGTGTTAGATACCTTGTGAAAGTCAGAGGCCTGGAATTTGAGTTTGGATGAGCTGGAAAGCTGAACCACAACCAACACTGTCTCCTGCTCTCCTGGAACGACCAAGGTGAAGGTAGAGGGGAGGCGGAGGTGGGGACCAGGCAGACAGTTTGGCGCTGTGGGGCTTGGTCTGCTGTTTCACCACATTGCGCGTAGGACAGTATGTGTCAGACTTGTTTTCAGTTTTCAGTGATAGCTCTGCTGCTCCTAAATTGACTCATGTGCACGTCACACAGATGTGACAACACTGCCCCAGTGGAGTCTAAGTCATCAGGTTGACACAGCCGGAGGTCATTAGGACTTTGCCTGTGGGGAAGGGATGCAGACCTGGGTCTGGGAGAGAGTGCGACACGGCAATGTCCTTTGTTCGCTTTTGCTTCTGAAAATCCCATCAGGGCTGGAAATGATGCCAGTGGCTCCATCCATGCTTTGGCTGACTGCCAAACAGGTGAACTGGAGAATCTGTTAGTTACCCAGAGGGGCCTGCCCTGGGGACCAGAGGAAAGAGCTCTGATCCCAGGGCTGCTGTCACTTTCTTTATGGAACTCTGTTGTTTGTGCTTCAATTCCCTAATCCATACAATGGGTATATTAACATCCCTTCTCTCCCTTTCCCAGAAATGTCTCCAAATGACGCCACAGAACCACCTGCTATTCTTGCTGTGTCATCCAGGGGTAGGGCAAATTTTCCTGATGTTCCTCCCCTGGGAGGCAGGGCTCAGCTTTGTGCTGTGCACATTCCCCCAAAGCCCCCTGGAGGCTCTGGATCTGCTCTCTGTCCCAGAAGGCCAGTTCCTAGCGTGCCGCCCTCCCAACACCCTCTGCAGACAAACTGCTTCTCACATACCACATTGTGAGCATCCAAAGTCCACGCTTTCCATCTTCAGGACTCAGCTCAAATTCTTAATCTGTGGACTAGTGGCAGTCATCAGTTCTAGGAAATTCTCAGCCATTAGGCCTTCAAACTGCCTTAGGCCCTTTCCCTCTTCCCTCACTTTTTGAAACTCTGATTATACACCAGACCATCTTACTTTATTCTCCATGGCTTTTAATCTCTTTTACATTTTCCATCTATTTATCTCTCTGGGCTACATTCTAGATCACTTCTCCAGTTCTGTCCTCCAGTTCGCAAAGTCTCTCCTGAGTTGCTGTTGTTGTTGTTGTTTTTGAGATGGAGTTTTGCTCTCGTTGCCCAGGCTGGGGTGCAATGGTGCGATCTTGGCTCACTGCAACCTCCGCCTCCCAGGTCGCACCATTCTCCTACCTCAGCCTCTCGAATAGCTGGGATTACAGGTGCCTGCCACCACGCCTGGCTAATTTTTTGTATTTTTAGTAGAAATGGGTTTTACCATGTTAACAAGGCTGGTCTCAAACTTCTGACCTCAGGTGATCCACCTGCCTCAGGCTCCCAAAGTTCTGGGATTACAGGCGTGAGCCACCGTGCTGGGCTGTCTCTCCTGAGTTTTAAATTTTTATTTTATTTTATGTCTAGACTTTCACTTTCTAGAAGTTCCATTCTGTTCTTTCACAAATATGCTTACCCTTTACTCATATTTTAAAGATGCTCTTTCATTTATCGAAAACAGTTATATTCGGTGTTTGATAATTCCAGAATCAGAAGTCTTTGTATGTGAATTCTGTTGTTTCTGCTGAATTTCCACATCTGTAAAATGGGAAGAATATCACCCACTTTGCATGGTTATTGTCTGGATTAGAAATAATACCCGTAAAGCAGCCAGCCCAGAAGTTGGTTTGTAGAGGGAGGTGTTTAATAATTAGTAGCCATGATCACCGATGTGGTTGCTATTGTTAGAAACTTCTACCACAAATGTTCACCAGGGCCAGAGATAAAAAATTAAGAACAAAAGAGAAAAAGATGGCATTGGGCAAAGACACAAGGAATTATTCCCCTCAGCTCTGCCAATTAAAAATTGTCCCATGAGAGACATTGTACCTTGCATCTCTCTTTAGGGCCTTTGTAGGATCTGGAATTGTAGCAGCAACATCAGATCAAACCCACTGGGAGCTATTTGTGCAGATATTTCTGTCAAGACCTGCTGCTCCTGGCACTTCCTGGGGCCTCCAGGGCTTCCTGCATGTTCCTGATTGACAGACATGGAGGGTTATTTTCTTTTCTAGCATGAGCCTGGAGGCTGTGGTATCCTGGGGTCATCTTGGGTCTTCAAAGCTGGGCTTCCTGGGATGAAGAGAGGATGGATGAGAAGATGGGCACAATCTTCAGATCCTGAACAGATCTGGGTCCTCCTTCCTGAGACAGGAGCAGAGGAAGGGGACACAGCCCTGCTGAAGCTGCAGGTTCCGCAGCAGATTCAGCCTTGGGGCAACTTCCCAAGGAATGATGGTATAGGGATAGCAGGCAGGTTTCCCAGACACTCAAGCATCCCACCCAGGCGCCAACAGGGGGTGTCCTCTGGGTGGTCTTGGTCTGAAAAGTAAAGGTGAGTGCAAACGCCAAGATGCTGGATAGGACATTCAGAGTGTCCCAAGAGACTGAGGGCTGCTTCTTTTGCAGAGGAGTCTTTCCCTTCACAACCAGATTTGTGTCAACGGTGAGCGGGCCCTCTGCAGTCCATTTAGAAAATTACTCATACGGTCCTCTTTGTCCTCTTTCCATTCCTTGTGTCCTGACAACTCTTCACGACCCCCAGTTATTCTTTGGAAATGTTTCTTGGATCTCTCCTGGTCTTTTTCTTCATCTGCAATGTGAGGATAATGATGATAACACCTTTGCAGGTGCTTAACACAACCCATAAATGGCTGAGCTGAGCTTCAGTCCATGCTTTGGGTCCCCAGACTGTGCTACTTCCAAAACCAGGCTTGTCTCCTCAAAAAGACAGTTGCGGCCGGGCGCGGTGGCTCACGCCTGTAATCCCAGCACTTTGGGAGGCCGAGGCGGGCGGATCACGAGGTCAGGAGATCGAGACCATCCCAGCTAAAACGGTGAAACCCCGTCTCTACTAAAAATACAAAAAATTAGCCGGGCGTAGTGGCGGGCGCCTGTAGTCCCAGCTACTTGGGAGGCTGAGGCGGGAGAATGGCGTGAACCCGGGAGGCGGAGCTTGCAGTGAGCCGAGATCCCGCCACTGCACTCCAGCCTGGGCGACAGAGCGAGACTCCGTCTCAAAAAAAAAAAAAAAAAAAAAAAAAAGACAGTTGCTCCTTGAGGGTAGGGACTGTGTCTGCCATGTCCCCTGTAGCCCCTGGCATAGCCTGCTGTTGGAAACAGTCAGCTCACGAGGATTTTCCTCATGCCTGTTCATGGTGGCTTCAGCCTCTCTCGCCTGGCATAGAAACCCAAGGGTCTCCCTGCTCCTTCTCCCAACAGGACTGCTGGGCAGAGGAAGACCCCCTTAGTTGGAGGTAGCCAGGCTGGGTTCCCTCCTGTGCTTGAGAGTGTGCTCCCATTGACATGTCCACCACTGTGGTTTCTAGGAGCTGCTCTGTGGATAGTGTATGTGTATCCCAGCCTCTTCTCCATCTTTCTCACCCCTCCTCCTCTTCCTCTTTGATAGTCTGAGTTCCAGGTCCACATGTGGTTCATTTAGTTATTTTTCAAAAAATTTCCTGGCCAGAGGATTTCAGCTTCCAGGAAGGCTCTCCCGGCAGAGCGTGGGAGTCTGAAGCTGCCCCGGGGGGGCCTTCTTGTGGTCAGGCTGTCTGCTCTCTCCACTCCTGGACACTATTTGTCTTTGACTCACCTCTTCTTCCACTATGAGTTATTCTTGCCTTGACCAGCCAGACCATGTGGGGAGAAGTCTTGGAGAAGCCCACAGCTTCAAGTTAGCTGGAAGGACACCTCGAGAGGACCTTAGGTGTGACCTCGACCAAGATCCCCTCAATACCAGCCCTGTTCCTGCACCTGCCCAAACCCAAAGGTTGAGCTGGGTCTGAGCTTCCACACTGATTTGTAACCCATTTCACCTTCTGATAAATATAAAAATTCCACGACTCCTTCTTCTGCCACCCGAAGATAATCTGAACAACTCCAATGAAGAATTACAATTATTTATATACCTGGCCTCATTTTTTGCTTTTTTTTTTTTTTTTTTTTTTCAAAGACAGGCTCTCACTCTGTTGCCCAGGCTGGAGTGCAGTGGCATGATCTTGGCCTACTGCAACCTCTGCCTCCCAGGTTCAAGCAGTCCTCCCACCTTAGCCTCCTGAGTAGCTGGGACTCCAGGCTTATGCCACCACACCTGGCTAATTTTTGTGTTTTCTTGGGGTAGGCAAGGGGTTTCACCATGTTGCCCAGGCTCAAACTCCCGGGCTTAAGCTATCCGCCCGCCTCAGCCTCCCAAAGTGCTGGGATTATGGGCATGAGCCACTGCTCCTGGCCTACCTGGCCTCATTTAACCCTATAGACAGACTCTAGGCACATGACCCCCAGCCAAGAAGATTTTGTAGAGCTGTCCTTTCTGCCTCTTAATTTATAAAACTAATAGGGAGGGACCCTTTTATTTTCCAATAGGAAGTAATATTAGGATGTTTAATGAGTGTTACTGGAAGGGACAGGTGTTCTTCCCTCACCCCGTGCCCCCTCTTCCTAGAGAAATACACATAAGGAAGCCAGAGGAATGGAGGAGGCCCTGGGTCATGTGACAGGCAGAGAAGAGCCCAGAGCCTTATGATCCCAGAAGCTGTGCTGGGCACAGCCAGCTTGGCCAGGGAAAGGCCTGGCCCTCTCAAAAGAGGTCTTCTCACAGAATCCAAGGCCTATACACCTCCTTTCCCCACTCCTTCCTTCTCCACCCCTCCCCAGGGGGGCCAGAAGGAGCAGAGGGAGCCCAAGACTCCTCATGGGGGGTTAAGAAAATGAAGAGGCTGGACTGTGGGGGAAGGAACAAAGAGCTAAAGGCACCGTGAAGCCAAGGAGGGAGGGTGAGTGTCTTCCACACTCCTGTGGACTGTGTTCAGGACAGATGCTAAGACACAACTTCGAAGTGAAAACTGGTGCATTTGGTTTAAGACTCCCTGTATAAGAGTGACTGAGTAACCACAGCAGGGCTGATATATCCCTTGTAATGTCATAGCCTATGATTACATGTTTTTCACACCATGTTTTATTCCTCACCCCAAATACTGGTGGTTTCAACATGCCTGTTCCTCCCTCCCCACAAATCACACAAAAATCCAGCAACTCTGACAGTCTTTGTTCTATGATCCTTGAGAAAGTCCTACGTTTCCAATGTCAACTGCTCAACCACATCATGGCCTTGATTTCCCCAGAATTGTACAGATGAGAAGCACATCTAGATCCTTCTCCTGCATCCCTCACTCTTGAAGCTCTCCCTTCCACAACACTGGCAGTGGTCTTCCAAGGAACCCCAGCTCCGTGGCTCCCAGGCTCTGAGTGGGCTTGCTGCTGGAGAAGTTGCTAACCCTGTGTGTGATGGTGAATTTTATGTGTCAATTTTCCTGGGCCGTGGAGTGTCAGACATTTAGTCAAATACTATTCTGAGTGTGTCTGTGAGGGCATTTCTGCATGAGATTATGTTTTGAATCAGTAGACTGAGTAAAGCAGATGGCCTTGCCTAATGTCCGTGGGCCTCATCCAATCAGCTAAAGGCCTGAATAGAACAAAAAGGCCAAGTGAGAGGGAACTCCTCCTGCCTGACAGCTTTGAGCTGGGAAGTCAGTCTCTTTTGGCCCTTGGAACTCGAACTGAAACATCAACTCTTCTCCAGTGTCAAGCCTGCTGGCTTTTGGACTGGAACTTACACCATCAGCTCTCCTGAGTCTCCAGCATGCTCACTGTAGATCTTGGGACTTAGCCTCCATAATCATATGAGCAATTCCTTATAATCTCTCTCTGTCTCTCCCCTGCTCCTTTACACATGCACATGCACACACTGTTGCTTCTGTTACTTTGGAAACTCCTGACTGATATACCATGATTCTTACAACTTGAGTTTCACCCTGCCTTGTGCCTGGACCCCACTCATACACATTCCTCTTCTCTGCACCTTTACCACGAGTCACACAGCCTCTGTTCTTCCTGCTTCCCACTGGCCAAAGCCTTCTACAGAGGCCAACAGAAACCAAAAGACCCCCGCTCACACTCTGTCTCTGGGTTGGAGTCCCTGCTCCACAAATGAGCCTTCCACCCTCCCAGTCCAGGGCCTTCCCACTGATGAAAGTGAAAATCTGAAAGGAGATAAGTATTTGGACAACAAAATAAATAGCACAGTATTGGATTATAAGCCAAAGTCTAATATAAATATCCACGAGTCCGTACTGATATAAATACATGACAGAATAAACAAATAACTGTGGAGAAGAGACCCATCTTCTGCAGAGGAATTCCAAATCCTGTGTAGATACTTCCTCCACGAGGACAAGGAGCTCCCTCTTCCTTGAGTGGAGACTGCACATAGCCACTCGCTTCCAAAGAATAGAGTGTGGTGAGGGTAAGGGATGCAGGGAATTGCTTTACAGCAGAGAATTACAAGTCACCTGGCAAACACTACCTTGGCCAGGTGATCAAGTGACATCAGCAGTGATAAGTCCTGTTCATAGCATGTACTCCCTGGTATGGTACAAAGAGAAGGGTGCTTCACCTCTGTGGTTGTCACCTAAACCCATAACTCTAGTCTAATCAAGAGAATATGTCACACCCAAATTGAGGGGTGTATTGCAAAACACCTGGCCAGTACTCTTCAAGGTCGTGAAAAACAAAGAAAGACTGAGAAATGGTCAGCCAAGAAGAGCTCAGGGAGACATGATGACTAAATGTAACATGATATTCTGGATGGGATCCTGGAACAGAAAAAGGATATTAGTTAAAAAAAATTGTGTGAAATCCAAATGGAGTCTGGAGTTTAGTTAATAGTAATGGACCCATGTTTCTTAGTTTTGACAATTGTACCGGGGAAACGTAAAATGATAACACCAGGGGAAACTGAAACTGGGTGACAGGCATACAGGAACACTCTGCACATCGTTGCAGACTTTTGGTGAATCTAAAATTGTTCCAAAATAAAGAGTTCATTTTAAAAGATGAGGTAGGCTAAACTAGAATATTTCTTTCTTTTGTGTGCATGTGTTATTATGCAATTGACATATAAATACATTGTGCAGGATTCAGACAAACAGAAGTTTACAGAACAAAACCAGGAAGTCTCCATCTCTCCTCTACCCCTGCCTTCCATTTACCTCCTCAGAGCTAATAATGTTCATTATGGCTCAAACCGGGAAACTGCTTACTATGTGCCAGGTTTTGCTAGAAATGCTTTGCCAAAACCGAGTGACTGAACTTAATCTTCATAACAACCTATTGGGATAGACACTGCTAGACTCATTTTACAGATGGAGAAACTGAGGCACATGGAGATTATGGAAACTGGCCAGGGAAGGTAGTAGGTGGCAGAGCTGGGATAAAAAGCCCAGGACAGGCCAGGCACAGTAATCCTAGCACTTTGGGAGGTCGAGGCAGGTGGATCACTTGAGGTCAGGAGTTTGAGACCAGCCTGGCCAACATGGTGAAACCCTGTCTCTACTGAATATACAGAAATTAGCCGGGCATGGTGGCGGGCACCTATAATCCCAGCTACTCGGGAAGCTGAGGCAGGAGATGTGATTGAACCTGGGCGGTGAAGGTTGCAGTGAGCCAAGATTGCACCATTGCACTCCAGTCTAGGCAACAGGGCAAGCAAGACTCGGTGTCAAAAAAAAAAAAAAAAAAAAAGGCCCAGGTGAGTGAGTGCCAGTATTCATGCTTTAACCACCAAGAGAGGAGGCACCACTTCCGCTTTTGGGCACAATCCTTGCGCGCACACACACACACACACACACACACATCCGTTTTATTGGGACTAACATCCATGTTGTTGTGCAACTTACTTTTCATTCTTAACACATCTCAATGCACCTTTCATGTCAGTATCTAGGGCCTACCACCATTGTTCTTAATTGTTCTATGCCAGTGCCTCTCAGCCAGGGGTGCTTTTGACCCCAGGGAACAGCTGACAAAGTCTGCAGACATTTTTGTTTGTCACAGATGGGACAGGGGATGCTACTGGCATCTGGTAGGTGGAGGTCAGGGATGCTGTTGAACATCCTACAATGCACAGGGCAGCCCCTAACAAAGAATGATCTGATTCAAAATGTCAATGGTGCAGCATGGTATCCTGTGGCAAAACTAGAAGATTCCTAAGCACCTTCTAGTTCTCACATGCCACAAGGATGTGTCACGCAGGGCCTTTCCCTCTCCCTCCCAGCTCTCTATGCTCAGTCCGTTTTCATCCCTTCCTGCCATGCACTCACCTCCTCAGCTCTCCTCCCAGCACACTCTTGTGTCTGGAAGCCACACTTTGCGGCATCTCCTGTTATCGCTCTTTTTTCACCTTGCAGATGCCATATTGTTCCTCGATGAATTGTCCCTGGAGAGCAATAATGGTATCCACTTCTGTAACATCCTCAGGGCCCAGCATGCTGTGCTCGGTGGGCAAATCGGAAATTACATCACTCCCATTCAGAAAGAAGTCTAACCATTCAAGATGATATTTGTACCCCAGGGCCTCTTAGCCCTGGCTGCACAGTAGAATCACCTGGGGAACTCTAAGTAAACACAGATGTCCCAGCCCCTTCCCAGACACCCATTGAATCACAACCTCTTGGGTAAATTCTGCACATCAACATCTTTTAAAACTTCCCTCGCTGATTCCAACGCCCAGTCAGGGAAGAGAACCACCACGCTAGTCAGTTACTGCTGCAGAGTTATCACAAACATCTGAACCGAATTCTCACAGTTCTTGAGATAGAGCCTGGTGATAAATTCCTGTCAAAGGAAGGGTCACGTCTAATTTCTGTTCTCTAATCCAGGGCTTCGCTCACTCTAACGGGCACATGAATCACCTGGGATCGTGATAAAATGCAGATTTGGGTTCAGAACGTCTGAAGTGGGGCCGGAGGTGCCGCATTTCTAACAAGCGTCCTGGGCTGCTGCTGCTGCCGCTGGTCCCGGGACCGCATTGTGAGCAGCAAGGCTTGGAATGTTGCTTCAGGGTGTAGGGGCCTTCAGGCTCTTTCCCAAACTTAGGCTCCGAAATGTTTGCTTGTTACTTAGCCAGGCAGGCACCCGGGTCATCCTCTTGGGAAACAGCTTCAGTGCAGGTGAGCTGAAACAAAAGCTCTGAAGAGAAATGGTAAATGTTTACTGGGAGTTAGGAAAAAACAAACAAACAAACAAAACAAAGAAAGAAGCAGAGGAATGCGACAACTCCTAAAACTTAGAAATAAAAAGATAAAACCCCAGAACTTCAGGGCGCCTTCCAGTTTTAACAGTCTTGGTTTGATGTCCATTAGAATGTCAGCTAAGATCCATCAAGGCTGCAATTTCCTCCCACAGACTTGGGACCTCATTTTTGCTGCTTGAGCCGCACTCTGTTCTCCATCAGTGGGATTTACGCATATGGAACCGAGTGTGGAATTGGGCCCATTACATTTAACTTCCTATATCTGACATATTTAATACCTACTTTTCAAATAAATGAAATCCCTGTTTAGTGCCGGCCTGGAAAGGTGCAGTTGGTTAAGGAATTTTTCATGGGCCTGCGCAAGGCGACTCTGTCAAACCCGGCAGCCTCTTGAAGAGGGTGCAGTGACCGGGGTCTCTCAGAAATGGGGGGACAAGGTTATAGAATAATGGAACAGCTGTTACAATAAATGGGCAAATGCATTTTTTTAAAAAAGTCTTAAGAGCTGCTTTGTGTGCAGAATTATAATCACACATAAAAATGTGTGTGTCTCAGAATTGGGGAAGGAGAAGCTCTCAGAAGGCATCAGTTCTAAGAATCTGCTTTCATTATGTGCCATTCCAGAGGGATGAATGGACCTTGACTCTGTGAAGTATAATAGCAAAGTCACAACTTGGCCTAGCTTTCACTTAGCCTCCACATCCTCTCAAACAACAGCAAAGGGGGCTGGGGCTTGGAAGGGGGCAGCCAAGGCTAGGGGGTGATACCTACTCTCACTCCACCCTTACCAACCAGCTACCTGGTGGGACATGTCGAGGTGAACATGCCACAGGGCATCTGAACTGGGCCAGAGCTGGAACTCCAGAAGCTGGAGCTTCTGGGGTGAAGCTTGGGGCAACCCCACACCCTGTCTTCTACCCTAAGGATCCATTTGCAAGAGTTTCTATGCACAGCGTCCTTGGTTTGGGGCTAATGGAGAAGTGGTACGTGTGTGAGTCAAGGGGTACCTAAAGAAGAGAGAAACATAAAGATAATGCAGAGGATAGTGTGTGTTCCCTAGTCTCAATGGAGAAATAGAGAGAAGTTCTTTTCACGAGCTGCCCTCTGAGCTTCCAGGGTCCAAATACTGCTGCTTTGCAACCCAGTGACAGGATGGCAGCGGGGGCCAGCTACTTTCCCTTCTTGCTGACAAAACCCAGGCTCTCTGTCTTGTCACTGTCCTCAGTTTTAGAGTATGTGTCACTGGGTGTTGGTGTCACTGGACTTTGGGTCCTGGAACTGGCTGAGTGGAGATGAGGTGGGGGTGCCATTAAGTGTGCAGGTGGGGTGGGGACTGTGTGTGTAAAATTCTTTTCTCTATTCTATAGGATTCCCCTTTGGCTACTCATCTCAGTCCTGCACCCTCCAGAGCTTCAAGGAGCAGAATACTTAGAAAAGCAAAAAAGGGAATCTGGGAAACAAACAACAACAACAAAAAACCCACACAGTTGTTATGATGGGGTTTTTTTTTTGTAAATGTCTTCAAAATCTCAGTTCAGGTTCAGGGCTCAGCTCACCTGCCATCCAGGCTGGTTCTCTCAGTTCACTCAAGCCTATGTCATGCTGTGGCCACCTGGATGTGAGTATTCAACCAGGACTGGTCCCATCCCTGTTCCTTCTGCTACCGGGGCCATCTGAGCTGCTCCTCACCCGGAGACAGAATGGATGCAGTGCCTCTCTGCACCCCCAGCCCCACCCCCAGCTCAGCCCGACACAATAACAAACAGCCCTGTGAAAAGCACTTACATTTATGAACTGTTTATAAATTTACCGACATTGATTTATGACTCTTGGCTAGACCTGATGTGAGTCTCTTTAGGGGTATTTCTTCCTTTCTTTCTTTCTCTCTTTGAATTTTTTTTTTAAGTGTTAATGTTACGGTTCACATTCTTAATATAGCCACACGCCAGGAACTATCCGGAAGACAGCTGGGAGCCCGACCAATGACCCATGGGCAGGAACCTAGACTTGATTTATGCCGGGGCTGTGGCTGGTGGAGAAAGCTGTTTCTGGTTGGTTCGGGGACAGGCTGTTCTTTCAGAAGAAGACCCCTAAGAGAATGCCTCAGCTCTGAGGGGCAGTTGCAAGAAGCAGGAAGAGGGCAAACTGGATTTGGAACTGTGTGAACCTCACTGCTTCCTAGATATGTGACTTGAGACACCCTGAGCCCCAGTTTCCTCATCTAGGTAATAGGGATAATAAAACTGACCCTGAGTGGCAGCTACAAGAGTTAATGGGGCCCTATTGGTAAAATACTTAAATGTGGCTTCCCCATAGTAGGTGCTCAGTAAATGATGATGAGGACTTTCCAAAGCTTGATCAACAGTGATTATTTATTAGCCAGTTTTGTATACAGTTTGGAATGGAAATGTGCCACTAGCCTCTTCAATGAAGTTATAGTCAGGCTCCCCACACAGAGCCCAGACTCCCTTTCTCAGCCATGAAAAACGCTGGAGGGGCCTGGAGGAAAGTATGAATGAAGAGCTCCTCCCTGCCGCTGCTCTGCCTGTCACTGCACACACGAAGAAAATTGGTATCACTCTGGCCAGGTGCGGTGGCTCACACCTATAATCCTAGCACTTTCAGAGGCCGAGGCGGACAGGATTACTTGAGCGCAGGAGTTCGAGACCAGCCTGGGCAACATGGTGAACCCCTGGTGGCATGCACCTGTGGGAGGATGACGCAGGAGAAGCACTTGAGCCTGGGAGGCAGAGGTTGTCGTGAGCCGAGACTGCACCACTGCACTCCAGCCTGGGTGACACAGCAAGATCCTGCCTCAAAAAAAAAAAAAAAAAAAAAAAAAAAAAAAAAAAAAAGAAAGAAAGAAAAAGAAGAAGAAGAAAAAAGAAAGAAAGTAAGGGAAGGAAGGAAGGGAGGGAGGGATGGAAGGAAGGAAGGAAGAAAGAAAAACAAAGGAAGAGGAAGGAAGAAAAAATTAGTATTACTCTCATTGTGTCACTAACTTTAATTACTACCTATATTATTATCTATGACTGTCTTTGCTAAGGAAAGAAGGAACTAACATTTATTGAACACCTTCAGTTGTCAAGAACTTGGCAGGACTTATTTTAAGTCTCATATAACCCTCTGAAGTGGGTGTTGTTATTCCTATTTTACAGATAAAGAAACTGAAATTCAGAGAGATTAAAGTAATTTTCCCATGATCCCACAGCTGGTAAGTGGCTGAGATAAGACAGAAACCCAGCCTCACTCCTAAACAACCCATTTCCCCCAAAACTCTTATCTACCTTATCTACCTACCTACCTACCTAAAAAAACAAAACAAACCCCTGAAATCCTGACTGAGGGCCTGAGAACCTCATGGTGAGGTGTGAAAACCCGTGCAGAGCACAGCATGTCCTGTGACATGAATATCAAGGAATGTCCCCAGGCAACCCGTGCCTGCTCAGCCGCTGTAATTGAGACAGACCCCACCTCTTGCGACAGAGCCTTTCTGGGTCTAAAAGAAGCAGGAACAACAAAGAAGCAAACAACTGGGGCTCGAGTCTACCCGCAGGGACGCCCGCAGACACCAGGTGGCGCCCGAGTCTGGCCGAACGCTGAGCTCCCCTCGGTCTGATTTCTGAGGGGGCACAGCGTCCACCGACTGTCAAATAGAGTGGGTGGAGGTGATGGCCAGCCAAAGAGAGGTGTCCTAGCTATGGTTGGGTGGCCTGTGGGGGAGATGCTACGTGAGGGTGCCCTATCCAAACACTGAGCACCGAGGGGTGATCCTGATGTCCACCACAGTGACCCGGGGAGGAGTTGTGAGCTCATGGTCCCAGGGTCCTGCCATGCAGGCACCAGGGACAGAAGACGGAAGTGGGGGTTCCTTCAGTTCCTCCAAGAGAGCCGTTTTCCATTCCCCGGCAGAGGCCACCTCAGCCCCTCCGCAGCTCTGTGCTTGGCCTGGGTGGACCCCGACCAGTGGATGTGGTTGAGCAGGAGGAGTCCTTAGACCCCAGCTTCTGGTCACAGGGGAAAGGAGTCTCCCGCGTTGGGGATCCCCATCCCCCTGGAAGCCAGGCCCTTCTGTCCAGGGCCCTGTGCCTTCTCTTACTGTGGACTGAGCCTCCACTCTTGGTTTCCACTTGGTAGAATGTCTGGATGAAAACAATCACACTTGGATTCCAGGTGACACAGACATGCCCAAAACCCTGGTGACATAGCTCAAGCAGAAAAAGGGACGACTTGATGTAGCAGTCTCCTACCTTTGTCTGCCCCACCTCCTAATTACCGGGACCATCTCAGTCTTTCCAGGACTTGCCAATTTCATACATCCCAGTTTTTCTTATAAGTCATTGAAAATAGTCTGGAAAGCCCAATATTCAATGTGGCATCTCCCAAACAGCTTCTCTCAGCCAGAAGTGGGACAGAACTCTAAAAGTGCTGGGGTTTGGTTTACATACTAAGGTCACCCATGGCCTATCCTATATTCCTAAGGTGAGGCTGTTGGAAGGGGAGAGGCTCCTTCTACCCACGCAGAGCAACATGGAAAGGCAGCCACCTGCCCCCTCAGCTTGCAGCCTGGAGGCCTTTGCGTTCCTCTCCATTTATATGTCCTGGATTCCAGAGCCAAAATCTTCTACGCCCATAGACAGAGAGTAGGTTCATTCAGAGGCTCATTAATTACATGGCTAAGAGAAGGAAGGGGAAGAAAAGACTCATGAAAATGTTCATTTAAACTTAATTGCTGCCCATGCTCTTGCTAATTGAAGTAGCTCCGTTGCATTTCACTTATGTACCTGAGTGTATTTAAAATGGGATATTGCACAGTATAAACTAAGCCACATCACAAACTAACGATCTGGAAAATCTCAGTTAAATAAACAAAGCTGGCTTTAAGTTACACAGGAGAAACATGTAGTCTCCCGTGCGTACACACACACACACACACACACACAGACACACATACAGCCAAAGCACCAGGATCTCAGACCTTCGGTTCATATCTTCTCCTTCATAGTTCAAATTAAACACAGTCTTAGTCTCTTGCTCTCTCTTTTCCTCTCTCTTTCCCTTATTAAATTTATTTTTAACAGTACCTTAAAAAAATAAACTCACCCCTCTGTGCCACTCCTATGCCAGGTGCAGCCAGGGGCAAATTTTTACAGCTGAATTACATGACCTGAAAAATACGGAGCACATAATGAGAACATTGAGAGACCCCATCTCTAGCACCGGGCCAGTGCTGGTGTAATAACATTCCTGGAGAGAGCAGTAGCCGGGGCAGCTGTGGAGTCAGGCTGAAGCCCTTACTCAGCATGAGGAATTATATATATCTTGGAACTCTTTCCTGAACCTAAACATTATTGCTGAGAAAGGGATAACAGTGTGAGTGGCCATCGCTCGCCAGCCAGGGCTCACACACTGCTTCGAATGTGAGTTTCCTCCCAAGGCTGAGGGGAAACGTTCCAGACCCAACTTTGCCTAGGGCAGGGATGAGGATGGGGCTGAAGGCCTGGGAAGTCTTTGACTCTGGAGTGGTGTTGACATGGCAGTCGGATAAAGCTTGGCACTCCACAAGCCCAGGCTCCGTCGCCCAAGGACCTCTAGGAGGTGTTGTGGGCTGCTTAAAAGTCTAAGTCTACTTCCCTGTAACAGCTCCCTGGGCATTATCCTGGAACTCCCCAGTTATCTGGACTCAGACCAGAGCCCCTCAACCTCAGCTGTCTGCAGCCATGGCAAGAGTGAGGGAGGGCAAAGCTGTTGAGCTACAGGAATCACAGCAACAAAGATGGCTCTTAGGCTGGGCACAGTGGCTCATGCCTGTGATCCCGGCACTCTGGGAGGCCAAGGCAGGTGATTGCTTGAGCTCAGGGGTTTGAGACCAGCCTGGGCAACATGGCAAAACCCCATCTCTACAAAAAATACAAAAATTAGCTGGACATGGTGGTGTGTGCCTACAGTCCCAGCTACTCGGGAGGTTTAGGTGGGAGGATCACTTGAGCCTGGGAGGTGGAAGTTGCAGTGAGCTGTGATTGTGCCACTGCACTCCAGCCTGGGTGACAGAGTAAGATTCTGTCTCAAAAAGCAAAAAAAAAAAAAAAAAAAAAAAAAAAAAAAGATGGCCCTTAAAAGGTGACCATCCTAGATAGAATTTTTTTTTGAGGTACAATTCACATAGCATAAAATTGACCATTAACTAATTTAAAGTGAACAATTCAATGGCATTTAGTGCACTCATAATGTCATGTAACCATCACCTCTACCTAGTTCTACCCAAAAGGAAACCTTGTACTCCTTAAGCAGTCACTCTCCTTTCTCCTGTCCACCCAGCCCCTGGCAACTGCCAGTCTATTTCTGTCTCTATGAATTTACCTCTTCTGGATATTTCATACAAATGGAATCATACAAGACATAAGTAAAATATAGATTTTTAACTCTTTTATTGGTATATAATATGTATAAAGTACACAAACACTACAGTTGGACAAATTTCTGTAAACAGAACACATCCAAGTAACTACTGCCTAAATCAAGAAATAGAGCATTACATGCACCCAGAAACTCCACCATACTACCTCCTAGCCCTATTTCCCCCAGAGAACCACTCTCCTAACTTCTGTATCATGGATTACTTTTACCTTCTTTCCTACCATTATGTCTGATTGCAGTTTGCTCATTTTCCATTGCTGTATAGTATTCCAACATCTGATGACACCACAATTTATATATCCATTGGACTGTTCATAGATATTTTGGGTAGTTTCCACTTCCAAGCTGTTTATTTTTAATTGACACAATTCCAACAAACCTGTCAAGTGGACTTCTCAGACAATTGCTGATTAAAAACATCAAAATAGAAGAAATGGGGACATGGGGCGGTGTTGGGCTAGATGTCTTCTGGGAGTTTCATTGGTTCGGACTACTGTGATTTGAAGCATGGTGAGGGCAAGCAGAATAGAATCAAATCTCCTTTCTGTGTTCTCTTAGGGGACATTTATGGATAAAAAGTAACAGAGTCAGAAAAGACCAGATGAGTTTCTAAGCTTCAGAGTCATCTGCCCCCCTCCAGCTCCCCCAGCCCCCATTTTGGACCCTAAACAGACAAATAGCTGCTTCCTCTGCCACAAGGGCACACCTCAAATCCCACCTGACTGCCATCCTTTGTAATCTGTATCATGCAAAGGGACAGAAAACTGGGCACACAGTGGCGGCAAGGTCTGACCGATTGGGTAATTGGTCTTGGGCTCCCAGTCCAGGGACTGTATTCCACCTTGAGCCAAAGCCTGGCCACTGTGGAGAGAGGACATGCCTTCAGTCTGTTGTCCGACTGACCTGTGGTCAGACCCAGGAGAGACATGAAATAGGCTTCCAATCCATCCCTCTACAGTTAGGCTGAGGCACATTCTCAAATTACTCCTCTTTAGAAATCAATAACAGATAAAAGTATATTTCCCTGTACACATATTGAACAGTGCCTTTTACCATTATACGGTCTTACATTATCTCACTACACACACAGCTAAAACAGACTTCTTCACCTGCAGATTCTGCCTTGGTCAGCTCTATTTCTGGCGTAAAGTTTTGGGGTAGCCACTTTGAAAACAGAATTCTTACAGTTTATGCAGCTAAGATCAGGGACTCCCCGATCCTTTCATTTCCACCCTCTGTGCTAAATTCAGTCTGTGTGGGGAAATGGATAAAATGCTCACACACCAGCAAACTTCTTCCAGATACTTCCTTTGTGGGAAGAAAAGATGCCTTTGAGTGTGGATTTCTCAAGCTTAATTTCCTTTCCTATTATTGGATGCTGTTAGGACAGCCTCACCACCCAACATCCCCATGGATATTGCATCACCTGCAAAATGGGTTAGGAATGGAGCCCATTGCAAAGAAAACACAGCCCAGAAGGAGAAGGGGCTCGCTTATCACTCAGGAGAGCAGCGGGAGAGCTTAGGGCAGGGGCCTGGCTCCGAATGACCTTGGCTTTTCTGGCTGTTTTGTCTACTCTGCTCATCCGTCAAGGCTCAGCTCAAGTCTCCTATTCTCTGCCCACTCCATGCCACCTCCACCTCCATTTGCTGTGGTCTGACTGTCCGTGATCTGGCCCTGGTGTCAGGCTGTGGCTTGTGTTTTCCTGTAAGTCTCCTCTCCCTAATCAAATCATAAGCCCCTTAAGTTGTGGAAGAAGCTGGGTGAGTGGGCCCTGTCTTCTCTGTCTTCTGCCTGAATCCCATCATGACACTCAGCAAGTAGAAGTTCTCCATAACCTTTGGATGTGAAGTAATTGTGTGCTTGGGTTTTCTCTCTGTGGATGTGTTCTTGGTCAGGGATTTTTAAACTCACTTAAAATTCTGGGACATTGAAGGCCAGAGATGACAAGTACGTTTGAGGCAAGCATCATTTCCCTCTGATGGATTGCGTGTGACTGGAATCCTCCACTGAGTAGGCCCGGTATGTCTGGGCTCGGTGTGGAAAGGTGCTTAGCTCAATTAGCAACGCCTGTCTTCTTGAGCACAGAGTGGTAAGGAGTGGCAAGTGTGCCACAAATTTGCCATGCTTGATCTCATCCAACTGCTTCATCTTACAGTGGAAGAGACTGAGGTGCAGAGAGGGAAGTGACTTTATCCAAGGAAAATCAATTTCCTAAAAGGACTTTGCACTTCGGGCGGTGAGCTAACACATTGGCACCATTCAGAAGCAGCTGCCTAGAGCATGGTCTCCGTAAGACCATCTTCTGCTTCCCTTTGAGGTGGTGGATTTTGACATGGGAAGACATATTAGGAAAAGGCATGAGTCAGATCTTCTGAAGCCGCTAAAGAGCATATTAAGCCACCGACAGCTTTTTCTGATTTTTGGTTTTCTTGCAGTAGTTCATCTGTTTTTCTTTTCTTTTTTTTTTTTTTTCCTTTTTAATGTAAACAGACTTTCTCCTTTGTAGCCAGCCAAGTCTCCCCGGTGAATTTGTTAGAGTAGGACAACTTTTATGACTTCACAACTGAAAGAATCGTAAAAAGCAACTGGATGTCATAAGAATTGGTGCTGCTCCTTCTGAGATCAGGCCCCAAGGTTTGAGCTGAGACTTGGCTCTCCTTGTTGCTTGGAATTGGCCACACCATGTCACATTGCTTAGAGTCTACTTAGCATTTCCTTCGTTCTGAATTATTTTCGCATTGATTGTTTAAACTAGCCCCCAGTAGACAGTGAACTCCTCTAGGGCAGGGACCGTGACTTACTTATTAAGTCACATCTCTCCCACAGCCCAGCAGACTACCTTGAACTCTGCCCATTCACCAGTTCATTCACTCACAGATGGCTGCATGCAAAAGCCATTTGTGGAATGCCTACCTTGTACTGCCAGAACTCATTAGGGAGAGAACTGCTTGGGCAAGATGGGTCATGCAGATAACATCAACTATTAAAATTCTCATGCAACAAGGATTCAGCCCAATGTGACTTTCCTTTGCACAGCTTGAGCTTTTTAGAGTGGTGAACACCACTGACACAGGCTTCCAGAGGGATCTGATTAAAGGGAAGATTGGGAAAAGCTGATGAGAAGGTGACAGCGATTCTTTGAGGAGAAACAATATCTTCAGCTTCAGAGTCCTAACTAGTCCTTCCCTTCTTTTATTCTTTTTCTTTCATTTAACATATTTTTTGTGAAAAAATATATATACAAAAGTAGAGAAACTAGTATAACAAGCTCCACGACCCATCAATTATCTTTAACTCATGACCAATCTTGTTTCTTCTTTGTTTTACTCCCTGCCCCTGCCCTGGGTTATTTTGAAGCAAAGCGCAGATGTCAGATATCATTTCGCTTATATGTTTCAATATGTGTCTCTAAATGGGAATTTAAAAAAGATATTCATGATGCCACTATATATCTAAAATATTAGCAATGAACCCTTTAATAGTATCAAGTATACAGTTCTGTAATTGTCCCATAAATATTTCTTTTTTTATTTTTAAACAGTTTATCTATTTGTTTCAGTATCCAGATAAGGTCCATACATTGTGATTGGTCAGTATGTTTCCTAAGCCTCTTTGAATTTACAGCAGGAGCTTTTAACTAGGGGCAGTTTTGCTCCTAAAGGGGTAACTTGACAATGTCTGGGGACAATTTTGGTTGTCAAAACTGGGTTGGTGGGGAGTGTATCTAGTGGGTAGAAGCCAGGGATGCTGTTAAGCATCCTATCATGCTCAGGACAGCCCCCGAGACCCCTAACAACAAAAAATTATCCAGCCCCAATGACAAGGGTGTTGAGGTTGAGAACCCTGACCTAGAGGTTCCACCCCCTCTCTCTTTTCCTTGCAATTTATTAGTTGAGGAAAATAGAGTTTGTGCAGTCCCACAGAGTTCCCCTATGCTGGATTTTGCTCCTTGTGTGCCAGTGGTGCAATCTAACATGTTCCTGTGAGCTCTGTATTTCCTGTAACTGGGTGGTTGGAATGTTCACATTTTTCTCAAGGTGGCTCCTGTGCCCGTGCCACTCACAAATACAGGTATTTTCCTAGTGGGTGCGCTACTGCCTTCAGCTGGGTCCTCGTGTTGACCTGCCTTGTAGACAGGGCACACCTGCGGGAAACGTCACGCATCAGAGGAGAAGCACTTCCCCGGGCCCGGGCTCTGTCCTGGTGGCCCCATTTGGCCTCCCTGTGTGTCCTTCTTCCAACTGGGCTAGTCGTCCTCCAGCTTAAGCAAAACATCTGTCCTTTTGTGGTTTTCAATTTGACACTAAGAAACTTGACATTTACACAGATGCAAGTTTTCAAAGCAGGTTCCAGGAATTAAAGTTATTCTTAATCAAATTAGCCCTTGAAACAATCCGGAAGCTCTTGAGTCTGCAGCTGGCGTGCTGTCCATCCACACTCCCCAGATCTACAGGGGGCAATTCACACACAGCCCTTGCAGCGGCCCCCATGGCTTGTCCAAAAGCCAAATTCCTGCCATTCCAACGGTTGAGGACAAAAACCACAGAGACAAAGGTAGAGAACAAGACTCCTGCTTGTCAAGGAAAACAGCTCAGAGCCCTGCAATTTAATTTTTAAGACAGGCGAGGCCCTCACCCAATAATTGGGCATAAAGTAAGACACACAGTCAGCAGCAAGAGGTGAGAATTCACAGCAGAAAGAGTGGAGGGACCATTTCAAAGCCCCAGTGGTCTGCGCCTATTTAGGGCAGAGATAAATAGCCTACTCAGCTCTGTAGCCCCTAGGGCTGTAATTATAATCACCATCATCAGTGTCCAGGACACGTGTCTAAGTCATCAAGAGCAAGACCGAAGGAAAGTTGGTGCTGAAATGATGGAGGGAGAACTGTTTATTGCCCACTGCTCTGGGCGCTGGGAGTACAAGGGGAAAAGACACAAGCCCAGCCTTCAAGAAGTTTATGTGGGCGAACAGGAAGGATTTCTGTGGGGTGAAATTCCATAAATGAGGGAGCACAGTAAGGTAGACCTAATGCAGCTTGAGAAAACTTCCAGGAGAAGCCGACAGCTGGGTTGCGCCCAAGAGGAACAGAAGTTAGCCAGGTAGAAGGGTGACAACAGGACTCTACAGTTCAGACCTGCAAGGGGCATGGCCTGGCTGGCAGGTGGGGCAGGAGAGTGTCCATGAGAATGTTCTGTGCAGCAAACCAAGCACTCGAAGTTTGTTCTCTGAGCTGAAGGGAGTTTTGAAGGTTTTAAGTAGGGGAGGGACATGATGTGATTTACATTTTGGAAAAGGTTAATCTGGCTGAAAGGATCAGGACAGGAGGGGGAGCAAAAGCAGGGCTCCCTTAGTGGTTGACAGTAACCCAGGCAAGCAAGGGAAGGGCCTGAAGGCAGTGGAGGTAAAGAGGAAGGGGCAAGGGACAATGGGATTATTGCAAGGCATCCCCCAGAATGCTATCCCCTACAGGGTCAAAGCCATCTCTCCGGGAGGAGACAGACTCCTGGTGCTATTAAGGTCACAGATAGGGAGCGATGCTCTCTGGATCCCAACCCAGCTCTGACTCCCAACACCAAACCAGTTCCAGGCTGGCAGGGCTGTCCTGCATTTTATGTCTTTGATGAAATTATGCCCAATGTGATATGTAATTTTTTTAAGGTAGGAAAGCATAATATGCTTTAGGAAGATTTCTATAAAACAATTAAAATATCAAAGAGTGCTTTCTCTGGAGAGAACCTGGTAAGTCATGAAGCTGGTGTCCCGATGCCAAGTGGTGACTGTAAAAGTATGTGTTCCAGCCACTGGGAACATGGGCTCCAAGAGAGGCCCCATCATTCAAGGTCTAGGGGGTGGCAGGGCGGGGTGGTGGTCCTTTAGAAGGGCTGTGTCTGACCTAGAGACCAACGGGGAGGTGAAAGATGAAAGGCTTTGAGAGAGAAGGACAGTGTGGGCAGCTTTTTAGAAAGGGCAGAGCCGGGCCCTGCTGCCATGGGAAGGGGCTCGCTGTGTTTACACGGTGACATCGGACCCACCACCAATGGCTCTTATTGAAAAGTGCGGTGGTCTCCACAGGAAGAGGAGAATGGTATGTTTCAGGCTTTCTCTCTCTCTCTCTCTCTCTCTCACCACCACCCCCCGCCCCACACACACACACATGCATACACATACACAGTCTTTTTAAATGTAAAGAGCAAGGGGAAAATGTCTATTTGCACATCTGGCTTGTTCTTTAAATAGCTCATTCCAAGAAAGAAATATGTTCTCCCTGCCTTAATTTATGTTTCTACCTTTTTCTTCCAATAGGCCTGCAGGAGGAAAGAGGGAGGGAGGGGAGGCCTGAGGCCTTGCAGGGATTCGGCAATGGCTTTGGTATGCTGCTGCCTACACAGCAGCATTTAACCCAATTACAGGATAATAAGGGCTCAGACAAATTATCTGCAAATAGATATGTCTATATGTAAACCCTCGTATTTGGAACATGCGTCTGGAGCCAAAGAAAAGTTAAGTGCTTAGCCAGAGAGCGACTGAGCTCACAGTTTTTTTCCCCCTCAGACCTGCATGTGGAGATACTTGACTTAGATAAATAAGAAATCCCAGGTACAGGCTAGATCCAGATGAGCAGTTTGACAGAAGGAGGAAGAGACTGTGCTCCCAGACTATTGCCATTTGGGGTATGTGCCTGCCCAGTGACCCAGGGTACACTGAGGGGCTTCGCTGGGTTGGCCCAGAGTGGCCCTCACACAGACTGCGGTCTCCGGGGGCTGCCTGGCCACCCTCCTCCCCTTCCTTCCCAGACAGCAAGAGCAGACCACCTAGAGAAATGCTCACAGCCCAGCCCAAAAGAAATTGCTGCAAGCCTAATTCACAAAGGCCATGGGCTGGGCTAAGGGCAAGTGGGGACAAAAGCAATGGAAGCTTTGTGCATTTTAGGATTCAAAGCCATCAACCAATGCTCAAAGAACTCCTGTGCTCATCAGCCCCCACACTTGAGCTGCACAGCAGAGAAAGACACTGAGGTGCAGAGAGGAGCCTCATGTTCTGGCCCATGAGGAAGTCAAAGCAGAAAGAACCCAGGTGTCCCCTCCACAGCACAGGACTCTTTTTGGGGCCAGCACCGCCCTCCAAGGAAGAACATGGCTGGGGAGTGGAAAACTGTTCTGGGCGGCACAGCTCCTCTCTGAGAGCACAATCTAGAAGAAGCTGGAATTTGTTTTCTTTTTTTCCCTTTGTCTCCCTAATAATTTACCCCTAGAGGAAACTTTTACAAATATGAATTACGTAATGCGCACAACAAAGTGTGCATTGGGTGATGCAAAATCCCTTCGTTGCCATGGGGGTATGTTTGCTTGAGTACAAACAGGAGCATGATCGGGGACGGCTCTGTGTGTGGGTCTGTGTGTGTCTGTGTGAGTGGCCGTCCCACAGCGGGCCCAGCACTATGATCTCTGAACCATTGTGCTGGCTTAACAGTTTACCCATTTCTCCATTCCACCGTGTGCTTGCTGGGCTACAGTTTTCTGCATTATGATGTGTTCTGCTGCACCTTAAAAACTGTTTTCTTTAGACAGGGTGTTTGCTGTTTTATATGGGGCTATTGAAACCAGCCCACATGTAGGCCTTGGAAAGTAGTTTTGATTCCCAGGGAGAGGGAAGTGTACCAACTGAGGCAGCTTTCCCAGAGGTTGTGGGGAGAGGGGGCTTTTCAGGTAAGACCTGCTAAAGACACCTGGACACTTTCCCTTGTCATTTCCAGGAACATCTTAAATCAGTTTGAACATCTGCAAGGCTTTGAGGATGGTCAAGTCAGGGCCTGGTGGGGAGGCTGGAGGAGGGAAGAAGCCCAGATGTCCAGCCTTAAAAGTCCTCTGTCTTAACTCTTGGAAGATGCCCCCAATCCAGCCAGGCCCACTCCTGCCTGCTTCTACCACCTGTTTTAGTACCAAGGTTTTAAATTTAGTTCAGTGTTCATAGAGCAGGGGCAGCTGAGTATGGAGCAGGGCAGGGAACGGTGGAGAGACCAGGGTGTTGCTTTTTTTTCAGACAGGAGGCCTGGCTTTTGTCGGGTGTGAGGAGGGACCCAGGTGTTTTTAGGCAGCCCCCAGAGCAGGCCTGGCTGTCTGGAGTGGATTTCAATTCTCATTTGCCAAACTACACTTTCAAGAGGTGTCAGATATCGAAAACCTCTCCCCCAAGCCAAAGCAAGCATTTGGGGAAGGAGAGGCACAGAAGGGGCTGCGGACGGTAGGAGAATATGCTGGCTTTTAAATTGGGAAAGAGAAATGTTCCTTCACATAGTGTTCCACGATGGGTATTTGTTTTTAAAATAATTGGTTAAGCTGTTCATAAAACCAGGTAAGTCTATTCTGCATTGCAAAGAAGACTGGGCAGAGCCTGGTCTTCCTGGCACAGGTGGGATTTTTGTAAACCAGAGCTTTACAAGACAAGGGCAGGGGCTGTGTCCTGGTGACCTGAGATGACCCACTTCTTAAGGGAAACCCAGAGGAGGAGAAGGAGGGAACGGCAAGAAAAGGTGTGAGGGAAGCATTGGAAGGAATGGAGGAAGGAGAGAAAGAGGAGAAGAAGGGAAGAGAAGGAGAAGAGGGAGAGGATGAAGGAAAGCAGGCGTGAGCACAAGTTTCTAACTCTGGGGTCTCAGGCCCCTCACCTGTATGAAGGACGAGGCTGGCAGAGCTTGGGAGCCCCAGGCTGTCTCAGCACCTCCATCCTTAAGCATCAATAACTTCATTGACAGTTGCCCCCTCTATAGGGTTCAGCATTCTCTCTAGTGACTCATGAAAGCATAAAATCAAGACATTCTGGGAAGCCAAGGGAATCTGGTTTAAAATGTGTGTTTGGGGAATGGAAAGCATTAGAAGAATGCTTGTGTCTGGACTATTCTGTTGTTTTCATCCTCTGTTTTCTCTTCAAATTAATGGATGAGTCATGGTCGTCTTTAGGCCTGTGAAATGCCTCCACAGGGGGTGTTGGGGGAGCTGGGATCTGACAGTCGCATTTGCTCCGGCTTTTTGGACTGTTCAGACCTGTGGCTGTTTTCCTCTTCCTCTTTCTATGTGTCTCCAGAGAAAGGATCTTTCCCATTAATAAGCAACACAACTTGAATGTGTTTCTCCTCCCTCCTCCTACCACCAGGACTAGACCGCCCACCTTGAATAAAACCCAGCCAAGTTACAGGATTTGCAGGCCAGGTTCCCCTGGATCTCTGCATGGTGCAGAATCTGGGAGGCCAGTTCCCATCTAGTTGAAGCCCTTCCTTTGCCCCACACACCTTTGATTCATCCCCCAGTGTCTGCCTTTTGTCAGTTCCCCAAACCAAGGGCACCCCTTCAGAGTGCACAGAAATAGCTTGTCAACCATCACAGGGTTAAAGAACAAGGTACAGCAGAGCCCCATTTTGCCGAGGTGCCTTCCCTCTTTTCTCCCTGCAGGTGGGCCCCTCCCTTCTCTTGCACTTCAAGGACTCCGCTCCTCCAGGGCCCACTGTTCAGCCTCCTTGGCCCTGCCCTGCTAAGCCTGCTCTGGCCCCACACAGCGCTGAGCCCCTGGGACTTTCACAAGCCAGCCATGCCCCATGATTATCTCTTGAGGGAGTCCTTCTTTCCTCTGCCTCCATAAAACCAGCTGTTCCTGAATGCTGGCGTTAGGAATGTGATATGTGATAATAAAAGGGACGAGAAAGAGAGAAGAGGGAGCATCTCATCTGAAGAGCTCTGCCAGCCTTCCCAAAGCCCTTTGCAGTTCCTACCCCTGCCGACAGATGGCTAAGTGACATCCTTGACTTGCTGTGCCGCCACCACCCTCACCCTGCCTCCAGCGTCCCTGGGGAAAGAGACCAAGACTTCTTTCATGGAGTGCCTACTATGCACCTAGAGTTTTTCATTATGCCCCAGGAACCCTGCCATTGAATCAGGAAACCGCTGAGGTTCAGGGAGGTTACTAAGCAGCCCAAGGTCACCTACCCAGAGAGGGGGCAAGCCAGATTCACTTCTGGATTCATCAACCTTCCAAGCAGGAGCTGACTGCCTCCTGGGCCCCAGAAACATCTTCCCAACCTCTAACTCATTTTTCTTCTTCCGGAAGACAGAACTGGCAGCATCCACGGCCCACTGCTCTCAGAGTCCTGGCCCACGGGCTCAGTCTTGAAACTACATCTTAGCTTGAGGCCAAGCGGTCTCCTGTGCCCAGATGAGACCTGCTGGGGAGGGAGTGGCAGAGAGGGCTGGAGAGCTAAGCCTGCCCCATCCCCCGTACCCGCATTTCCCCCTCTCTCCCCATCCCAGCCAACGTCCAAAATGCCTGAGTTTGTTGTGCCAAAATTAGGCAAAGAACATTTATACCTTATTACCAAGCCACATAGCAACAACTATGCAAATGATTAATTATGCATCAGATAACCTTCGCTGTACGTTTGATTTAATTACAACACTAAAATTCCAAATACATATATTCCATCTTTATAGATTCTTGCTTGTTGACTATGGTCATTTACTCAAAATAAATTGAGGGAACATTGTTTATACATGCCAGTTTCAAAGCCAGTAGAGAAAAGCTGATGTTTATGTAAGATGTGATTATAAAATAATGACTGTGTTTTTTCAGCAAACAGAGTAGGACTCCAAAGACATTCCACTGGAAGGCTCCATCCAATTCCAGTGGAGTTGCCATCGCTCAAGTTCCTTGTGGCATCTCTTTTGGAATTGCCTTCAGAGTCCATTTGTGTGGGCCACATGGAAAAAAAAATAAACCACTCCGTCCCACCTCGTTATTGACCAAAAAATTTCATTACCCAGTTTGATTACTCACCTAATTCACTGGGATTGGCTTCAAATGATTTTCAGTTGCTTCTAAATATCAGATCAACCCTGAAATGATGAGAGTTAGCAGGCTTTGAAGGACATTTCCAAGTACACTGAGCAGGCTCTGAGAACAATCCCAACAGAGTCAGGATCCAGGCAGCGTTGGCGGCGAAGTCAGTTTTGAGCTGAACCTTGAAGGATGAGAAAGCTCTGAGTGACCATATGAGCGCTCTTCAATGTACCAAGTGCTTTTTCCACCTAGCCCTTCTTTGGAGTCTCGCAGCAGTGGGAGGTGTTGTGATGATCACGCAATGGTAGGTGAGGGATTTAAAGGCCAGAGGGAAATCATTCATCCCAGTCCCATAGCTAGAAGACAAATAACAGGGCTGGAACTTGAAATCAAGGCTTTGTGTGCCTGCATGCATAGTGTCCACCTTCCCCCAATGTCCTGCAGGATCTCAGGAGGCAGAAGCCAGTGAGTAGGCTGGGCTGCCTGAAAGAGAGGAGTCCTGTAAACAAGAGGAGGAAGGCAAGGCCAAGGTGGTAGTTTGGGCTGGATTCTGGGAAGCTGTTGGTGCCAGGTTAAAGAGCATGACAGAGATTGAATGCTGTAGCTCCTGGGCACAGACCAGTGGTGGGGACAGCATGGGACCCCCCAACATTGTTGGCTCTTTCCAGACCTGGACAACAAGGGGTTCTGAGATGCCCCAACATGGTGAACACTGCAGGCTGCTTCACTAAACATCTGCCTAAACCAGCCTCTCTGACTTTCCCAAATATGAGGGGTTGGTTCTCTGCAGCCAGAGTTACCTGCTAATGGCGCAGGTATAGCAAATGGCAGCCTCACATGTGGCAGGAAAGATGGCAGCGAGCAACATGAGTGGTGGCCAAGTGTGGGTACATTGGATCCCCTGGGGACATGTTTGTTTTTTCTGGAACCATCCTGACTGGTTCCCAACATCATGGGTGTAGAGTTTCTGCTGAAATTGTCCTGTGGTGTGGTTGGGTATTTGTCTAGTCTGCATTGTTTTTGGTTGGGCAGCATCCTGGCTTGGTTCCTGGGCCTCCCAAGAAACTTTGCAAACTCCCACATACTCTGTAATAAACTCATTTTCATGTCAATAGCTAGAGTAGACTCTGTTGTCTGCAATTAAGCACTTTGTTCAATCCATCCTTCCGTACATTGCACAGATGTATTCTTTTCTTTAAACAATTTATTCAACATCTACTAGTATCAAGTTTTGTGTTTTGACTTGCATTTTTCTTGTTTAATACAACAACTGCCTTGTGACATAGTACCTACTAAGAGAGGAGTACACTGAAGCTCAGAGAGGTTAAGAAACATAACTCAAGCTGCAGAGCCAGATTTGGGCAGATTTTCAAGTTGTCTACCATTTTCCCATGACCTAAAGGTCTGAGAAAAGGATGCACTGGTGAAGGAACAAAGGTGTGTGTGTCTTTTTAAAGACAGGAGGTCCAGCGGGCCAGAGCGTTTTGAGAGGCCCTGACTGCACAACCTCAGGACAGATTTGATAATGAGAAACTGAGGCAAGGACCAGAGAGAAGGCTAATTTGGGCCCTTGTCCTCATTAGGTGCACCCTATCTTTGGGTGTGCCTTGCTTACTAATGGTGATGGATTCTGTAAAATGAGGCCAGATTCCTGTAAATTGAGATATGATTTTAAAGACACTTCGACAGCTCACTATTCACAAGACTACTGCAGAACCTCCTTTTATCATGGGAAGAAGCCTTTTGTGATCATACTGTCTTCTCTGCTTTCCTTTGTAATTCAAGATTTTCACAGATGGAGTCAGTGCACAGTGGGGTCCACCTTCCTTCTCTGCAGCCTCACCAAGGCTTCCCAGTGCTCTCCGGGCAAAAGGTTAAGGCAAGAGGAAGGGGAGTGTTTTAGTTCCAAAAATATCCCCTCTCTTTGAAGCAGGTGAATTCTTTCTATGCTTAGTTCTTTGGAACAAGGGTTGAAAGCCCAGGGCTCAATCCTTTCTTGTTGCAGAGAAATGGTTTGATCAGGGCTAGTCTCCATTTCTCAGCAACAAGGAACTGAAAACATGGAGGGCAACGATTTACATCAATGTGTTCAGCCTTCCCACTTCAGGTTCCCTCCATGACTTCTGGTTCCCCCCACGGCTCGAGGCAGGATGCCTCCCCTGCCCAGTGGGAACAGGGTCCCCAGCAGCCAGAGGAGTGCTCCTGGCAGCTCTGGCCTGGGACGGCCCCTAGGAGGCCCCCTCCCAACTCCTCCCCTCCTTAATTTCCTCACCCCCTTCACTCCCTTACCCCCTCATCTCCTTCAGCATCCTCACCTCCTTCACCCCCTTGCTCTCTCACCCCTCACCTTACTTATCTCTTTACCCCACCCTCCACTCCTCCCAAATTCTCCTAGCCCCCTTACACCCCTAATTCCTCTAATGTCTCTTACACTCTCAATCCCCAGCCCCTCAGTTCTTCTCTCCCCCTCCTCTCCCTCAGCCCCCCACCCCTCCCCTCCCTTACACTTCCCCACCATACCCTGCTCCCTTTGCATCCCTGCACCTTCGGCCCTGCACACAGCTGCTTCACCTCATCCGCAACCAGTTCCTTTTAGTAGAGGCTGGTCTGATGAAAACCAACCCAGGCCAATTTTCTGTAGATTCTGGATATGATCATTTCTATTGCAATGAATAGAAAACTTAGCTCAAAAACCGACTTGAACAGTAAGGGAATAACATATTAGAAAATGCAATGGAAAGGCCAGGAGTGGTTCAACTTGCAGGAATGGTTTGATCAGGGCTATGTCTCCATTTCTCTGTGATCTGCCCAGTTCTGTCCTTTTTGATGATTTGGCTTCATTTCATCCTGATTTCTCAGATGGTGGCAAAACAGCTGCAATTGTTCTGGGCCTCACATCCGCATACCACACTGTGGAGTGTGAGAGAGAGAGAGCTCTCCCACCCCACCCCCAAATATTTAACACGAGTCCTGTGCTTCACTCTGATTTAGCCAGCCTCAGACAGACATTATGGCCAGGAGAGTGTCAAGCACTGATGGGCTTGAGCCTAAGTTCCTTCCCATCCCGGAACAAATAAATCACTGTGGCAAGGGGGATGAAACTACATGGACTGGCTTATGGAGCTAGGAGAGGGATGATTTCCACCAAAGCAGCATGCTGCCCTACTGTGGGAGAGGATGGGGGATGGGGTAGGGGTGGGCTGGGAGCCATCACATTGTCTGCCTCCCAGTGACCTGGTCTTTGGTCTTAGGTACAATCTGAGCCTCAGGGCGTCCTAGTGAAAGCATGGCATTTAGATACTGACAGACCCTATTTGGATATCAGATCTGCCACTCTCAGGTTAAGGAAGCTTTAACAAGTTGCTTAATCTCAATGAGCCTCAGTTTTCCCAGCTGTAAACTAGGCATAATTCTTCCTGCCTTTCAGGGAATTAACATATGCAGGAGAGTCTGCATGGTGCCTGGACCCCACATCTGTCCAGATGCCTGGACAACTGATATGTGGTAACAATAATTATGAGAATTTTTAAGCCACAGATCTCAGGAGTAGGCTGTCTGTTCCCCAACCACCCTACCACTGCTGTCTGCTAGAAGCAAAAAGCTCTTTGTGTTGCATTTGAGCCAGAGGCCAGTACAAAGGTTTCAGGTGACCTGCTGAGCTTCTTCTTGTTCTCAAGTTGCTGGTGAGTCAGGGCCCATGGGCATGTGGCTGATCCCCTCATCTGCCCCCGGGCATCCTAGGAGAGCTTGTTCCAGGTAACACACTCAGAGCTGGCAGGCACACGGCTATGAAAAGCTTTTAGTTCGCTAACAAAGTACTAAGCAAGATTCTGGGAGTAAATAAAGGAATAGTCTTGACCCTGAACATTGGTGTCGGGCTTGAAGGCAGGAGCGTGGGCTTTGGAGTCAGACAGCACTGGTTCCAATCCTGGTGTTGCCACTTAGGACCTGTGTAGTTTACCCCTTGGGAAATGATTTCCTCCTTTGTAATAAGAAAATAATAATCAGGCTCATTTCATGGGTTTGTTTTGAGGACTGACTGCAATAAACCATGCAAGGAACCTAGGACTGTGTCAGAAATTAATGATTGATAAAGGTTAATGCTATCATGATCAACTGCCAATAAAAATATTTCAAGAATCTCTCTGCATTGCGTCTGTAACATTCTAGGATTTGTTGATTATATCTGGGGTTCAAGAAAATTTACAGGATGCTCATATTATGCCAGTTCAACTTGCATCAACATCAATTCATTCAACTGATATTTACTGAGCACCTACCAAGTGCCAGGTACTCTGCCAGGAGCTGAAAACACAACTAGGCAGCCAGGTATGGTCATGCAGGTTGTGCACTGCACAATTTCATGTGCCTAGTCACATCCTAATCTGTGTAAATGCCCCCCATGCTCTGGAACTGTGCAGTGCACAAACTGTCTGGACATACGAGGTGCCCTGCCTACTCTCTACTCAAATCATTCCACCAATATATAATTCAAAACTCAGATGTGTGTAATGAGGAATAGGCAAAGGAGGGCTGGAGTGAGGTCCAAACCATGTAGAACCTCATTGGCTGGGTTAAAGACTTGGATTTTTATCCTTGGAGCAATGGGAAGCCATTGGAGGATTTCTAAGGGGGAGCAACACAATCCAATTTGCATTTTTAAAATATCCTCTGGCTGCTATGTAGAGAATGGATTACAGGGACAAGTGTGGAAAGCAAGGTGTCCTCCATGAGGCTTTTCCAGGAGAAAAATGGTCACATCTTGGACTGGGTGGCAGGAAAAAATGAAAAGAGGAAGAAATTCAGGGGTTTACATGGGCTGGGGGTGGGGAGAAGAAGGAGTAGATGGAGGCTGGGCATTTTTTCTGAGAGGGGAGCCAGAAGGAAGACCACGTTTGCTCCAGACTTCCTAACAAAATCTTCTGTGAAGGGCTTTATGGTGCACCTTCTGTTTCCGTGCCTTGAGACACTTAACATTTCCTCAGCAGCTGCAAGAGTCAAGCTATAAAGGGCAAGCAGGGAAGTGGGTGGTGGGGCAGGCTCGGGGACAGAACTCCAGCTCAAAGCCCTGGCTCAGGAAGATGCTATAATCTCAACCAGGTCAAGGTCATGTCTAAGTCAGGAGCTATGCTGAAAGCCTCGACACAGAGCTGCAATCCTCATCCATAAGTGACAGCAAATCCAGTGTTTGAATTCCCTATGGGATTGCACCTTTATGGGAACCTGCCTGAGGCACTGGAAAGATGAGTCAACCCCAGGCACCGGAAGCATGCGAGACCTCAGAAGTCTACCTGTTGGAAAGCCTATTATTAGACTTCTAAACTGCCTCAATCTAGCCCACAGAGGCACATCCTACCTGTATGCAAATCTCCTTTCCACCCTTAAGTCATTCATTAGTCACCAATGTCTCCCCAGCTTCCAAATCTAGTTCCGCTCTGGAGAGATTACCTAGGGCAGAGTGGGCACCTCTGAGGGCAAAGGTCCCACAAAGATCAACTGCCCTGATTCTCCACCACAAAGGGTGACAATGGGCCACTGCCCTGGCAAACAGGCCACCTCCTCCCTGGAGGACAGCTGGACCTCTGAGTACCTTTCTCTCCGAAGCTCAGCTGCAGACCCAAGCCTCAGAGTGGGTCACAGGGTGAGGGACCGGCAGGGTGCCAGATAACTCAGTGGATATTTACAAAATGGCTTGCGAAGCAGGTTAGGGTCAAACTTTACCAAAAATTCAGTCTTTCAAAGAGTGTAACTGTGAGATGCAGACTTCCCATCAAAAGAGTCCAAAGCACGTTGTCTTTTAGTGTGTGCTATCCCCCTGTTCATTCATTCATTCAGAAAATGTGAATGGAGCACTTTGTGTTTGGCAACGTGCTAGATCCTAGGAAGAATTCAGACACTGAGAGGGGCAGGGTTGCCACCTGTTGGGAGTTTGCATTCTAGTGTGTTGGGACCTAACAGTCTCCCTTTGCCTGAGGTCTGAAAGCTTCTGCTCATTGTCTAGATGTGTCCCTATCATTCTTCTCAAACCTGAGAGGAGGTGCATTAAAAAAAATAACCGGTGCACCTCCTGATTGTAACGAGACCTGCCCAGCAGAAACCAGGATACTCCTGGAGTATTCAGCCAAAGCGGATAACAACCATGAGCTCAACCCCTTGTGGACAGGATGTAGAACAGATTATTAAGTAGGGCTTGCCAATACCTAGAGAAATAAATAGTAATAAAACTAGCTAACATTTGAGCTTTACATGTGCTATTACTAATTCAGTGCTCATAACCACCTTACGAAATTGGTATGATGATTTTTATTGACAAATAACATTTGTACAAATGATACTTTGTTACATGCATAGAATGTGTAATTATTGAGTCAGGGTATTTAGGGTAACTACTGACTCAAGTATTTACCATTTGTATGGGTTGAGAACATTTCAAGTCCTCACTTTTAGCTATTTTGAAATGTACAATACATTGTTTTTAACTACAGTCACCCTACTCTACTACTGAGCATTAGAACTTATTCCTTCTCTCTAACTGTATGTTTGTATCCATTAACCAACCTCTCTTCGTCCTCCACACCCCATACCCACAACCTTCCTGGCCTCTGGCATTCTATCATTCTACTCTTCACGTCCACAAGATCAACTTTTTAAAAAGCTCCCACACATGAGTGAGAACATGCGATGTTTGTCTTTCCATATCTGGCTCATTTCGCTTACCATAATGACCTCCAGTTTCACCCATGTATGCTCAGCAAATGACAGGATCTCATTCTTTTTTATGGCCAAATAGTATTTAATTGGCTATGATGATTACTTGGACTCTGCAGATGAGGATATTGAGACAGAGAATGTGGTTAACAGCTTTGCCCAGTGCCACGCAGGTAGCAAGTAGCAGAGCCAGGATCCACACCGAGGCACCTGGCTCCAGGGCTGTGCCCTAACTGCTGCGCCACACTGCTTCTCCTGGGAGTGCCCCCTGGAGAGAAGCATGAATGCACTGGGAGAGAGTGTGTCCATGCATCCATGTTGCCCTCCTGGCAGGGTGCCAGGATTAGCATATCAGTAAAAGACAGTAGATACGGGGTTTCTGGACAAGACCAGAGAACTATACTGTGTGGTTGGGACAGTGACTGGTTGAATGACTGTCTTCAAGGGGAAGCAGTGACTGGGTTGGTGTTACCCTGGAGGGGCACGTCCTTGAGGAGGGCCACAGGGCATGGAGTTTGCCACCTAGAACATTGGAACCAAACATTCCAACAAAGATGCCCTCAGCCTTGGCCCACTGAGCATGTTCGTCAGTGACTCGGATACTCAGGGGTGAGGCTGTGCCTACTGAGTCTGCAGAGGCAGGAGGGAGAGCCGGTGCAGGCCATATAGACCTCTGTCTCCCAAGCTGGTGGTCTCCCTGGAGGAGGAGAGAAGACGATTACAAGCTTCAATGAGATGACTTCTGGCAAACAAAAGCAGTCACCGCTTAGCAGAAGGAGGCATTTATTGGCAGGTAGGACCTGGCTGGACGCAGTGGGGATGCTGGTTTTGTGGTCTCCTGTCCCAGTCCTAGACACTCTGGAGCCTGGGCTTTAAATCCCATAAGGCCGCTGGCTGAGTCAGCCTCAAAGAGCTGCTTAGCCTGTAGGCTGCTTCCTGTGACTGGATCCCTCAGAAGTAATATCAGAAATGAGATTTGTGAGCAGAGGCTGAGCTGGGAGAAGAGTCGGCTCTGTTGGCTTGGTTTGCACTGTCACCTCCAACCCATGTGAATGCCTGTGAGTCTCCTGTTAAATCCCCTCCAAAGCCTCAGCTAAAAGACATCCATGTCACTGCTACTTACGTATTAGCAGGAATTAGTTTCTTGGTTCCCAGGCCAAGGACTAAGAAGCACCCAAGAGAGGCTAAGGAACCGCCCAAGACAGACTGGCACCCAGGGGCCTCTGCAAAGCCAGATGGGAGGATGGATTATCTCCCATTGCTGTGGAACCACGAACTCTGTGGCTTAAAACAACACCCACTTATTATATCACAGTTCTGTAGGGCGGAAGTCTGGTACAGCATGGCTCAGCTTAGGGTCTCACGGTCCAAAATCAAGGTATCCACTAGCCTGGGCCCTGATCCAGAGGCTGTGGAAGAGAATTCAGGATCTAGCCCCTTTCTGATGTCATCCAAGAGCCTCTCTCTGCTCTGTAAAGCCACTCTCGCCACTGCTCCCTCCATCTTCAAACAGCAAAAGTGGGTCAAGTTCTTCTCACACTTCCAATCTCTCTGACTTCCCTCAGCCATATCTCTTCTGCCTTTCTCCCCTGCCTCATCTCTCTGACTCCAGCCAGAGAAAGTTTTCTGCTTTTAAGCCCCTCTGTGATTAGAATGGGCCATGTTTTCATGTAACTTGTGGCAAGCTTTTATTAAAAAAAATTTTCTTGTAGCATGTGTTGACCTACAGCTGGAATTCCATGTATGGGCTTAAAAAAAAAGATCTCAAAAGACAAAGGATAGAGAAGAGGTGGTAACTGGTGACAGCATCATTCCCTACCCTATGCACACACATGCACATGTGCACACGCATACATGCACACACACACAGACCCGCACATACGCACATGCTGGGTGCCTGCATTGCACTATTCCTGGAATATAACACACACTAAGTAGATGTCATGAGTAACATCACAAGCCACCGCAGCCTAGGGGTATCACAGCCCCCACATAACAGTGACAAAATAGTATCTCTTCACTCGTGCATCAACTGTGTGCACCACTGCCAGGAGTGCTAGGCCCTGTCTCTGTCCCTGCCTCACAGTTTAGCTGTAGAGAAGGATGAGTTACCCCTAGAACATAGTGTCAGGAGGGGCATGATAGGAGTCAAAAGAAAGTGTACAAGCCCTAGTCCGAAGAGCTGAGGGAACATCCCAGTTTCCGCTCCATGAACACTTTTCCCTGCCTTCATTCTCCTGGAGTGAAGGTATCCACCAGCTTGGACCCTTATCTGGAGGCATGATCTCCCTGCCCCCATGACTCCACTTCCAAAAGGGATGGATGACACGTCACCCCTGCAAGAAACCCAGGGCTGGCATGGCAGAGCTGCTCAGGGTCATGCCTGCCTGTCAGCTGACTGTCCCTGCTCCAGGGTGTGTGTCTCAGTGTGTCTGTGTGTGATCTATTCTAGAGTCATGCACACACACATACACACTCATGCACGCACGTGTGCACACACACTCCAGGGCTTAGTGCCAAGATCCCTTATCCCCTCTCTGTCTCCTCCTCTGTCCATCCCTCACTGGGCCACGGAGGGCCTTGGTGGTCCAGGCACACCTGTTTGGCACCCACATGACTCCACTGCTTCAGAGAGAAGGGGTGAGACAGAAGCCTCCTGTGAGCTGGGGGAGCTGCCCCGCCCGGCCTCCCCCTTGCTTCTCCTCTTGTCTCTCTATCTTATCCAGAGGTGGAGGCTCCATCTAACTCCAGCCCCTGCCTGTCCAGAGTGGCCCCATGATGCAACCCAGGCGTCATGAGGGAGGTTCCCAATTGTGACACAGGCGTTTGATTCCACTTAATGGGATGTATCAGTTAGGAACAGTTCTGGCTGTGTATAACAGGATACCCAAATTTTAATAATTTTATCATAAATACGTGAAATTATCTCACAAAACAGGAAGCCCAGATAGCTGGTCCCAGGACGTAGTGGTTCAGAGATGTCCGCAGATCCAGGCTTTCCCCAGCATCTTCCTCTGCCGTCCTCATCCTGACAACACGGAGTGCCCCTTTGTCACAAGATGGCAGCCACAGCTTCAAACATTACACCTTCACACAACAGCATTCCAGGCAGATAGGAGTGATGCAGGGGCTTTGTTTTCACATGGCTTCTATTCCAAGTATGAGGTGGTTTCAGAACTCCTGTCAAGCCAAGACAATCAGGAGTGATTGCGACAGTTCACAGCTTAAAGTTTCTTTCTTTTTTTTAAAAAAATTATTATTATACTTTAAGTTCTAGGGTACATGTGCGCAGCGTGCAGGTTTGTTACATATGTACACATACGCCATGTTGATGAGTTCATGTCCTTTGTAGGGACGTGGATGAAGCTGGAAACCATCTTTCTCAGCAAACTATCTCAAGGACAAAAAACCAAACACCGCATGTTCTCACTCATAGGTGGGAATTGAACAATGAGAACACTTGGACACAGGAAGGGGAACATCACAGCTTAATGTTTTCTTTCCGTAGTCTCCTTTGTTCCCATGGAAAGAAGCTCAGAGCCAAGATTTGATTAAGCCCAACTCATTTACCAAGGAGGCTCAGTGTTCTCTTCCTGCGAGTTCTCACCAGCCACACCCATGCCCTCTGCCTGTCCTATTCCTTTTTCCATGATCTCTTTCTACCCGTATGTCTGTGTGGCACCCCCAAGAGTGAAATAATGTCATGTAATGGATCTGCAGTCCCAGAGGTGGGGGTCAAAGTGACTCTGTCAAATGACTAAATCCACTAAATCTAGAAAGAATGTTTGTGATTCCTTCCCTTCCTTCATTTAACAATTTCACACTCATCTTGTACGAATGCCAGGCACTGTGCATGGGAACAAAGACTCATGGCCCTGTCTTCATGAAACTCATAATCTAGTGGGGAGAGGGACAATATCAGAGAGTCACAAAAATAAGTGCATTGTCACGCTTTGTGATATATGCTCTGAAGGACACATGGAGGTGGTGTGGGCTCTGAGAGCCTCTGATGTGGTCTGGGTGGGGGTGTGCAGAGTAAGGAAAAGCCAGAATCAAGAGGGGGTGGGAGTTAGCCAGGCCAATGTGAGATGAACACAGACAGTGGTGGGCTGCAGCTGGCAGGTACCAGCTTTCCAGAGCTGACTGTGCACATCACATTCCAGCTCTGCTATCAGCAACTTTGTGTTGGTGGCTTGAAATAAGCCACAGAGGGTGTACTTGTACTACAGAAATTGGTAACCACTACAAATCAGGGCTTTCTTCCCTGGAGAGCCAGGAATATTTACCAGCCTGCCACTGAGACAAGGGGTGACTTCTGAGCATGTGCGAAGCTGGAGGCCCACAGTCATTGTTTAAAGTCATTTCTCTACAAAGTTCTGCAGGCTTGTGCAGACAAGGTACAGATTCTCACCTGTCGGATGCATCACTGAACAATAGTTCTGAATCTCCCCACACTTAGGGCTGTGCGGCTGAGAGCATTAAGATCCCATGAGAAAGAGTGAGCCAGCATTTCATCATGATAGGTGTGACCATGGCAACAAACCATCAGAAGGGTTTTTCGTTTGTTGTTTTAACCCACAGGGTATTCTAGGTCTCCCTGGTGCCCCCAGCTCTCCTTCAAGTGCAATCACAGGGTCTCTCCAAGCCCATCCTTGGTTACTCTCCTCTGCAGACCATCTGCTCAAATTAAAGCAAATCTAATTTCTTCCCTCCTTGACTCCTGGCTTCCAGATCACTCTCTTCCCCAGATCCGTCCTTTTGTGACCAGCTCACACCTTCTCAGAATGTAGTCTCTCATAACTGGGTACAGTGCATCCTCTACATTTCCCTTTTAAACCCACCTCCTTCAGGAAGCCTTCCCTGATTACCCCAACTCCACCTTGATGCCTCATTTTGTTTGGTGTCTCTTAGTAGATGTGCTTTTCATTTTCCCCACGGGGGCTAGTGGCTTTGAAACTATTCTCAAGTTAATTCACAGGTGTGCAGTCAGACTTTCCCTTAGAGTATATGCTCCTTAAGGTCAGAAAGTTCATCTTAATATTACTATTATTATTATTTATAACTCCTAAAAAAGGCAAAAATGAGGTAGGCACTTGGAGACATGACCCAAATGCGTAGTCAGCCATTATAAAGTTGTAACAGTGAGTTCTGGAAAGGAGGAGTGTGAGCAGAGGAGGAAGAGCATGAGGCTGTTTTTTACCTCCTTGTCCAAAGGGAGACAAGGCCCTAGGGATGGAGTTGTTAAGCCAAGGTCAAGCATGAGCCTTCTACCCCCTCTCCAATGACCAGCCATGGGGCCTTGGGCTCTTCTACCTCTCTGTCTTTCTCTAGGCCTCCCTTTTCTCATCCCCACAATAGGACAGTAAAACCAAGCTCAGGGGTGGAGCATGGTGGGTAAAGAACAGTGCACGTGAGTGGCACGTAGCAGCACACACCACAGCACTCAGAGACTGCGACTGTGCCCCTGGCAGAGGGGAAAGAAGAGGGTCTGACTCCTGTCCCCACAGGACGCTGCGAGAATTGTTTATCCTTGTGTGCACCGTCTCTCCCTCCCTGGATTCATCTGTTTTATTTATCCTTGTTTCCCCGCCAGCCTCTGCACATAGTAGGTGTGCTTACTATTTGTTGAATGGAGACACCAGTTGTGGAATATCCAGTCATCTGACAGCAGTCATTTTGACATGAACAGTGAGGTTTTTCCAGCAGCTTTTCCCCACCTCCCTTCCTCCGCCTGCAGTAGTGCATTCATCTGGGTCCCATGATTCAGCCTCTGGCTTTTGCTTTGCCCCCTGGCTACCCAGGCAGCCTATGGCATCCTCAGCTGCGCTGGACGCCCCCTTCCTATTGTCCCCCAGTCTGACCCTTCGCACGTCGTCCCTGCTGTGACAGCTGCTCTTTTAAGTCTGTGCAGATTCTCTGACCTAACGTGTCCCTGCTCTCCAATCTCAGTCTTGCGGTTGCCGGGTCACCCTGTGGTTTGCTGAAGGTCAACTCTGGAGGACTCCCAATTTTCTCAAGTGGAATCTAAATCTGCCCCTTGGAGGGGCTCAGTGGAGAGTGCCGGGTGGTAGGTCCTGCCCAGAGTTCTGGCTCCTTCCTCTAAATGGGACCTGCCCCCACCCCCAAATACCTAAGAGGCATCTAGCATTGAAGGGGCCCCTTCTCCTTTCATTTTTTCTGCTTCAACTCAGCTATTTATTAGCCAGCATCTTGACTTGAGAGAGGCCCTCTGGGCCAGCAGGCCTGGCTCCACTTGAGGTTCCCAGACCTTTCCAGGAAGGGTTACAGCAGGCTCGACACCCCCTGGTTTCCTAGAAAAAAAAGGGGAGCCGTCGGCAGAGGTGGGCCCTGTCCTCATATACTCCATGGTGACGTCCTTGGCAGCTACTGCCAGCTGTATCCACCTTGGGGAGATGACTTCCTCAACCAGAAGCCTGAGACCCCTAACCCACAGCATAGCATTCCCTGTGGCTCTGGGCTCCCCTCCCACAAGGCAGCTGCCACACCCCTAAGCCCCTCAACAGTCCTCTCCAGGGATGGAAGCCAGGACGCCAATCCCAGGCTCTGTCCAGGCTCCCGTGTGCCACTTCCTCCTTTTCTTTCTTGTTGCTCCTTCCCTTCCCTCCTTTCCTCTCTCTGGCTCATAAAGCCAAGGCTGTACTCCAGCCATAACTCAGAATTGTGACCAGATGACCATGTAACTGAATTGAACTCTTCTCAGTCATGACATCACATCATTCTAGAAACCTCTGCTTTGGCTCTGCTGACGAGTTCACATCCACTTTAAGGTTTGGCTCCAAAGCCACTGGTCTTACTTGCTCCATATTACCTAAAAAGAGCTACTTATGCTCTGCAAACCTCTGCAGCCTCTGAGGTCAACTGCAGCACATGTAGCGACCATTCCAACGTTCTGAAGCCCATGATGCTTTTGGCTCCTCGGAGCCCTTCTGCGGAAATCCCTGCAACCACTAACCAAGTATTTTTCAAATCCCCTTTAAATAAGTTCGTGTTTTCAAAACACAGAAAGCAATGGTGAGGCTCAGCTACTCCCAGGCTACACCAGAAAGAGAGGAACCAGGGACTCACCCCTCGCCACTTCCATCTCTCCCCTCTCTCTCATCCTCACCCTCCCACAAAATCTAGTTTTCTGCCAGGAGCAGCTCGTCACAGTTTGCGTAGTAAGTTTCATACAGACAGGTTCCTGGAAGGTGAGGTTTGATCCTTATCTTTGGAGAGCGGGCCACAGTAATAATACATAATAATGTAATAAAAGAGTATTTCCATAGCACAGAATTTTAACAACTGTTCCCCAGATCCCTTCCCAGGCTCCTCAACCAGTCATATGACCACTCTGTGACATCTTCTAGTGTCACGGACACATAGGTCTCTGACTCCAAGGCCATCACTCCACATGGAGGCTGTGGTGACTCAGTGGTTCTTTCGTGGAGGCCTTCTTCTGCTTCTAATATTGGCCATGTAGCTCACAGGCTGCTCACAGCCGTCTTGTTGCTGAGTGCAGATGGCCTAAAGTGAGCAAAGCATCCTTCTCCCAATCAACAGCCCAGGAGGATCCGCTTTGGCCCTAGTAACACAATCGTTTTTCTCTCCCAGCCCCCTTTCTTGGGACCTCTGGCACAGGTACAGGTAACTTGTGTTGGAGAGCATGGGGTAAAGGAACACGCAAAAGGACAGAATGATCTAAACTGCACACATGCAAATTATTTTCAGAATGTCCACACCCCTCTGGAGATAACCTATTGTCCTTGCATTGAACATATGCATTTGTACCTCTCTTTCCTTAAAGAAGTGACTCTCAAAGGTGGCCCATAGTGGGAGCACCTGGGGGCATTCCCAACCTTTACACACACACACACACACACACACACACACAGATTTTGATGCCTCTACCCTGCATTGATGTAGTACACTGCCAGTTACCCACTGTGCCAGACAAGTTTGTGGTACTCACCAACTCCTCTGTAATGTAGGGGCTGGAAGACTGGGAACTATATTTCCCAGAATCTGTTGCCAGCAGGCTTCTGGTTTAAATTTCCCGATGAGAGGCACTCACTGAGAATTGGAAGATAGAAGGGGAACAGACGCCAAAGGGTTCCTTCAGCAGTGGTGGGCAGACACATTTGGGTTTGTTTTGCAGCCGCCTCTGATTTTCCCCTGTGAATCACCTGTCTTGGTGTTGCAGGTAGTTCTAGTCATCAGTGGTGGTTTTCTGTGGTCGTGGCATTCCCGTGTCTGAAATCAGGCGGTGAACCCGAGAGCCTGCTCCGACCTTCCCTTCCCTTCCTTCCTTTAGCCCTTTAAACCATCTTGCAAGCACAAGCACTTGATTCTTTGTATCAACTCCCTTTCTCTTTGAACTGCATGAAATGGGGTGTTTTCTGACTGATACACATCTCCAATATTTATTCACATCTTCTTCCTTATGAATAGAATCCTGAGTTCAGCAGGGCAGCCATTTGTTCAGCTACAATGTCCAAATGTTCCCATCCTGACTGATAAGCCATCAGCAAAAGTCTACTGGGCATTTGGGGGAAACATTTTGCTTTTCTGATGACAATATTGCCCCTTCGTTCTCATTTTCTCTCCTCCATTCCTGTTTTCTACTTTCTGGCTGGAATTTGGACTTAGTGGCTGAAAGTTCAGCAACCATATTTTGACCATGAGGAAAAGTCCAAGGGAGATGTAGAGACCTCAGCCCTGAAGTCTGCAAATCCCTAAACTAATACCAGGAACTACCTCTTCTGAACTTCTTACTTTGTGAGGGAAAAAAATCTTCCTTAAATTCTCTGAGCTTGCCAGGTGCAGTGGCTCATGCCACTTTGGGAGGCCGAGGCTGGTGGATCACCTGTGGTCAGTAGTTCAAGACCAGCCTGGCCAACATGGTAAAACCCCGTCTCTACTAAAAATACAAAAATTAGCTGGGCATGAGGGCAGGTGCCTGAATCCCAGCTACTTGGAGGTTGAGGTAGAAGAATCGCTTGAACCTGGGAGGTGGAGGTTGCAGTGAGCTGAAATTGTGCCACTGCACTCCAGCCTGGGTGACGGAGTGAAATTCCATCTCCAAAAAAAAAGAATAATGTCGGCTTCTGTGTAGTCATGTTTTCTATTACTTATAGCCAAGAGTAGTCCTAGTTGACTTAGTAGAGGTGTTCGTCTCCCTTACCTCTTTGGAGAGCACTGTCATATGAGCTACACTAATCCAGTTGTGTTGAGATATAAAAGCAGTTGCAAACCTCTTCTGAATGGAGAATTCTTTCTAGAAGCTCCCTGGGCTCTCCAGGATGTATGAGAATCAGTCCTACCTTGCTGCTTCCACAGTTCCCAAACACGTCCAGGCATGTCTGCATCCACTGGGTAGAGACATCTTAGGCCAGCCTTCCTGCATGAAGGTATGCATAGGTTTTATCTAGAACCTGTTAAATTCAGCTCTAAAATATAAAGTGTCTCATTTCTATAAGGCCTTCCTAATACTCACAATAATCTGCTATATATAAACTGGGATCACAAATTCATTCAAATCTTTTTTTTTAAAGATATCTTCAGGTTTCACTGTGGAACAAAACAGGCCTACTTTGGAAAAAATTATATTTAACATGAGTTCTCGAGGCTATACTACACTAGGAATAATAGTGGGCATAGAAAAAGTACATCTGTTTCTGCAATGCAGTGAGAGGTATTTCTGCTTATTAACAGAAAATCAGGCCACGTGCAGGGGCTCACACCTGTAATCCCAGCACTTTGGGAGGCCAAGGTGGGTGGGTTATTTGAGGTCAGGAGTTCGAGACCAGTCTGGCCAACATGGTGAAACCCTGTATCTACTAAAAATACAAAAAATTAGCTGGGCATGGTGGTACGTGCCTGTACTCCCAGCTAATTGGAAGGCTGAGGTAGGAGGATCACTTGAACCCGGAAGGTAAAAGTTGCAGTGAGCTTAGATGGCACCACTGCACTCCAGCCTGGGTGACAGAACAAGACTCTGTCTCAAAAAAAAAAAAAAAGAGAAAAATTATTTGTATTTTGAAATAAAGAATTTGATCCTGAACATGAAAGAGGATGGTAAAGGACAAAACCCCAATTGATATAGGAAATAGTAGAAGGTTTATGAAAAGATAATTTTATTTGTCTGGAACTATAATACCTGAAGATAATTGAGCCTCATAAATAAGTCATTGAAATTTATTAAAATTTTGCCAAAGCTGCCTAAGTTTTTATGGGTTTATTAATACAATTTAATGTTATCTTTTAAAATTACAAAATATACTTAAACTGTATTATTTGTTTTTCTAAATTTGTAGTGTCAATTATACATACATACATAGTTTATATTTTTATTTCACTAGTTTTGGGGGAAAAGGTGGTGTTTGGTTGCATGGAAAAGTTCTTTAGTGGTGACACTGTACCCAATGTATAGTCTTTTGTCCCTTACCCCCTTCCCTCCTTTCCCACTGAGTCCCCAAAGTCCATTATATCATTCTTATGCCTCTGCATCCTCATAGCTTAGCTCCTACTTATAAGTGAGAACATAGGATGTTTGGTTTTCCATTCCCGCGTTACCTCACTTAGAACAATGGTCTCAAACTCTGTCCAGGTTGCTGCAAATTCCATTATTTTGTTCCTTTTTTATGGCTGAGTAGTATTCTTTGGTATATATACACCACATTTTCTTTATCCACCCGGTTAATGGGGATTTAGGCTGGTTCCATATTTTTGCAATTGCGAATTGTGCTACTACAAACATGCGTGTGCAAGTGTCTTTTTCATATTATGACTTCTTTTCTTCTTGGTAGATACCCAGTAGTGGGATTGCTGGATCAAATGGTAGTTCTACTTTTAGTTCTTTATGGAATCTCCATACTGTTTTCCACAGTGGTTGTACTAGCTTACATTCCCACCAGCAGTGTAAAAGTGTTCTCTTTTCATCATATCCACACCAACATCTGTTATTTTTTTATTTTTAAATTATGGCCATTCTTGCAGGAGTAAGGTGGTATCTCATGGTGGTTTTGATTTGCATTTCCCTGATAATTAGTGGTGCTGAGTGTTTTTTCATATGTTTTTTGGCCATTCGTATATCTTCTTTTGAGAATTGTCTATTCATGTCCTTTGCCCACTTTTTGATAGTTTTTTTTTCTTGCTGATTTGTTTGAATTCCTTGTAGATTTTGGATATTAGTCCTTTGTCAGATGCATCATTGCAAAAATTTTCTCCCATTCTGTGGATTGTCTGTTTACTCTGCTGATTATTTCTTTTGCTGTGCAGAAGATTTTTAGTTTAATTAAGTTCCGTCTATTTATCTTTGTTTTTGTTGCATTTGCTTTTGGATTCTTGGTCATGAACTCTGCCTAAGCCAATGTCTAGGAGTTTTTTCAGTGTTATTTTCTAAAATTTGTATGATTTCAGGTCTTAGATTTAAGTCTTTGATCCATTTTGAGTTGATTTTTGTATAAGGTGAAAGATGAAGATCCAGCTTCATTCTTCTACTTGTGGCTTGCCAATTATCCCAGTACCATTTGTTGAATAGGGTGTCCTTTTCCCACATTATATTTTTGTTTGCTTTGTCAAAGATCCGTTGGCTATGAATATTTGGCTTTATTTCTGAGTTCTCAATTCTGTTCTATTGGTCAATGTGCCTATTTTTATATCAGTACCATGCTATTTTGGTAACTATAACTTTGTAGCATAGTTTGAAGTCAGGTAATGTGATGCCTCTAGATTTGTTCTTGTGGCTTAGTCTTGTTTTGGCTATGCAGGGTCTTTATTTGGTTCCATATGAATTTTAGGATTGTTTTTCCTAGTTCTGTGAAGAATGGCAATGATATTTTGATGAGAATTTCATTGAATTTGTAGATTGCTTTTGACAGTATGGTCATTTTCATAATATTGATTTTACCCATCCATGAGCATGGGATGTGTTTCTATTTGTTTGTGTCATCCATGATTTCTTTCAGCAGTGTTTTATAGTTGTCCTTGTAGAGATATTTTTCACTTCCTTGGTTAGGTATATTTCTAAGTATTTTATTTATTTTGCAGCTGTTGTAAAAGGGGTTGAGTTCTTGATTTTATTCTGAGCTTGGTCATTGTTGGTGTATAGCAGTGCTACTGATTCAGGTACATTGATTTTGTATCCTGAAACTTTACTCAATTCATTTATCAGATCTAGCAGCTTTTTGAATGAGTCTTTAGAGTTTTCTAGGTATATGAACACATCATCATCAATCAGTGACAGTTTGACTTCCTCTTTACTGATTTGGATGCCCTTTATTTCTTTCTCTTGTCTGATTGCTCTGGCTAGGACTTCCAGTACTATGTTGAATAGAAGTGGTGAAAGTGGGAATCCTTGTCTTGTTCCAGTTCTCAGGGGGGAATACTTTCAACTTTTCCCCATTCAGTATAATGTTGGCTGTAGGTTTGTCACTGATGGCTTTTATTTCCTTGAAGTATGTCCCTTCTATGCCAATTTTGCTGAGGGTTTTATGCATAAAGTGATGCTGGATTTTGTCAAATGCTTTTTCTGCATCTATTGAGATGATCATATGGTTTTGTTTCTAATTCTGTTTATGTGGTATATCAGATTTATTGACTTGCATATGTTAAACTATCCCTGCATTCCTGGTATAAAACCCAGTTGATCATGGTGGATTATCTTTTTGATATGCTGTTGAATTCATTTAGCCAGTATTTTATTGAGGACCTTTGCATCTATGTTCATCATGAATATTGGTCTGTAGTTTTCTTTTTTTGTTATGTCCTTTCTTGGTTTTGGAATTAGAGTGATACTGGCTTCATAGAATGATTTAAGGAGAATTCCATCTTTCTCCATCTTTTGGAGTTTCAGTAAGATTGGTACCAATTATTTGAATACTTGATAAAATTCAGCTATAAAGTCATCTGGTCCTGGACTTTTATCATTGGCTGTTTTTAAATTACTGTTTCCATCTTGCTACTTGTTATTTGTCTGTTCAGAGTTTCTATTTCTTCCTGATTTAATCTAGGAGGATTGCATATTTCCAGGAATTTATCAATGACCTCTAGGTTTTCTAGTTTGTGTATTTCAAGATGTTCACAGCAGCCTTGAATGGTCTTTTGTATTTCTGTGGTATTGGTTGTAATGTCTTCCGTTTCACTTCTAATTGAGCTTATTTAGATATTCTGTCCTTTTCTTGGTTAATCTTGCTAATGGTCTATCAATTTTGTATTTGTAGTAGAGACAGGCTTTCTCCATGTTGGTCAGGCTGGTCTCGAACTCCTGACCTCAGGTGATCCAACTGCCCCGATCTCCCAAAGTGCTGGGATTACAGGTGTGGGCCACCCCGCCCTGCCATATGCTCCATATTTCTTAGATAGTCCAATACTATCATGAAAGCTGTATGTGAGGTGTTGACAAATCAAAGCAGTAACATTTCCTAGATTTTCAGAGATTTGTATACATTACAAGAAGGTTCAGGAGGCTGATGAATACTCTTATGAGAAACATTGATCTAACCCATATGTGATAGTTTTATATTATAACCTAATAGGTTTCAGTCTTCTCCATTCTTATTAGCAAGTAATTTCTGATTTCTTTTCATGCTTGCCTGAAAGATTTTTTTTTTTTTATAAACTATAGCCTAGAAATTGGGTCTTCAACAAAGAACAGTCTCAGAAACCCAGTGGAAATGACTGCAACAGATCCTGTTTAATGATTACTACTTCAAGAAATAGACTTATAGATACAAGCTTCTGAGGTGATATCACTTAGACGAGTTTAAGAGAAAAGATTTCTAGGACATTTTTTATTTCAGAAACAAGTGACTTTTTGTAAACCACTGCTAACAAAGATCCAACAGAACCTTACACAGGACTGAGTTAACTGGTAAGGGTGATCTAATTGTGGTTATTTGTTTTCATTTTCATGTTCAATGTTTTATCTTATTATGGCTATGTGATGAAGCCCTTCCTTTTCTTAATCTATTGCTAACCTTTAAGTTAGTAGTCTATGCTTTTGTATGTAGAAATAAAACATTCTGGATGGGTACAGTATCTCATGCCTGTAATCCCAGCACTTTGGGAATCTTAGCTGACAGGATTGCTTGAGGCCAGAAGTTTGAGGCTGCAGTGAGCCATGATTGTACCACTGCACTCCAGCCTGGATGACAGAGTGAGACCCTGTCTCAAAGAAAGAAAGAAAAAGAAAGCAAGAAAGCAAGAAGGCAAGGAAGGAAGGAAGGAAGGAAGGAAGGAAGGAAGGATTATTTAAATAACTTGTTTTTACTGACACCTCAAAATTTAGGAACAAATATAATTTACTGAATCTCTGTGCTTTTAATGGAAGTGTAGTTTATTTATAGATTCAGTAAGAATTTGTCCTCTTTTTGTTTTTTAGCAGGATATAATTGGACAATTTGATTGTACAACCAAAGACAAATTCAGGTGCCATGTTTGAGAATAAATTTCATTTTGTCAGGTATGACAATCCCACTGTTAAAGAACAAAAGTTGCATTTCATACGTGAAACCAATGTCCACAGCCCTCCTAGAAAACTGATCTGAAGGCTGGGCATGGTGACTCATGCCTGTAATCCCAACACTTTGGGAGGCCAAGGCAGGTAGATCACTTGAGGTCAGGAGTTCGAGACCAGCCTGGCCAACATGGTGAAACCCCATCTCTACTAAAATTATAAAAATTAGCTGGCCGTGGTGGTGGGCACCTATAATCTCAGCTACTCAGGAGGCTGAGGCAGGAGAATCAGTTGAACCTGGGAGATGGAGGTTGCAGTAAGCCGAGATTGCGACACTGCATTCCAGTGTGGGCAACAGAGTGAGACTCTGTCTCAAAAAAAAAATAAAAAAATAAAAAAATAAAAAAGGAAGGGAGGGAGGGAGGAGAGAAAGGAGAAAGAGAGAGAGAGAGAGAGAAAGGAAAATTGATCTGATATCTGTTCTATGGCTTATAGAAAAATCACTTCTTGGCAGTCAGGAATCTCTGCAGGTTTGAAGGACCTCGAGAAGAAATTCACTCTTATTTATAGATGTGGTAAGCAAAATTGATGGAGATAATTATTATCTTGGGCCTGGTTTTTTAACTTTGGAATAGAAGAGCAATTTAAAAATACTGGGATAATAGATATTATTGAAGATGCAATTGCTTTCACAGTCTTCAGACAGAAGTTAATTTTCTGGCCATAGCAATGCCTCACACCATATGGCTGTAGATTTGCTGACCAGACTACAAGGAAGTTTACATATGTTAATCTACTTTTTGCTATATGTATATAAATTAATCAGGCCAAAACACAGTGTGATTAAAAATAATACCTGAACATTATTTATAATCACAAAGAAGATAATTCAGGAGAATTATCCAAAAGTTGGAAATAGACAAAGAGATTATTACACATTCTTTCAGTGCTAAGCACTGCTGAGCAGGCCCACTGGAAATTACCCAGTTCTCTAGGAATGTGTTCCTTCGATTTGCTACTTACTACTGATTTAGGCTACTTTATAAATCTATAAAGATAGGTATTGACTTGCAGAAAACTGAAAGCGATGCAATTGGCTTTTGTCCAATAGTAATGTAAATGAATTTTGTTCAGTGGAGACACAAGTATTTCTGTCTGGTAGAAAAGATGACACCAAAGGTTATAGTGTTATTGCTCCATGGCATATTAGCCAGTTTTGTGTCTAAATTAGCAATCATATTCAGGCATTCTTTCTTCCAGTCACTGTGAATAGTTTGCTCCCTCCAATCAGTCTGCCATCTTGCTTGTTCCATTAGGAATACATACTCGCTTAGAATAAAACAGAAACCTGAACACACAGAATGAAGAAACATGAAAGTTGAGATATTTATTAATGTTCCTTTTAACATGTCATAAATGTTCATCTTCTGACTCTGTAGGAAACAAAGAAGATATCATACTAACAATCAACCGTAAGCTGAAATATCTCCCAACACCAGGCAACAAACCCAAACAGAATGTCTTGTGACTATGGAAGTGCTGGGACAAAATAAACCAAATAATTTGTATTTCTGACATAAAAAACAATTCATAATTTTATTTTTTCAACAAAACATAGCTGGCTTATTTTGCTCATAATGTAAATGTGGGATGCAAATAGTGCTAAAAATTGTATCATTAGCCGGGCATGGTGGCTCATGCCTGTAATCCCAGCACTTTGGGAGGCCAAGGCGGGTGGAACACAAGGTCAGGATATCGAGACCATCCTGGCTAACATGGTGAAACCCTGCCTCTACTAAAAGTGCAAAAAATTAGCCCGGCGTGGTGGCGGGCACCTGTAGTCCCAGCTACTCAGGAGGCTGAGGCAGGAGAATAGCGTGAACCCGGGAGGCAGAGCTTGCAGTCAGCCGAGATCGCGCCACTGCACTCCAGCCTGGGCAACAGAGCGAGACTCCATCTCAAAAAAAAAAAAAATATTAAAAGTGGAAAGTACTAAACATTTAAATGTTTTATCAGAATGGCAGTCCCATTCTGATAAAGCTCATAGTCCAAATTTTAAGTTTGCAATCATCAGTGAGGAAAAAAGCAGAAGTTGATCATGAATCAGTTTTCCATAAAACAGCATTTGTAATCATCAACATTTCTGACAGAGCGTTTATCAATGACTATTAATAAAGAGATAAATATTTTGAAAGTACTATTAGACTTCGTAACACTATAAGGTAGCTAGTTAAAAATAAGTGAGTATTTACAGATAGAAAATATTTAACAAACTTCAAAAATCATTAATTTCAATATGGGTATATTGTTATTTATGATCTTGTTTGTTACGAAACATCTATTAGGATAAAAAATTGCTTTTTGGAAGACATACACATTAACCAATAAAATGTCAACCATTATTGATAAAGTCTCAACATTGTTAACAATGTACTTAAATGTGGAATTTAAGACTTTGAAGGTAGTTTAATGGAATTTGTTGATCATACAGAACTGGAAGTAGTAACATCTGAAATGATATTGCTAAGTGTATCAATGCTTGGGAAAAATAATTTTTCACTGAGAAATAGTTACACGAAAATCTCATTGAATTTTATAGAGTGTATCAATATAATGAGATGAATAAAATATGAGGTTTCGGCACAAATTTTAGAAAAAATTTCCAGGTGTTTTAATTTGATATCATCTAAGTTACTGTATTCAGTTCTCTTTGAAATATTCAATGAAAAATGTAAATAAGTAAATCATTTTAAATCTGTCCTCCATTAACTTTATATTTATCACCTTTCTCCAAATAAGATATTAAAGATTAAATAATATACTTGAAGAGCTTAGAATTTAAATGACAAAAACCGGACAAATATTCAGTCTTCAAGAGCCAGCCTGCGGCATAAGAGCTGCAAAGGCAGGTTGGACATTGTGTCAAGGTTGAGATATTTATTTTAACAGAAATTATAAAGTGGCTATAGTTGAACATTTTCAAAATTTGTTTTAAGAGATGTGGCTTTAATCAATGACATTCATCCATTCTTTTGCCTTTTAAGAAAGAAAAGTTTCTTTGATAATTAATTTGAGGACAATTATGGTATCTGAGCCTAAAAAACGAAATATGGGAAACCATGAAAGAGACACACAAGATGTTACAGAGACAAAGCAGTACATCTTCTGTCTGTTTCCTCCTGCCCCTAGCCCTCTCTCTCTCCTTCTCTGCTCTGTTCTCTCACCTGTATGGCCCATCAAGGCTCACCAATGGGCTCCTGGGAGCTCTGCCTACCAACTGACTTTGGCCAATTGGAGCAGCAACAGAATGTCGGAGAGAGGGAGAAGTCTGAGGTCAAAGTGATCACTGTGAGGCTCCCTCCCTGCTGATAGCCAGTGCCTTCCTCGCACTGTGCACCCAGTTCTCTCTCCAAATGTTAGTAACAGCTCCATCTTCTCCTCAAGCCTGGGTTTAGTAATGACTGGCTGTGAGGTACTGCACTGACCTTTGTCTTTTCCCTGTGCTGGGCCCACCCCTTAGTAAAGAGTCTCTTTATGAACCTCTTCAAATTACTGAATTTGAGTGTTCATCTGTTTCCTACTGGGACGCTGACTGATTTATGTCATTTGAAACAACAAAAGAGAGTATCTGTTCTAAGGAAAAAAACAAAAACAAAAAACAACAATGGCTGGGCACAGTGGCTCATGCCTATAATCCCAGCACTTTGGGAGGCTGAGGAGGGCGGATCACCTGAGGTCAGGAGTTCAAGACCAGCCTGGCCAACATAGTGAAACCTTGTCTCTACTAAAAATACAGAAAAGAATTAGCTGGATGCGATAGCGCATGCCTGTAGTCCCAGCTACTTGGGAGGCTGAGGCTGGAGAATCGCTTGAACCTGGGAGGTGGAGGTTGCAGTGAGCCGAGATCATGCCACTGCACTCCAGCCTGGGTGACAGAAGAGACTCCATCTCCAAAACAAACAAACAAACAAACAAACAAACAAGACAACAAAAAACCATGAGATTATTTTTAGAAGAAAGAAAATGTGTTACATTGTTTGATAACACAAAAATTAAAAATATAATGAATGTTTATGTTCTTTCAATTTGTTAAATCTTGAAGCATGGCTAAGTGACATTTGGGTTTGAAGGTGAACAAACTTAATACATTTAGGCCAATTAAGTATGACGTTCCAATAAATAATTTTGTGTGACTCCTTCAAAAATAGAGACATAGAAGACAAAAACGTCATAAACAGTATGACAAGGGTTGGGAAAAACTTTACCTTGTTGCCATGAGTTTGGCAGGAACTGGGTGGGGGCTCAGTACTATGAACAGTGTCAATGACCTTAAGAGAAATTCTCTGTCTACTGAAACTGAAAGCCACCTGATGACTGTTAATTTATAAGGGAGTCTGTGGAAGGGTTTGATATTGTTCTAGACATCAAAAATTATTTGATATGTTTACCATTTGGGTAGTGACAGCTGAGGAAAGTAAGAATAGAAAAACAACTTCTAAAACTCCACCAGTGATTTGGAAGTTATCGACTGGTCTGGTTTGATGACTGATTTGCAGCACAACTTCTTTTTTTTTTTTCATTTTTTTATTTATTTTATTTTTTTTTTTAATTATACTTTAAGTTTTAGGGTACATGTGCACAATGTGCAGGTTAGTTACATATGTATACATGTGCCATGCTGGTGCGCTGCACCCACTAACTCGTCATCTAGCATTAGGTATATCTCCCGATGTTATCCCTCCCCTCTCCCCCCCACCCCACAACAGTCCCAGAGTGTGATATTCCCCTTCCTGTGTCCATGTGATCTCATTGTTCAATTCCCACCTATGAGTGAGAATATGCGGTGTTTGGTTTTTTGTTCTTGCGATAGTTTACTGAGAATGATGATTTCCAATTTCATCCATGTCCCTACAAAGGACATGAACTCATCATTTTTTATGGCTGCATAGTATTCCATGGTGTATATGTGCCACATTTTCTTAATCCAGTCTATCATTGTTGGACATCTGGGTTGGTTCCAAGTCTTTGCTGTTGTGAATAATGCCGCAATAAACATATGTGTGCATGTGTCTTTATAGCAGCATGATTTATAGTCCTTTGGGTATATACCCAGTAATGGGATGGCTGGGTCAAATGGTATTTCCAGTTCTAGATCCCTGAGGAATCGCCACACTGACTTCCACAATGGTTGAACTAGTTTACAGTCCCACCAACAGTGTAAAAGTGTTCCTATTTCTCCACATCCTCTCCAGCACCTGTTGTTTCCTGACTTTTTAATGATTGCCATTCTAACTGGTGCAGCACAACTTCTATAACTTGGTAAATAGTTCTGTTATTTACAGTATAGTTTATTTGGGAATAAAAGACAATATGTTTTTAAATTTGTGGTTTATACATTGATTTATATTTCAATTTGTTACCACATGAGTGGTTGTATTTTTTAATAGTGGCCATGTCATGTACTATAACAATGGCTTCTCCTAATATGAATTATGATCAATAGATGGTAGAAACCAATTTAAGTAAGGGAAAATTTAAATACAAATAATGCAATCCAGGTTTTTTTCTTTCTTTTACAAATCAACATTCCAATTTCTTTGTCATTGTCTGGGGTTGAATCATAACCACAGTTTTTCATAAAACTTCGCAAATGTTCAGAGGAACAGGGTCTGTGATTTTTTTTCCAGTCTATTACCTTCCCTCAGCAGAGGCCAGAGGAGGTACAAACTGATTTCACATCTCACAGTTGTAAGTGAAGACAGATCCCTGCCTTCAAACTCAGAGTGCTGTGTCATGCTGTAGGACAACAGGCAACATGGCATGGCAGGGGGAGGCCTGGGACAGTACTGACAGTACTCCTAGTGGACTCCCTTGTCTCTGGGGAGGAAAATGGCTCCCAAATGGTGACAATCTGCTTCACTATCTCATTCCTCCTGAGAGACCCAGGTTACAACTCTGGGAGGGTCCAGGCCCTTCCTAAAGAGTTCAGCTCTAATGATGCAGGGATGTGTGTGAGGATGGAGAGAGGGTATCATCAACCTCGAGGGGTGTGGGCCCACTCCTTGTAGACAAGAGTCCTGCTCCAGCTGTCAGGGCTCTGGTTGGCAGCCCAGCCGGATGTAATCCCCAAGTGAGACCAACCTGGAAATCAATTGGCCGAAACCTTTGCTGGAGACAGTGGCATCCAGAGGGAAGGCTGTAGCGAATACACATGAGGCTCAGCCAGACCTGGCAGGTCTAATGGTGCTCTTGAGCCAGAGATGGCTTCTGCTACTTGGACACTCCTGACACATCCAGCACAGGGAGGCATGGGCTAAGGAGGGAGGTGCAAGGGCAGGAAGAGCAGCATGTGGGGTGTGTGGGACAGGAGGTGCATGCACTGCTGCCAGCTGGCCCAGCTGTGCTCCCTGCCAGTAGCAGAATGGGCAAAGCTGCCGGGGAAGGGCTGGCCTCCAGATGTGCTTTCCTAGCGCAGGCTCTCGGACCACACATTCCCTTCATGCTGGGGAATCGGGGATAGGCGATTTTGAGAAAGAAAATGCTCACAATGGCCAAGACCAAGAGGTGGACAGGACTCTAAAGGGCTTTCATTCATTCCTTCAACCCTCTCTCGCGCCCCCAAAAACCCATCGAGGGAGGCAGCAGAGGTATCTTTGATATATTCATGGCTTAGAGTCACACACACACACACACACACACACACACACACACACACCAGTCATGCTCAAGCTTTGAAAAATGTCATTTACAAATTTTTTAATGTAGCTGTGCTGATAACATTCTTACATACTAGAGAGGGACTCCAGAGGGAGAGGCAGCTGGAGGGGTAATAGGATGGGGCAGACAGTTATAATCCTCCTGTGACTCCTCCAAGCACACAGGATAATCTGTCAGCCATTAGGAACCACAGTGTCAGGCCGTGGCTGCCCCAAGAGGAGGCTCAGAGACAGTTCACACTGCGGCAGCTGTAGCCCGCGGTTTGGAGATGTGTCTCAGCTAAACCAGCTGTCGGCGCCCAACTCAGAGCGTCAAACTACTTCGGAGGGTGGGACCAGGGCCTCTTGGGCTCCTCTTCTAGGGTTGCTGATTCTGACGCCATCTGTGGAAGTAAAGACAGGCATGGGCAGCAGGGACAGGGCCTGCCCCTTGGAGGTGGGAACAGCAGGGGCCTGAGTGTGATTCTCGCCTCGGGGGAGGGAAGGAGGTGTGGACAGGACAGGCAGCTGCCTCCCCAAATGAGTAATGAGCATAAAAATGAGTGTGGTGCCTTGCTTGGTGGATGGAGAGGACAGGCCTGGAGCAGAGAAAAGCAAGCACCTTCCCCAGCAGCATCCTCCCTAGCTAGGAAGGCTGGTCTTCTCTGGGTAGCTGTGATAAATCACCAGCACATTCTTCCTGGGACCTCAGCATCTTTTTCTACAGTGTAAGCCACTATCTTAGTGATAGTGGCTTATCACTAAGATAGGGTGGCTTATCCACTGTACCTCCAATTTATGGTTCTCTCCTCTGCCTGGTCAAACCTCACCCTGCCCATTCATTTACTCAACACATTTATTGAGCATCTACTATGTACCAGACCCAGTGCTGGAAAGGTCTCGAATTCAGACAGACCTAGACTCGAATTCTAGTTTGGCCACTTAATAGTTTTATGACTTCAGGTGTTGTCTAATCTCCCTGAGCGTCAGATGTCTTAAAAGGGGGACAAAAATACATACCTTAGAATGCAGTTGTAACAGTTAAATGAGATAATACAAGGTGCTTAACATCATGGGCAACAACTCTAACACCTCTTCCTCGGTTCTCTTTCCCTTCCTGTAGGATAGAGCCCTTGCCTTGTGCTTCCCCAAACACCCTGCAGCACCTAGCACACTGTGAGCACTCCACAAACGTTGGGTAAAGGACTCTAGATATTTCCGGGTGAAGAGTTGGGACACAAGAATCACACGCCTTGTGCTGGGGGACTCTCACTGTGCCTCCAAGCCCTGGTTAGGAGATTTATGGCTGCTTTTGGAGACACTGTCACTCTTTCATTTTGTTTTTGTTTTTATCCTCTCTCCCTCTTGTTAGCAAAAGAGCAAATCAAGACCTGGGGGACAGAAACTTGCCAATAGGGAAGCTGAGCTGCAGAGTGGGGAGCATGCTGGGTGAGGCCAGGAGACCTGGTTCAAAGCATGGACATGCTATGAACAGCATGTGTGCTGGGGCTAAGGCTTTGACATTCTTGGCAGTCCACATCTGCCTCCTCTGAAGTGTGGCTCATCCCTGCTCCATCTACTATGTAAGGTTGTTAGCAAGAACTGGGCCACCATATAGGTGCCATGAAAATGATTTGGAGAGTTCACAGTGCTTTGGCAACTGGGGCTGTCAACTGTTACTTTTGTTTCTCATTAAACCACGTGCACATTTGTGTTAAATGTTCTGTTGGAAAGAATAAGGAATGGGATGTTGGAATCTTAGGTTTAAATCTGGACACAGCTACTAACTTGTTGTGAGATCCTGAGCATCTCCTTGTCCATTCTGTAAACCCAGAGGTTGTGCGAGGTAATATATCACTGCCCTCCAGGATTTAAAGGCTGATGACTCTGAACAGACTCTAGTGCCTGTGAGCAGACATTCATGGCATTGAAACTCAGCAAATTCGCTCCAGCTCTAGATGTTTTGGAGAGTGACAATCTGTTGACAATGAAGTAGCTGGCTTCTTTAGGCCAGACTTTTGGCAGTTTACCCAGAGGGTGCTCAGGCAGGTGGGGGTTGAGCCAGAGGCTGCTTGGGCCATTGCTACAGCCCATGTGCAAGGCAGCTTGTGGGATTGTAAGCACATATTTGAGAGGAAAATAATTTTCCTTGAACAAAAGTCTGGCAGCTGCAGGAGATGTGGAACCCTGGTTCTGAGGTTTTCCAAGCCCTGTCAGATTTTTGACTCTTACCCAATGTGCTTCTGCACCAAAGTTGCAGTGGGGGAAACTTCTGATTCCCCCTTCAACCTCTTCCCCTGTTTAGTGCTGTTTGGCTCCTCAGTGGTCCCACATCACACTCCAGCCTCACAAGGCATCATGGAGAATCAGGGAGCCACAGAGCTTCTGTATTGGAATAATTGAGAGAAGCTTGATTCTACTGTCTTCACATCTTTCCAGTAGTTTTGCTGAAGAATAGGAAACCAACAAAAGTGGCATTTTGTATAAAGGCTTACTATAAAGTCAACATATGAGCATAGTAATGCTGTTTTGATGGTCCCCAAATGGAAAATTCAGAATTAGGTGTTACAGTTATAATCATATCAATATAAGCTTTCAATTTATGTTTGCATTTGTTGTTGTTGTGCAGATCATTAAGAAGATAAGGAGCTCCAATGGCAAATTTTTAGTTGGCTTGGAATCTGAGGATACCTTTCAATTACACAGAGGTGGCTAAGAAGCATCCTTTGTGATCTGCTTAAAAACAAGTTCACCTTCTCCCTCTCTTTCTCTCTCTCTCTCTCTTTCCGGGAGTAAAGGTGGATTGGCAAATTTATAAACCACAGACTAGATTACTCAGTCATGGGGCATGCATTCCCCCATCTGCGTCTGTCTGGTGCCTAGCATAGCACCTAGATAATGTTAAGAACTTGATAAATGTTTGTTGACTGAATAAAAAAAATGGCCAGTTTACTTGATATTTTAATCTTGAAGATATCTTCCTGACAAACTTTCCACCATATTCTCAGTGAAAATAGAGAGATAGATTATAGGTAGGTAGGTATAGAGATAGATAGAGCTAGCCTCTCTTGCAGCTGGGTTGGTAGTCATGTGACTCAGTTCTCACTGACGGAATATGAGCAGAACCGAGATATGTAGCTTCTGCATCGCTTGCTTAAATGCAAGTAGATTGCCCTTCATTTCTGCTCCACCTTGCTCCCTATGAACAGAGATGCTGACAAGGTGGTGACCCAGCTTTGATCCTGCAGATGAGGACAACTCTCAAGAGGATGGCAGAGTAACAGGGTGGAAGAGGCCTGGGTGCCGAGCGACTATGTGGAGCAGAGCTTCCCTCCTGGCCTGAACCACTCATTTCCAGACTGCCACGGGGAAGAGAACCATGCTTCAGTGTGACTGCGGTCTCTGTTAAAGCAGCGTGTCCAGCCTTACATAAAGCCCTACATCCTAAATACTAAACCTGTCTGGGGCTTACTCCTCAGTCACAGTCACCTTTGCAGAGGGTAAAATACACACCTTGCTGAAATTACAAAAGGTCAAGGTCAGAGTATGGTATGTGGAACCCAAGAGGGAAAATTAGAGCCCTCTTGCCTAGGAGCCAACCTTTCAGGAGTCTAGGGTCAGGTATAGAAGGGACCGATATGGAAAGACACCAGCAGAAGGAGTGGTTCTCAGGGATGCTGAGGAAAGACATCCAGCGGGGCTCACTGGCCTTTTGTAACCCATAGCTCTGATCATCCTTGGCCCAACCAAGTTCTGAACTCACAACGGTAGGAGCCATGTTTCAAAGAAGCAGCATCCTTAGTTCTCATGTCCAAGGATTCCTTTCGCACCAAGAACTTCCAAGTCTTCCCTCTTCATCCAGTGTGTGTGTGTGTGTTTGTGTGTGTGTGTGTGCACGTGTGTGCACTGTGGGGGCTGGATGGAGAGGGCTGAGGTTGAGGGTTCAAACGGGGCTCCCATCTGGATGGCAGGCTCTACTTTTCATTCTAGGTGCTGTGACGGTCATCTGGTTATGATGGACTCTGACACTCACACCAGACCTGGCTTTCCCGGGGCCTCAGGGTGCACCCATCACTGGGTTATACCCCCTGGGATGTGGAACCCTCTGCTCAGGCAAGCAGCCCCTTCTCGGACTAGGTCTTCCGTCTATGCCTCCAACATGCAAATATCATGGAGCCAGTCATCCTCCCACTTCTAAGGGCCTTGTCTTTCTTCTGTTTGATCTTGCTGACGCTGACAGGAAGTCCCAGGACTCTGCTAGGGGACTTTGATCCGCGTAATAGAATCAGGCAGAGGGAGTCACTAACATATGCTGAAAGGCTTTTTGGCTGGCTTGGGCTCAGGGCTAAGTGAAGCATGGGCTGGGATGCTTAATGAGGGCAAATTCAGGAAAACCCGGGAAATAAAAAGTGAAAGATGTAAAATAGGGAGAGATTATCGCTGAATTCTTGTAATTGTCTGACAAGCCCCTCTGGAGGGGCAGACAGTGACTAAGAAGGGACTCTGCCATGGGATGATGATTAGGGCTTGGCAGGCAGAGGTGCGGTTTATACTTGGTCTTGAAGGAAGCTAAATGTTCCAATCCAGGTTTTTTCGATCACTGGTTTTGTCAGTTTTCTTCCTCCCGCCCCTGCCCCAAAGCTCGTTAGCATGAGTCAGGCGAAGGATGCTGAGGACTTAGGGAAGTAGGCGGCTGCCTCCCTTTTGTTTGGGAGGGCTGGGCTGGTCCCAGCTCTGCCCTAAGCAGTCACATGAAGCGACAAAGCTTTCCTTTCGCCTCCGCAGGCCTCGGTCTTATTAGTAGCGTGGACCCAGTCACTTCTCACCATCTCTGCTGTGTGGCACATGCAAAGTTGGCTTGTGTGTCTGCCCCTCTATGCTGGACTCCAGCTGTGGGTCCCGGGGAGGGGCAACTTCAGGAGGCAAGAGGGTCCCACTGAGGCAGTGAGGCTGCATGTTGCAGGAACCTGAACTTGGTGTGATGCTCGGTTCTTTCCTGGAACTGACCTGACTTCAGCTAGCTGCATGAACTTGGACGTGGACTTAGCTTCTCTGAGCCTTACTTTTTTCATCTATAACATGGAAGTTGTGAAGAGGAAATAAAATGTTCCATATAAAGTGCTGAGCACAGTGCTTGTCCTTAGGGAGTGCTCAATTCATATTTACCATTACTACCATTCTTCTCCCACTTCTCAGGCTACTCCCTGTGGCACACTAGACCTGGCCTCTGATTCTTCAGCTTCCCCTTGGCCTAGGACTCTGAAACAAAGTTTCATCTTTTGTTAAGATGATGTGACTCATTCATGGTGAGAAAAGCTTTTCATCCAGCTGCTGGCTGGGGTCCTCCTTAGGACACTGTGGGAAGAAATAAGGACCTAGTTGGAGAATAAAGACACACAGGCTTACAGAGAGATGACAGAAACTTAGTAAGGTGGAATTTTAAATTTGGACAAGAGCTGGAAATAAAGTGTGCTTTATTGCTATCTAGAAAGAAATAAACAGCTACCAGGCACTATGGTAGCCATTTTGCATACTGTATTTCCACTTTTTTCAGCACTCTCACAGGTAAAGTATTATTTTCTTCATTTTACAGGAAAGGAGATGGTATCAGAGACTAACGGAATTGACCAAGGCCACACACTTAGAAAGGGCTAGAGCCAGGATTTGAATCAGGTGAAGTGTGGTGCCAAAGCCCACGATGTAGAAACACTGCCTCTGCAGTGAGCCTTTCTAACTTCGCCCCACCTTCTGAGACCAAGTGCACCATAGTGCCTGCCTTGGGCCAGGTACACAGGATGGGGCCTGTGGGCTTTGGTGGACCACAGCAGGCCAAATGCATGATTCTGGCCACATTGGCAGCAAACTCCAGGCAATGGAGCCAGCTGCTGGCTGGGGTCCTCCTTGGGACACTGTGGGAAGAAGTAAAGACCTGGTTGGAGAATAAAGACCCACAGGCTTACTGAGAGATGACAGAACTTCACTAAGGTGGAATTTTAAATTTGGACAAGAGCTGGAAATAAAGTGTGCCTTATTGCTATCTAGAAAGAAAGAACATGCCAAGCAAATTAATAATGTAAACAAGATTTCCCACAAGAATCTTTAATCCATATAATCCTGTCCAATTCAATAAACAGTTTGTAAGCACTTACTGGGTGCTGAATTGAAGAACCGAGTGAATTTGTCCCTTTCAAAGGGAGTTCACAGCCCAGCCTAGAAGTAAGCAATCTAAGTGCACACACACGTGTACACACACACACGCACAAACACACACGCACACACACACAAACACACACACACACACACATATACAAACACAAACACACACATGCAAAGTATTTTAAAAAGTAAGTTCTGCGTGAATAAAATGAAAAGAGGGATAAATTAGGTTTGGCAAGATCCAAGAAAACTTTTAAGACTCAACTGACAATTTTCATAAATGCTTTCCTTCCAGAGGTCCCTTTTATTTGAAAGATTAACCTAGTGATGAAAATTATCCCTATCAAATTATTAAAGCAGGGTATCAAAGGGCTGATATCAACTCAACTTTTGTCAGCCTAGTTTAAACTATCATGTGAACATTAAAATAATAAGACTTTTCCCCTTCTAGAGACATTCTAGAATTTAGGTGTGCATTTGGTTCAAGTGCATCTCTCTCTCAGTCCAAGCTAATGCAGCTTCTCTGTAGGTCATGTGTAGAAAACTTATGTTTTCCATTTCTCAGGGGGTCCTGAAGCATTTTGCAATGAATGAACATTTACTAGAAAAAGGTGAAAATATGGTACAGAGGAATTCAGAGTTAAGATCAAACAGAGAGTACATGGGATGGTACCCTAGGGAGGGGAACTGGGCTATGGGCTTGGCATTTAACCAGTTCTCCTACAGAGACAGGAGAAGCAGTTGTGGGGTGAAGATGGTAGTCAGGAAATGGCAAAATTCAGACACAGAATTGGCAAGAAGCAAGAAAGATGGAGTAGGGTAGAGGCCTTGGCTCTGATGGGTCTATTTTGGAGGGTGGTTGGGAGGCTGTAAACCCTTGGTGACAGGATGTTGGGGCCATAGGAGGCTGGGAACCAGTGGGTGCTCTCTGTGGTTACCTCCCCTGGCTGTTGAGCCTGAGTCGGCTCATGCTCCAAGCCCCCTCTCTCAAAAACCAACATCCCTTCTTGAGTGCTCACTCAAACCCAACTACACTGACTCAGCAGGCCCGGGAAGCACCGAGAAACCTTTGGGGGAAATCCAAAGCCCAGACCTTCTTATTCTGAGAACCTCCCACCACCGGAAGGAAGAAAAGATCACGAAACTCAGCACTTTCCAGCCCACCATTCCTGTCCACCGTGGTGGCACTGGCCAAGGGTTGGCGGGTCTGCAGCTATTTTTACCCTCAGATTTCCGGAATTGCCAACCAATCCTGGTTACATGACACCACAGTCAACTCAACTACATCCGTAGTAATCACAAGAAACCTAAGCCACAATGTGCATCTGTACAAGGCCACACTCACCCTTATCCTGGACACCCGGGACCCTGACTACAGAGTCGAGTGCCAAGGCCCAAGCTGGAGAGCAAGGAGGCACCTCCTTCAGGCTTTCCAAGGGTCAGACGGATGTTCCTAGTAGCCCACAGCCACTGCCTGTTGGAGGACACCAAAGTTCAGGGTTTGTGTTTCAATCCTTCCAAGGGCCTCTAAGTTAGATGTTCCTGTGGTTTGTGGTGGACTTGGTCCATAATAGTATTTTACAGCCACAAAGAGCTACTTTGTTGAAGCCTGTCTCGCCCGACCCTGTGTTAATGGTTACCAACTTGACAATGGTTTCTTTCCTTTTTTAATTCTCTCACCTGTGAACCTCCAGCTGACTTACCTTTCGTTTTCCACCTTCCATCTGCCTCTCAGTCAACAGACTTCTTTCAGAGATTCTACAGGCTGGTATATTTTGAAAAGGAAATATTCCCTCATAGTGTGGATAGATAAATAATGTCAATGTCAAGAAAATTTTAATCCTAAATAGATTTTTTTTTTTCTACCTGGAATATATGAGAAGAATCCTGTGACCTGTAAAGTCCCACTCAAGGCTTTTCCAGGCTGCTGGAAGGAGGGTGTTTGGGAAGAATGAAAATGATCACAGTATTCTTTTCTCCAGTGGCATCCAATGGCTTTGGTTTTCTTTGAAGTGAGAGCTAGAAGAGTCAAAGAATACTTGTTTATAATTGTTGTTTAAATAGCATTTATTGCTGTGTTATATAAAGATAGTCCCGGCTGCAGGCCAAAGGCTGGCCCAGTTGCTCTGCCACCATCTTCCTGGAAAGGAGACCCTCGCTCACAGTGGATGTTTCTGCCTCCTAGTGACCAAAACGTTGTCCACTGAAAGCAACTGAATATTCAAGCCACCATTTTCTTTTTCTTTTATTGACAAATGTTTTTTGAGCCTCAAAACACTACTAAATCATAAGACCATTCCCCCTTGGATTTCCCTCAGAAAATTAACTTGGATCAAGAAGGATTCAGTGTGAGTCGGTCTCTAAATCTGCCCAGCTCAGGGAGCTCAAATGTTGGCCTACAGCCCCTCTTTTGCAGGCCCAGCTTCCGGTGACCATTCATCAGGGGATTTGCAACAGCAAGTATTTTCTGTCTCAGTTACTGATCTGTGATTCACCAACTGCAGAATTACCTAGCTGGCCCATCAGCAAGGGCGCCTCAGGGCTCAGAAGGCCAGGGTGGGTGGCATGGGGTGAGTTGAGGTGGGAGGAAGACGCAGAGAAAAGCTACAAAAACAACAGACTTGATAGGTGCACTATTTCATCATGTAATATTCAAATATAAGACCCTGGCCCAAAATAGCTGCTCACTTGCTGCCTTTTCTCTCTGTGCTAGCTCCAAGAAACACGAAGTGAGAAGGAGCTGAACAAAATGCCTCATTCATGAGAGCCTGGCGGATGCAAAAGAGTTCACAACTCGATAATCCCTGACAGCCCTCATTAAATCATGGCACTGCAGGTGCGAAGGCTGCTGGGAGTGGGGCTGTAACCCGGGTGGGCAGTGTCAGTCCCAAGCCAGAGGACTGGAACTCTGTCCCTTGATTCTCTGTAAGGCAGGAGAGGTCAGCTTCCAAGTTGACAAGGGGACAGCCTGGCCAGGGAACAGTCCCAATTCAGAATGAATACTTAAGGCAGAAGTCTTTCTGCAGCAAAAAGTCAGAGGCTTTCCTGTTAATTTGATGTATGTTCGTATAAAGGCTTGGTTTCTTCAATAAAATCGAGCCCCAGATACTCCAAAACCAGTAAGGGGGGAAGAATCTTTTGGTTCTTGATTCTCATCTCTCAAGAGTCACCCTCCTCTTAGAGGTCAATCCTAACTGCTGTTTTCTGCACATCAACTGCAGGAAAGAGCCTTCCTTGGCAGCTGGAGCACAACATGTGATCCTACCAGTACCAGCACACAAGAGGTCCCTGGTTTCGCCATAGGGGAGCATCTCCAGCAGGCACAGGAGGGCATCTTGTTAAATTGCAAATATCATTGAGAATCATAGCCCATGATGCTGTTCCTAATATTACAAGGTGCCAAGAGGGGATATAAAGGAGTGAAAGAACCCAGCTCCTGCCCACCAGTGACCCCACCAGCAAACTGTTGGTTGGCAAGCAACAGTCACAAAGGAAAACTGACATAGAAGGCAGCTTTAGACAACCTCTCTTGTCCTGTTTCTTTTCACGTACAATGGGGATGATGATAATAAAAACAGCACCTGGCTCTATCAGATGGTTAGGAAAATATAATGAGTCTGGAAATCTAGTATGAGCCTCTCAAAATTATATTAGTTAAGTGAAAACTTCCTATGGCATCGTTTGCCACAAGACAGGCTCCAGGGTAGTGCAACTCTGCTAGACCCTTCCTGGTGGTTTTATTTCCTGGCCTAATAGAGGCTGTGCTCCCCAGGGCCATGGCATGTGTCCCAGGGACTTCACTTTGTGAGGTCTTAAGTCACTTTCTGCAAAGAGAAAAATCTGGCTGCTGGGTCTCTTGGTATACAAGTTGAACTTGTAGCTACGGGGACATCAGGTTTTCAACTTTGATATGCACATTTAAGCCTTTACTTAGTGAAAATACTTTCTTAATAATTAAGATTTTTATTTGATTATTTGAGGGTATCAAATTGTCACATGCATCCCAAAAATATGTACATCTATTACACATCAATAAAAAAAAATTAACTCTTTCATCTGGTCACCTAGATAGCAACCAATATGTGAGGAATTGGGAATGAAAACACAGAAGTCATTCAAAGCAATCCAAACCATTGAAATTCAACCACCGTGTTAACACACTTTGCAAGCAGACTGAAGAAAAATGTAAAACTGAAGCTATTTCTAATGGCTTTAGTTAAACAAAATAAACCTGGAAGCGAAAGTAAAATTATTTCTCCCAACTGCAGTTTTTACAAGGGTAGAAAAATCAAATGCTTTCCTTAAACTACAAAGCAGACAGAACCCTTCAAAAGTACATGAGAAATGGCAGGTATTTAGGTGATTAAGTTTGAGTGGACATGTAAGAAATGTTTCTGGAACACTGTGGAGCAACTGGACAGGATGGCACTCAGCAGAATCATCAGGACTGGATGGTGTTAGAAATGCAAGCCTGCAGCTACACACTTGTATCCCAGGACTTGGAAACTGAATCCATCCTTAACTCCCCGCTACCTTCATCTCCCAAGAGACTAAGACTTGAAGGTCTTCAGAAAGCTAGAATGTTTGAGAAATCACAGGCAAAGTATTTGAAATCATGAGCATTTTCTGGGGCCTTCCTTCTGTTTTTCTAATTGGCCTTCCCCCGTGTGTTAGCCAGCTCAGGCTGCCATAACAAAATGCCACACACTGGGTGGCTTAAACAGAAATTTATTTTCTCACAGTTCTGGAGGCTAGAAGTTCAAAATCAAGGTGTCAGCAGGTCTGGTTTCTCCTGAGGCCTCTCTCTTTGGCTTGCAGATGGCCACCCTCATGCTGTGTCTGTACATGGTTATCTCTGTGTTCACACACATCCCTGTGTCTGTCTGTGTATCCAAATTTCCTCTTCTTGTAAGGACACCAGTCAGATCGGATTAAAGCCCGCCCTAATAGTCTCATTTTAACTTAATCACCTATTTTAAGATGCTATCTGCAAATACAGTCCCATTCTGAGGTACTGGGAGTTAGGATCTCAACACAGAAATTGGTGGTGGGGAGGAGGGGGCACAATTAGCCCATAATGCTCTGTTCTTAATCTCCCTACATCTCTGCACTGGGGATATTCTGCTGGGGGCTCTCTTGCCTGCTTTCTCTTCCATCTCTGAACCTCTTCATCTTTCTGACTCGGCGTCCTCAGTTCCTCTGTGCATGTCTCTTCCACCCACACCCTCCGCCCTCTTACCTACCTCATTCTTCCTGTCTTTCTTCAGATATCTGTTCATTTCTATGTGCCTGTTGTAAGTAATAGTGTATCAGTCTGTTCTCACACTGCTAATAAAGAGATGCCCAAGACTGGGTAATTCATAAAGGAAAGAGATTTAATGGAGTCACAGTTCCACATGGCTGGGGAGGCTTTACAATCATGGCAGAAGGCAAAGGAGGAGCAAAATGACATCTTACATGGTGGCAGGCAAGAGAACTTGTGCAGGGGAACTCCCACTTCTAAAACCATCAGACTTCGTGAGACTTATTTACTATCACGAGAACAGTATGGGGGAAACCACCCCCATGATTCAACTATCTCCACCTGGCCCTGCCCTTGACACGTGGGCATTATTACAATTCAAAGTGAGATTTGGGTGGGGACACAGCCAAACCATGTCAGATGGCAACAGAAAAATGTTGTCCCTGCCCCCTAGAAACTTTTATTCTGAAGTGGAGAGGAGACTTGACCTCAGATAACCATAATACAAAGGCAGCTTGTGATTAGCACCGTAAGAGACTAGAGCGGAGGTTGGCTGGGCACGGTGGCTCATGCCTGTAATCCCAGCACTTTGGGAGGCCGAGGTGGGTGGATCACAAGGTCAAGAGACTGAGACCATCCTGGCCAACATGGTGAAACCTCATCTCTACTAAAAATACAAAAATTAGCTAGGTGTGGTGGCGTGCGCCTGTAGTCCCAGCTACTTGGGAGGCTGAGGCAGGAGAATTGCTTGAACCCGGGAGGTGGAGGTTGCAGTGAGCCGAGATCGCACCACTGCACTCCAGCCTGGTGACAGAGCAAGACTCTGTCTCAGAAAAAAAAAAAAAAAAAGACTAGAGACTAGTAGAGGCTGGCAAACTACAGGCCATAGGCCAAATCCAGCCCACCTGTTTTTATAAATAAAGTTTTATTGAAACACAGCCATGCCCATTTTTGTGTGCATTATTTATGGCTGCTTTTGCGGAGTTGTGTAATTGTGACAAAGACTATATGGCCTGCAAAGCCAAAGATATTTACTTTCTGGTTCTTTACAGAAAAAAGTTTGCTGACTCTTGCACTAAAGTCAGATTTTACAGATGCGAGGTAGGATGAATCCCATTTGACTACTGCACTGGGAATATGTCCCTGAGGAAGTATAGTTTCAGCTAGGCTTTGAAGGATTCATAAAAGTTCAAGAAGTGAAGGTGGGAACAGGGTTCTAACAACATGAACAGCACGGACCAATGTGTGAGGCCACAGAAATCTGATGCATATTTGGGGCCAAAGTGAAGATAGGAGCCTGGATCTCAATCAGTGGGCTGTGGAGTATCTTGGAGACTTTTGTAGCAGGGGTTGACCTATAATTAGCACAGATGAGGCACTGCATGAAATACACAGATGAATTAGACCTGATTCCTGCTATCAAGGAGCTTATAACTCTAATAATGGTAATATGACAAGTGCCCAAACAATTATATTACAGGGCAGAACAATGCCTCTATAGGGAAACCTAAACCTGGAAAGTGATCAAAGAGGGGTTCAAGCACAGTAAAAACTGATAATCAGGTAGAGGATGGATTATTAATGACAATAATAATGATAATTAAGATTCACTGGGCCGGGTACAGTGGTTCACGCCTATAATCCCAGCACTTTGGGAAGCTGAGGTGGGCGGATCACTTGAGGCCAGGAGGTCGAGACCAGCCTGGCCAACATGGTGAAACCATGTCTCTACTAAAAATACAAAAATTAGCCGAGCATGGTGGTGTGTGCGTGTAATCCCAGCTACTCGGGAGGCCGAGGTGGGAGAATTGCTTGAACCTGGGAGGCAGAGGTTGCAGTGAGCCAAGATTATGCCACTACACTCCAGCCTGGGTGACAGAGTGAGACTCCATCTCAAAAAAAAAGAAAGAAAAAAGATTAACTGGACCTGTGGTATGAGCCAGGTCCTCTGCTAAGTGCTTTACACACCACATCTCAATTAATGTCATAATAACCTTGTAAGGAGATACTCATATTATTCCCAATTAACTGATGAGGTAACTCAGTTAAGTCAGATGACCCAGTTAACTATTATTCCTATTTAACTGATGAGGAAATTCAAACTAAGCTGGGATTTGAACCCAAGTTAGATACTTCTATACTCCATACATCCAAATTAGATACTCCCAAACCCCATGCATCCTAGTTAGACACTCCCATACTTCATGTATCCTAGTTAGTCACTTCCATACTCCACACATCCTAGTTAGACACTGCCATACTCCATGCATCCTAGGTAGTCACTTCCATACTCCATGCATCCTAGTTAAATACTCCCATACTCCATGCATCCTAGTTAGACACTCCCATACTCCATGCATCCTAGTTAGATACTCCCATACTCCATGCATCCTAGTTAGATACTCCCATACTCCATGCATCCTAGTTAGACATTCCCATACTCCATGCATCCTACTTAGTCACTTCCATACTCCACACATCCCAGTTAGATACTCCCATACTCCATGCATCCTAGTTAGATACTCCCATACTCCATGCATCCTAGTTAGATACTCCCATACTCCATGCATCTTAGTTAGATACTCCCATACTCCATGCATCCTAGTTAGATACTGCCATACTCCATACATCGTAGTTAGACATTCCCATACTCCATGCATCCTAGTTAGATACTCCCATACTCCATACATCCTAGTTAGATACTCCCATACTCCATTCATCGTAGTTAGACATTCCCATACTCCATGCATCCTAGTTAGATACTCCCATACTCCATACATCCTAGTTAGATACTCCCATACTCCATTCATCGTAGTTAGACATTCCCATACTCCATGCATCCCAGTTAGTCACTTCCATACTCTATGCATCCTAGTTAGGCACTCCCATACTCCACGCATCCTAGTTAGACACTCCCATACTCCATGCATCCTAATTAGACACTCCCATACTCCATGCATCCTAGTTAGACACTCCCATACTCCATGCATCCTAGTCACTTCCACTTCCATACTCCATGCATCCTAGTCACTTCCATACTCCACGCTTCCTAGTTAGATACTCCCATACTCCATGCATCCTAGTTAGGCACTCCCATACTCCACGCATCCTACTCCACACATCCTAGTTAGATACTCCCATACTCCATGCATCCTACTCCACACATCCTAGTTAGATACTCCCATACTCCATGCATCCTAGTTAGACACTCCCATACTCCATGCATCCTAGTTAGTCACTTCCACACTCCATGCATCCTAGTTAGATACTCCCTCCATGCTCTTCACCACTAAGGTGAGAGGGGCAGCAGGGAGAGACCTATTGGAAGACTTTTGCGGAAGTCTTACCATTTGGAGAAAAATGAACAGGAGGATTTAAGATTTGTAGTTTATAGTTAGTATTTGAGTAGGTTCCAGTTTTTGAAAAAACAAGGGGGGGAAATGTATAAGGACGACTGATGGCTCAGCACTTGGTTCCAATGTGTGGGTTGTGAAGGAATGGATTCCCTGCTGCTCCTTTGGGAGCAATGTGCTCCTCTCCCCTTCTAGGAGAGAACTCTAAAGGTGTTGTTCTCAATAGTATGTGCTCACACCATAATAGTTTGTGCTTTACATTTAAAAGTACCTCAAGGTTAGTGATATAACTGGAGGCTCACTGAGGCTGAGGATTGCTGGCATTTCAGATGATGGGTGGTGAGGGGCGGGGGTGTTTGGAAGAAGCCCCTCTGGCCCTTCCACCATCCTCCTACAGGGTGCTGACAAGACTCCTGGAGATGTACGGGAGGCCTCATGGTACTAAGAACCACAGCTAAAAACCATGGCAGAGCAGGGGGCTTGGCGCATCAACAAGGAAGCATCCTCTGGGCAGCAAATGAGCTGGTGGGAAAAGAGACGCTCTGCAGTCCTGACACCCAGCAGGGAGGAGCAGGGAGGAGCAGGGAGGAGCAAGGAGGATCAGGGCCTGCTGACTACATTTGGGTCCTGAGGAGAAAGGTCAGGAGCTACTGCCCAGGGTGTCAGGGAAGACAGAATAGATTCAATGCAGGAAATCAGTAGCCCTTTGGTCCCCCCTTTTCCCCCCTGGGGTTCCACCACATACCACTGGGTCATAAATGACAAGGTGCAATTACAGCAAAGTGCTAAAGTTACAAGTTTGTTCTAAACACTCTTCAACAAAGAATATTCAGTGAAAAGGAACCCCAGGGAGTTATAAACCTTTTTTGCTGTGTAGAAACCATAAGGTTTCCATCCAAGAATGTGTTGTCTGTTTGAGGCTGGCCTTTATTCTTTCAGACGGGTGCCAGTGGCATGCATCTCAAATGAGCAGTTGTCTGTGGCCCCAGAGTCTGTGGCTGAGGCATATCTAATCAGGTTAAGCGGCCGTTCATCCCAGCTGTCAGCTCTCTGGAAATCAGAACATTATCTGCAACCACACACAATTCAAATAAGAGGCTGGCATTCAGAGGCCTGAATCTCCAACTTCCCCCCAACCTTGCTGTGATGGTCCCTGGTTTTCTCTTTTCCTACGTGACTATATACAATAGTAGCAAAGCTATTTTAGGGATTAAAACAGCTAATTGCAGATTTCCATCATGGCCAGCCACTCAGAACACAGGTTTGAAGAGCGAGCTGTGGTCTTTGCCTCTGGGGATGGTTTTGGCTCCTTTGCCTGTGAAGTCCACATCGCTGGTCCTTAAAGTTGTTAACGGGGGCTCTTCCATGTGGCCCATGTGGTTCTGGGCTTGAGGAATTTGGTGGAACTTAGTGAGAAATAGTGTGTGATGGTCTCTTGGCTCTAGAAGTGTGGCTAGAAGGGCCTTTAAACATCATCTACTCTGCCTGCTTTACTGGATCAAGAAATCAGGCTCAAAAAGACTCACCACTCTTGAAGTGGCATGAGGCTCCATGTGTCCTGACTGTCTTTCTGGTGTGCTCTCTTATGAGATGCCTGAACAACTTGATCCTGTTGCTTAACAGCATAAGGGAGGCAGTAAAACAGGACTAAAGTCAGGTTTAAATCCAGGTTCCCACATACATAGTGGTATGATTGTGGGTGAATTATTTAACCTGGCTGAGCTATAGTTGCTTTATCTATAAAATGGCAGTAATAATACCTGCCTATCAGGTTGACCAAGTATTTACACAAGATCATGACTTAAAGCTTTCAGCACAATACCTGACATTTAGTAAATGGCCTCTTGACAGTGTTTGGTGTATGTCTTGGTCTGTTCAGGTTGCTATAACAAAATATCATAAATTGGGTAGCTTATAAGTAATGGAAATTTATTGCTCACAGTTCTGGAGGCTGGAACGTCCAAGATCAAGTCAGCAGCAGATCTGGTGTCTGGTGAGGGCCCCCTTCCTGGTTCACAGTCAGTGCCTTCTCTCTGTGTCCTCCTCACATGGTGGGAGAGGAGAAGGAGCTCTCCAGGCCCTCTCTTATAAAAGTGCTAATCCCATTCACAAAGACTCTGCCTTCATTACCTAATGACCTCCCAAAGGCCCCACCTGCTAACACCATCACTTTGGGGGTTAGGATTTCAACATATTAATTTTGATGGGGGTGCATAAACACTCAGCCCACTGCAGTGTCCCTGTTACTATTGTAATGATGATATGTGGATCCTTTTGCTGAGAGCTACTCTACAGATTCTCCACCTAGGAGATGCATTGGACGTTGATTTTCATGCAGCAGCTCCCTCCAGCTACCTAAATGCCTCCTGTCATTTCTGAGAGGTAATCTCCACAGGGCCAGTGGGACCTAATCCTGGGAAGGCTGGGGACATAGAGGGAGCAGAGACATTCAGGAGGAAAATACATTATTTTATCCCCAAGAATTAAATATCCTCCTGCAATGAAAATAAAGCCTTCCAATTGTGGTCCTCCTCTTTCTTTAGAATAGATTGGATGTGCAGGATAACATGCTCACTCACCACTCAATGTCCTTGGCCTCTCCAGAGAAAGCTGTTTGTGTATCTCCACCACTGGCCCAGAGGACACGCTGCATGAGGCAGCCCACAGTTGCCAGGTAGGGTTTCCCTCCTTCAGGGGAAAGTGTGGTTCTCACAAGAGAGGAAAGGATGGTTCCTGCTTTGCTCATTGCCATCCCAGCTCAGAAGGCAGTATCTTGAATTAATTTCAGAAGAGAAAGTTTCCAGTTTGGGGACAATGATAGACACTTTGCAGGAGAAGGGGGTCTTTACTGGGGATATTCTTTTGGTGAGATAATTTGACTAGAAATAGAGAACGGAGCCTTGAAGATGGGAAAGAAAGAAAACAAGCATTTGGGCAGTGAGCTGGACTTGAGGAGAACCGGGAGATGAGCCTGAGGAGCCTGGGCATTTGGGCAAAGGCTGGGTGAGGGGCTCTGCCCGTGGCCTCACTTCACACAGAGCTTCTCCCCAGCTCTGGAAAGCCTTGGAAAGCTCTACCTGGTGTGCGCTCCTCGGAGTTTTTCCAATTGCCATGTGGAACTGCCAACATTTTCCACATTAAGAACAAATCAAAAGAGATTTTTCACTAAGCGTGAGTTAGTGGATGGGAATGAGAGCAAATCAAATTCATGCAAAAATAGAGGAAATTAATTTTTAAAAAGCCCAACCAAACACCCTGTAATTTTCAGTGATTTCCTTTCAGGGAAACTGTGACCACTGTCACTATAAACAAAGCAGAGAATAAATAAATAAAAAGGGAAAGAAGGTTGTGTTTTTTCTACTTGCCTCCCTGATGGATGGTTTATAGAGGCCTCGGGATAAAAGTCAGCCTCTAATCGCTCCCAGATGGCGCCTGCCTCTGCCCCTGCTTCAGCGTTTCCCCACGTGCCTCCGCCTGGCCTGCCAGACACACCGATGGTGACAGGAGCCGGACTCTCGCCTCCTTGGCTGTGGCCACAGCCCAGATGCAAAGGGGCAGCAGAAGGTTGGGGCCACTGGAGGGAGGGGTAGATGGCCACAACAGACCCATCAGCTCCATGGAAATGAGCCACCCAAGCCAGCACCCTCTCTGTTCAGGGCATGGCTGGGCCGTGGGGGCCACCAAGGAGCCTATGTGTTTCCTTCCTCCTTGGAACCCTTCCTCAAGTGTGCTCACTGCCATGCTCCTGGGCTCTGCTGAGTTCCACCTCTGAGGGAGGGGGGCCTAACCCAGGAGAAGGATTCTGCCCTTCTGATGCACTGCTTATATTGGAGTATCTGGACCAAATCTTATAAGCAATCCAAAACCTTTCTGAAATGAGGCAGGGTGTCCATCAGAATGAAAGTCACCATCTTATATCATCTTTGCTCCTGGGCTATTGAGGCTGGGGGTCCCCAGGGACTGCCCTCAGTTGGCATAGCTGTCCCATCTACCAGGAGTCTCCACAGCCCATGTTGCCACCCCCAAGGCCTCTGCTGCTTGTCTGCCTCCACAAACCTCAGGAGGCTGCACTGGCAGAGCACATGACTGCACTGATCACTTGGGAAGCATCTTCTGTCTCCTTTCCTTCTCCCCGCCCCACCTTTTCAGAATGAAACCTGAGATGCCACATGAGTAAGTCCCCACTTGATCCCTCAATAACTGGGATTTAGCAGAAATGAGGGTTGGACGTGTAGCCAGATTTTGAGCCACTGTTCTCACCGTCTTGGCTTCTCTATTGACTATTTTAGGAATTCAGGTGCTTTTACGGGACGAGATGTTCTTTTTGTACACGAGAAGACATAAGCCTTTCTCTATGAAGAACTTGAAAATAACTTTTTAGCTATCGAATATCTCTTGCAAAACAAATATCATGATGAGTTGGGGTAAATGAATCAGAAACAGATGGATAAAATTTCTCTGAAATACACAGATTTTCAACCTAGAGGGAAGGGCAGAGGCAAAAAGCATTTGGGGTTTCCATGAGCCCAAAATACAAGGAAAAGGGCACGAGGCACTTGACTGATCCAACCAGCTCATGTGGGAGCACCCAGTCCAGCGTCAACAGAAATGTCTGTGCAGCCTCCAAGAGGCACAGTTATCAAGAACATGGAGCTGCTATCAAGTTTCTAAAACATGGCTTCTGAAAATAAGCTGTTCTAATTTACAGTATACCTTCCCTAAACCACTCCCCTGGAGCACTTCCATGGAAGATGAAAATTATTTTGGAGGTAACCAGTTGCTGGGTTTGCCATCCATTCTGCAACAGTTAGATGTGTGCATAGAGGCCCTGACTGGTGGGGTGGGAGTGTGCTGGATGGTGGAAGCGGACACATCAGTGGTTTCTGCAAGAATGGGAAAATAGTATATTTTGTGACCAAGTTGCTCCAGGGTAGGCAGATTGCTCTCAAATCGGTTACAGATTTCCCTGAAATATGCAGGGACTTCCATACAGAAGAAAGGGAATTTGGAGCTGAAATGCATTTGGAGTTTTGTTAAGCTCAAAACACAGGAACAGAGTCAGAGATAATGGCTGGTCCCAGCAGTGGCCTCTTGGCCAGTCCTCATCTTTCCAGCACACCTGCTGCCTGTGCTAGCTGCACATCTGTAGGCTTTGCAGAGTTCTCAAGGGGAGTTGCTGCCTCCGTGGTTCTCCAGTCGGTGCTGTGGTATTAGTCTATCCTCCAAAGCTGAATGGAGTCTATCACCACCATGCAGCTATCTTTGTTGTTCAAAGGAGTTGTTCCTGTTGAGACATAATATTCTGAAAATGATACCAAAAGGAAAAATGATTGGGGATCTTCAGAATTTGTCCTAAATTTAATGTTCTATGGAATTTTTTTTAGACATTCCATCACAGGCCCAACTGTGGTCCTTCCTAGAAAATCAAAAGCATTATAAAATCTGCTAATTCATACTTAGCACGTCTAAAGTGGGATTCTTTGTTTCTGTTACTGCCTTAGTATTCCCATGTCAGGCAGGGGCAGTGGAGTCTACTCAAGTTGGAAATCTCAGATTCCGCCTCAATCACTCCCTCTTGCTCATTCTTTAGATTCAGTACACAAGGAAATCCTAGAAGTATGACTCCCAGGCCCAAAAATATGTCTTGAATCTATACACTGCCATCGACTCCTCCAGGCACCAGCATCTTCTGGCTGGACAACCTCAGTCACCTCCCAGGTAGCCTCCATCATCTCTACTCACTGCTCTTCCTGCCTTTCCACCAGTGCCTCCTCCAGACAGCTGTCCCAGAGACCATGTCACTTCTCAAAGCATAATTCAGATCATGTCATTTCTCTGCATAAAAATGTACAGTGGCTTTCCATTGTAGTTAGAATTAAATCCAAACATCTCACTGTGACCTGCAAGGCCTTGCTTGATCCAATCCTCACTTCCCTTAACTCTCTCCCCATTCCCACTCTGCACCCCATTCTGTCTTCCCTGGGCTACAGATACCTGCCCCCCAACCAACCCTGACAACTCCCAGACACTCACACCCATCTCAAGCCCTTTACACATGCATAGCACTGAGATCTCACTCGGAAGCTCTTTTTATCACGGGTTCCTTCTCATTCTTTGAGTCTCAGCTTGAAGGTCTCCTCTTATTTGTTCATAGATTATAATAACAATCTCAAAGCCCTAAGATCTTAATGTAAATTGGCCATTGATTAGACAGTTTTCTGGCTGCAGATTTTTTTTTTGTTTTGTTTTGTTTTGTTTTGTTTTTTTGAGATGGGGTCTCACACTGTTGCCCAGGCTGAAGTGCAGTGGCACGATCTCAGCTCACTGCAACCTCTGCCTCCCAGGTTCAAGTGATTCTCCTGCCTCAGCCTCCTGTGTAGCTAGGATTACAGGTGCCTGCCACCATGCCTGGCTAATTTTTTTTTTTTTGTATTTTTAGTAGAGATGGGGTATCACTATGTTGGCCAGGCTGGTCTTGAACTCCTGACCTCGTTATCTGTCTGCCTTGGCCTCCCAAAGTGTTGGGATTACAGGCATGAACCACCATTCCTGGCCCTGGCTGCAGATCTTAATGTCTGTTGAGTCTTTGACACTTGTTAGCATAAGAAGGCACATTTGCATACATGTAAGGGTATATACAACACACATATTAACATGCATTCACCTGACATTGGCATGGAGTATACTGGTGAGGAGGGTGATGATGGTAGCAGAGCTGGGAGACCTATAAGCAAATTCCCACAATAAAAAAAAGCAATTGTAATCTTGGATCCTCCCAGCCTAGGAAACCCCACGAAGGTTCTGTGAGGGAGGGTCTCTCTCCTCTTCCCTGGCAGTGAAAGATGAGGATCCTAGAATGGCTGCTGGGTCTGTGCTGAGTGAGTTGGTAAGGAGGAGCATTCCATTGCATCGGGGGCAGGACAATGATATCTAATTTTTACCAACACACGGGAGCATGAAAGGGTAGAAAGAGAGTAGGAGGAAGGCCTGATTTAGGACAGACAGGAGAGACAGAACAATACATGCTCTCTTGTAAACTTTAAACATTACAGAAAATTAAGATCTAGGGGAACAAATCTCTAAGGATGCCCTTATCCAAAGACAACTATTGCTATGATTTTGATGAGTTTATTTCCGCCTTTCCTTTATGTGATTTTTTTTTTAGTGTTACCAAGCAGCCATGATATTGTACATACAACTTTCTGTCCTGTTTTTTCCACGTAACCTTGTAACCTAAGCATTTTCAGATTATTACTTAGCCACTGAGAATATTATTAAGGGCATGGACATACTCAATATTCAGTTTATCTTTCCCCTATGTATGGGAATTTGCTTTATCTTGAACAGTTAATTTTATACATAAAGTGGTAGTTAACATTTTTTATGAAAGATTTAGGACAACTTTCTCAGGATAGATTAGATGGACTCTTTAAGTTAAGCTAGTAATTTTAATCTGTGACTTCAAATTACATTTATTTAGTTCACCATAGTCAGTAATCACTTTTACATCTCTACTTTCTCTCTTCATCTTTTGTTTTCCCTTTAGATTCTTTCTGAGGTATCTTCCAAATGTTTGCAGGTCTCACCAATGTCTATGTAGGTGTGTGGCAGAGACTGATGACTGCTCAGGAAAACCCGTTCTCCCCTTCTTCCATGCACACAACTAGATCCACTTCCCAGCTTTCCTTGCCATTGGGCATGTCATGTCATTGACTTTGGCCATTGGAATGTAAAAGGAGGTGAGGTGCTCCACTTTCAGACTGAGCCAGAAAGTCTCCCACTTATGATCCTCTGTAGTTTTCTCCTTCTATCAACTGGGTGCATGATACCATAGAGAATGACAGAGCCATGAGATAGAAGGAAACTGGATCCCTGAATGACATGGAAGAGCATCACCCTACCTTTCTTGACAACTGTACAGAACTATTACATGAGCAAGAGATAAACTTGTATTGTGTTGACATATTACAGCTTGGGACTATTTGTTACAACAGTTTAGCCCACATGCACAAATGCAGAGTGCAAATAAAACTGCACTAACATCAGTCCCAAGCTTTGGATGGCTCTAAGCCCCTATCAGTATGAGTGTAGGATTTTGTCTCCTCACCCAGGTATTCCTGGAGGTCCTGGGCACAGAAACAGTTCTCCTCATCCTCATCCATCTGCCTCACCATGGAATCCTGTTTCCTTCTCCAAGGTGAGTAAAGCACAGGTGTTTTCAATCTCCTAGGATGTGGCTTTGGAATAGACAGTCAGAGACATGCTTTGAGTTCCTCAGGGATAGGTACTATCAGAGTCTCTACCTGGCTGAAGGGTTCAGGAACCTCTCCTGAGCTGTCCCCTGTGAAGGGATCTCTGGACCTGCATAGGACTCAGAAGCAAGGCAGATCTGACTGGCATTGCCCAAGGCAAAGGCAAGGATAACCAAACCACAGTCCTTCTGAAGCCTCTTTCCCAAGAGGCAGGGTGGTGGGCAGCCAGAAACAGGGTGGGGGTGAGGGGTAGATGGAGCAGAGGTGAGGCAACACACCCTGGTGAGTCCCAAGTGCTCCAGAGTGGGCCCTGTGTCCTTGCTCATGGGAGCTAATGGGTCTCCCAAGGGTGCCAAATCCATTTAAACATGTGCCACAAAATGATAAGGTGCTATTTCCTGAACTGCCTAATTTAAAAGCCCCCACATCAGTGACTTGGTAATAAAAATACCGTTTCATTTTCCATATATGATGAAAGCTTCCCAAGTGCCAGTGTTTCCACTAAGGAACCTCTTGCTCCATCATGGTCCCACTCATTCAGTTTCACAGTCTGTCTCTGTCACAAGGTACAGTGTGGACATCGAATCCCAGCTCCAGTGGCTCTACTAGACAAGGGCTAGTTTCTGACATCTCTGTGCCCTAGTTTCCCCCTCTGGAAGATGGGGACAAAGGTGGAAACTGTCGCAGAGGCATCAAAAAGATTGAATGAATAAAAAAGCATGAAAAATCACATAACTACCTGGAAGATAGCTACAGGTTGAATATCCCTTATCCAAAATGCTTGGGAACCAGAACTATTTCTGATTTCATACTTTTTCATATTTTGGAATATTTGCATAGACCTGAAATGCTCCAGCGAGCATTTCCTTTGAGCATTATGTCAGCACTCAAAAAGTTTCAGATTTTGGAGCATTTCAGATTCCAGATTTTCCTATTTGGGAGGCTCAATCTGTATGATTACAAGAAACAGGCTTCTCTGGCTGAATTCTACAACTTAGACACAGACTGTGACCTTATATTTACCAGACACTTGAACCAAATAAAATAGCTATCCAATTTGGAGAACACTTTTATGTTTTGTTTTTGTTCCAGTTCAAGTTTTTATTTTCATTTAAAAATTTTTAAACAGGTTCAATTATTTTTTTCCAAGTAGGTTTGCTGGGCTTTTAGAAAATCTTTGGTTTGGTTAATGGCAAAATTTGAAAAATATCATTTGGGTTTGGTTTGGCTTTCAGTTGAAGAGAGTAGTTTGGGCTGGTCTGGGGTTCAGTTCAAAGCCTGCCCATGAGAATTTGATTCTTTTTTTCAAAAAGAATGTCTACGGTGTGCAGGGCACGAGAGAACAGCAACACCCTAGATGTCAGTGCAGCTGCAAATATTAAAAGTTGCTAAGCTTTAGGCTCTGTATCAAAAAGTTACTTGAAAACTATGGCCTGCAAGCATCTTGCAATATAATAATATTAGAGGTCTCAGAACCACATATCTCACATTGTAGGGCAATGGCATAAAGTTTTTGTTATTGTTCGGTTTTGGCTTTTTTTTATGTAGCATAAGAGTTTCACACACACACACACACACAAAAGCCCATAGGCACTCAGAAGAGCCTGCAGCAGAACCAGGTCTCATCCTGAAAGTTCAGCGTATATTTGTTCTAAATTCATGTCCATTGATGAATTTTAACTTTCTGCCTCACACTATTTCAGAACCACTGAATTTGTAGAAAATGTTGGAGTCACCCACCAAAACATTACTTTTAGATTTATTTCCCCCAACTACTTTGAACCAGAGAGGTTAAGCAAATTTCCAAGTCATGTAATGACACATGAGGACACCAGAAACATCCCAGGACTCCTAACATCTCATGTCCTGCGCTAACCTCCAGTATTTCCTCATCTTCAGGAGGGTGGATATGTTACTTAATGGTATCCCCTAATTCCCTGGTAAGTCCATGGTGATCTGACATGCAAGTGAACAGGCTGTTTTTTCACTTTCTTTTTTGGCATCTCAAATACTGAATAGAGAATTAGGTCCATAACACTGAAGAACAATCAGTAAGTAAATGTGCTATGATTTTATTTATTTATCCTAGTTCCCCAGGCCACTCCAGCAAATCAGCACAGATTAAGTCCCCATGAATGATAAGAATCCACAGTTCGCTGGATCTCACATCCATGTGCTTAGGGAGGACCTTGGCCCCTGCCAGATCTCCTCTGTTTTCCTTCAGCCTTCTAGCTCCTTGGTCCCAGAAATGAATCCATGGGGATTTCAGAGGGGACACAACAGAATGACAGATTTCAAGCTCAAGCTCTATTCTGAACTGTGGCTACTTACTGATCCCTATGGGTGTTTTTTAGTTTTGTTTTTTTTTGTTTTTAACTTGCTCAAGTTGGCCCCATCTGGCTGCCTCCCCTCTTGGGCTGCATTCTCCTAGCCGCCCCATTTCCTCAGTCACATATGCCTCTGGTGACCCTCCCCATGAGCTCCCCAGACACACTCAGATAAGTCCTAATTCCAATTTAGGCCTCCTCTGTTTTTCTTAGGGTATATAATGCCTGTGGGTAGATGAAAATATCAGGAACTCAGGGCTTGAGCTATCTTATAAAGATATTTAAATATCAACACATGAAATAAGTAATGAGTCACATTAAATAATAAGAAATGAGCAATGAGAAATCACATTGTAAATTACAATGTGCTCTGCAGATAACAGACTGATTTGCCAAAAATCAGCCTGCCACCTCATCTGCCTGCTGGCGTTTCCCATTTCACTATATCCCTTATTATGGGTGGGGTCAGGGGGATATGAGGTCCATTCCTGCCTCTAATTGGGTTGAATTTACCTGATCAAAACCATGTTTCTAGTAACTATTTACCAACTCACACTTCATGAAATGGTTTCCACAGCCTTTGGGGGTTTTCCTTATTTTCAGTTCTAGTTTTGCTGAGGCTTTCTAAAGCCAATCCCTGAAGCTGGCTTGTGGGAGGGAGCTCCAGAGACCCTATCTTTTGGAGCAACAGTGGTGTCCTCCCTTTCCCCACAACTTGCTCCACAATTCCCCTGAGTCCTGCCCTCATAAACACCTGGGAGCAAGCCCTTGACACCCCACTTCTTCACATAAAACCTGCCAGTTTGGGATGCAATTGTCATTTCTGGCAAATTGTCCAGGGGTAAGACTAGATTGTCTGCAAATACAGCCAATAACATTCTTCCCATCCCTTATGGGCATCAAGAAGTCCATTCTCCCTCCCCCTTGAATCTGGGCTGACTTTGTGGAATGTGACCTTCTGGGACTTCTGAGCCCAGGCTTTAAGAGGTCTGGTAGCTTCGGTTATCTTGGAGCTCTGAGCTACCCCTTGTAAGTCAGGCTACTCTGCTAGAGACAAAGGTCCTACCAGCTCTCAGCTGTTGCTGCTGTGAGGGCCAGGCATATTGATTTATTCAGCCTCAGTCCAGCCTCCAGCCTGTAGAATCATGAGCAAATAAATGGTTCTTGTTTTAAGCCACTAGGTTTTGGGGTGGCTTTGTTATGCAGCAATAGATAATTGATACACCATCTGTAGCAGGTTGATTACTCTGGCAGCTTGCATATGATTAACTCGAAACTTACTGGGGAAATGTGAGCAAATTTGCATAAGGAACTCAGGAGTCTTCTGGGAGAAACCAGAATTCTCTCCTCCGAGATTCCATATTGTGAACATTAGTCAGGATAAATCCAAAGCCCAGGCTATCATCTAGGGACATGAGCATACAATAAATCTCCTGAAATAAAACCAGTGGAGTGGCAGTGATCAGTGCTTAGGACCCACATTAATGACCACCGTGATTCCTGTACTAAGGCAGTGGCCACAGGCAGAGGGACTCTCTAATTCCCTACCTAGCTCGGTTCTGTTAAGAAGAGCCAGATGGATATATTGGAGTTTTCTTGACATATGAAGAAGGGGAGGTGAAGGCAGAAGCAGGGTTGATAAAGAGACTCAGTATACTGGGACCTCAAACACTGCCCTTTGAGACAGTACTCGGGTGTTATATTTCGACTCCTAAACTGTAAAGTCAGACATCCCAGCTGTGTTACTGTTACAATTTTCAGTTTAATTTTCTTTTAAAAAGTAGGTACTCAATCTTGAGCAGGAAAACATTTTTGAAAAACAGTAACAAAAATTGTAAAGAAATATCCTGTTCACAAGCAGTGTCACTCTGCCTTTCCAAATGCACACTGTGTATAGCAGAAAACAAAGAAATAATTTTTAGCCTATGAGGAAAATTGTTCTTAATATCCCCATACCTAGTGTATGAAAAGAAGCCTCTGCCCTCATTGAATATATGAATGGTTAACATCTTGATTCTCTTTAAAAACAAAGCACCCGAAAGAAAACTGATTTTGGATTTTTCTGGTGTGTGTGTGTGTGGGGGTGTGTGTGTGTGTGTGTGTGTGTGTGTGTGTGTGTGTGTATTTTCCAAAAATCAACAAATCAGAACACAACTCCACCTCACTGAACTTGAACTCCAAACATGTGCTTAAGGAAGACAGGGCGGACAGCCTAGGGACTTGAAGGTCCCATTAGCAGTCATCCACACCCATTACCTTGTCTCACTGGATTTCCTTTTATGCCACTGTTCCAACACTCTGCAAAATGAACTGACAGACAGATTCTGAAATTTGCATGCAGATCCTTCTTGATAGTAAAAATGCTTCAAGATGTGGCTGGGAGAACTAAGTGGCTGACTTCTGAGGCTTTGAAAGGCACTCCTGGTCTCAGCCTCATTTCTCACAGTGGAGTGGTACCTGTAGTTGGCCCTCCCGACAGCAGTGACCCCTCAACTCCTCTGCACTGGAGGAGTCTTAAAAGGGACCATGTGACCTGGGAAGGTGACTTTCTCCAGAGCACTTGAAGGTCAAGGTTCAGAGAAGTGGGGATGCGCAGTGAGGGGCTGTAGAAGGCAGAATGTGTGGACACAGTGGGTTTGCAAATCCTCTTCAGTGACTCGCATCATGGCTGGAGCTAATCCAATGACTACAGGGGGAAACAGGGTAAAGGAGAGGACATTTACTCATGGTCATTCTGCCATCTCACGGCTGCAGAATGTCACGGAAGGAAGTCAGCCTGCAGTCACCCCACTTCCCTACCTACAAATCTGTCAGGCCTTTTCCTTTAGCTTTTCCTCTGGAGCTGTCTCTCTAGCAGAGTTTCTTAATCTGAGGTTAAATTTTCAGGGGTTCTCTGAATTTGAAGGAGAAAAGAAAAACTTTATTTTTATTCCCCTAAAGTTGAAATGTAGCATTCCTTTCAAATGCAGTCTTTTTCACTGGCAATCACAGATATTTTCATATTATAGTTACAAATATCAAGAAATATTTTTTATATTACGGTCCCACCACAAGAGCTTGTTATTTAAGGTCTTAATGAAGCATATATAAAATTTTATCACACACCTCACACCCATTATGATGGCTACTATCAAAAAAATAGAAAATGGATGTTGCTGAAGATCTGAAGAAAGTGGAACCCCTTGTGCACTCCCTGCAGGAATGTAAAATGGTGCAGTTGTGTGGAGAGCAGTAGGGTGGTTCCTCAAAAACAAAAAAATAGAATTGCCATAGGATCCAGCAAGTCTAATTCTGGGTCTATACCCTAAAGAACTGAAAGCAGGATCTCACTTTGGGAGGCTGAGGCAGGCAGATCACGAGGTCAGGAGATCGAGACCACGGTGAAACCCCGTCTCTACTAAAAAATACAAAAAATTAGCTGGGCTTGGTGGCGGGCGCCTGTAGTCCCAGCTATTCGGGAGGCTGGGGTAGGAGAATGGCGTGAACCTGGGAGGCGGAGCTTGCAGTGAGCTGAGATTGTGCCACTGCACTCCAGCGTGGGCGACAGAGTGAGACTCTGTCTCAAAAAAAAGCAGGATCTCAAAGAGATATTTGTACACCCATGTTTATAACAGCATTATTCACAATAGCCGGAAGCTGGAAGCAACCCAAGTATATATTGATTGATGAATGAATAATACGTAGTATTCACATTCAATGGAATATTATTCAGCCTTAAAAAGGAAGGAATTCTGACACATGGGTGAACCTTGAAGCCATTACGCTAAGTGAAATCAGCCAGTCACAAATTGACTGTTTGATTCCACTTATATGAGGTAGTTAAAAGTATTCAAAATCATAGAGAAGAAAAGTAGAATGGTGGTTGCCAGGGGGGTGGGAGTACAGGGGAATGCGGAGTTAGCATTTAATGGGTAGAGTTTCAGTTTGCAAGATGAAGAGCTCTGTGGATGGATAGCGGTGGTGGTCGCACAGCAGTGTGAATATATTTACTACCACTGGAACTGTACACTTAAAAATGGTTAAGATAACTTTTTAAAAAGCTGTCCAAAAAAAAGAACCCCCCAAAAAACTGTATCACAAATTCAATTCAAAAAATATTGTTAATTATATTTTGATATGGCTTGTTTCCTTTATAATCTCAAGTGTTTTATTTTATGCATTTAAAACATTATTCTGGGGAGGAGTCCCTGGACTTCTTCAGGCAGCGAGAAGGGTCTGCAGCACACATACTTGAGATCCTCTGGTCCAAGGCTCTGCTCTTCAAACTGCCTGGAGACACAGAATTGGTGCCTGAATAAACAAGAATGGTCCCTGGAAAATCTGTTTTATTCAAGTGTTACACCTTTTGAACATATTTAAGAAGACCCGGATGTATCATGGAGTAGAAAGCAAACTTTACGTGAACTCTCAGGATAAAAATGTTAAATGCATTTTGTGCGTGTGGCTGTTTGGATATACCTCCAAAACCTCAGGGGCTTACAGTCTTCTCTGTGTTAAGGATTAGGTATGTTCCCTGAAAATCTGAGATGTCAGTTTCCTCTTTAGCCTCATGGCCCTTCAAATTAGGAAGGCTGCGTGAGGTGGCTGAAAGAGGAAAAGTTTTCGCAGAAGAAAAACCTGGGTTCAAATCTGAGCTCTACTAGTTATAGCTGTGTGGCTGTGGGTCAGTTCCCTACCTGCCCAGGGCCTCCGTTTCCCCATCTGTAAAATAGAGATAGATGGCAGTATCTACCTCATAAAGTATACAAAACTTCTAGTCCCTAGAAGGGGCCCAACACAACTTAGCTTCAAAACAGGAAAACCAAGCTCTTTCTTGTCTGTGGATAGCTGTATCCAGGGCTGTCATGGCCTGGGTACCAATTTTTGTTTCAGCTCCTCCACCTTACTCCAGTGAGATGGGATCTCCCTTTCCGACTCCCCGGCCTGCATTTGCGGGTCCTCAGTATTTTGGCTGTCTCCTCTCGGGGGCTTCCAATTTGACGACGAATCTGAACAGGCTGGTAACAGCCGCAGCCAGGCTAGTGGAAAACTCGCCGGATCTGAAGCTGCCCCCCCACCTTTCACCGCCCTAGGAAGACCTCGACAATCCCCGCAGCTTTTATCAGCACACAAGATCGGCGCTGAGCACCACAACTCCAATCACCGCTAGAGAAGCTGGGTCCAGAGGAGTTGGAGGCAGCGCAGAACCTTGGGAGGGCCCGCACCTGCTAAGCATGCACGCGGCAGGCTCACCTGAAGCCCGAAAGTGAGCCCGCACAACGCACGCACATGAGCACGCACGCGCACGCACGGAGGCTCGCTGGAAGCTTGGAGGCGAGCCCGCACGATGCTCGCACATGAGCGAGCACGCACGCGTACACACGAGGCACGCAGGTGGGCATGCGTGCGTTAGGTGTACCTGTACACTTGCTGCTCCCCTGATGATTTGCTCAACAGTGTCTGCAATTGGCAGCCAGAAGGAGTCCGCAAGAAGCAGGAGGGTTCGGACCTGAGACCGCGCCACAGGAGGAAGGCCAGGATCTGGGAGCGCAAGGTGAGTGCAGGGGAAAACAGCCTGAGCAGGTCTTGAGCCAGCTTCCTGCTGCCTGGGGCAATGATGGCGTCAGGCCTGTGGAAATAAGCGCCAGGTTTGAATACTCAAGGACAGTAAAGCCAATTAAACAAGTGGGTGCCCCTCTCTCCTTTTCTGATTAGGCCTCTCAGGCCTTGCGCCATCTCGTGCTAGGATGCCTCTTCAGTCTCTTTCTCACTACTTTTATCCTCACGCTCTCAGCTCTGGTCGTGTGCCCTGCCTTGGGGCAGACACCTCCTGGACTGCACCCTGAAATGAATGTCTGAAGCCTAGCCCTGCCCTCCGGAAAGAACAGCCAGCTGTCCCACAGTGGCCTTACTGACACTGCCCTGCGCCTTCTGTTGGGAGCCCACCTAGTCTCCTGCAGGTGCGGAGCCGGTGCACAGCTGGCCAGGCCAGGCAGTGGGAGACTCAGGCTCTGCAGGCCTCCTTTTCCTTTGAGGCCAAAGATGGGCTGTGGTCAGCACATGTTGGATGTGCCTCATTGGGGCTTAGTGAACTGGCAATAATAATAGTGCTACAAAATGAAAAAGTAGTAATACCTTATATTTGTGCTTTCAAATTTGAAAAGCCCTTTCATTAATGAAAGTGTAATGCTTGCAACCTTTTAAGGTTAATGGTATCCACCCATCTTCTTATTCCCATTTTACAGATGAGGAAACTGAGTCACAGAAAAGTTATGCAACTTGCTCAGGTCACTGAACCTTTTTTTTTTTTTTAATCATTCTGATTTGTAAGTGCCTCTATGGTTAAATTGGGGTAGCGGGTAAAAGGACAACCACCGCAAAAATGGTACATGGGCAGTGTCTTGTCCAAAAGCGAGGGTCTCCAGGTTCTTCTGAAAGCATCTCAGACAAGAGAAGGCCACTCCTGGGCCCTAAGGGCTGCTACCAGCCTGGTTTATAAGTTGTATGCTAAACGAGACCTGAGATATTGGGGCTGGGGTGGAGGCCAAGGACCACCTGAGAGACAAAGCTGGGCATTGCAGCAACACAGGTATAACACAGGTTATTACCTCAGCAACACAGGTTATTACCATGGCCACTTCACCAAACTGTAGTGATGTCTCAGCAGATCTTGCAGATCCTTAACACTGTGATGATTAGTGTCCCCATCTCCTGCCTCCTGTGTCTCCAGGCAGAGAGGAGGCTTCAATTCAACCATTTTGAACAGGGTGATACTACCAGCTGAGGGGCAATTAGCATTTTGCACACTGGATAAAGGATGCCCAATACCCTGCCATTCCTGAGACTGTCCTGCAAAATGAAGAATTGTACTGTGCCCTACACAACTGTCAAATTACTAACTGGACAATTCTGGAGGTGAAAAACCTGACTTTATCATCTTATACCAGGACGCAATACAGATTATTTTTTGCACGGTTTTAGAAAACATTGAATGCATGCAACCAGTATGTAAATTAAGATTGTACTTTAACAGTGTTCACAATACAGGAAAGCATTGTATCTGACAGCAATGCTGCATGTAGTTTTGGAATCCCTGTATGACCCACCTTGTCACTCTGCATTGATGATGTTGCTGGCACCGGGAGTCCGTTCAGCGGTGCGGTGCTGTGCTTCATCAGGGCTTCCGAAGTAGCCATGCCCACACATTTATATATGGCAGTACACATTAATTTATCATAAATTGCCCTTTTTACAGTTAAGATGTTTGACCTTTTAAAATTATGAGTATAATATATTACCTTTTATTTCAGGATAATAAGGGAGTATTATGATATATTTGTAACAGAATAGAGGCATTGAGTTTGAGAATCACTGCTCTGAGCAAATGGCAGTTTCCTTTTTTTCCTAGAAATCATAGGATTTCAGGGTTAGAGGAGACCTTGAGTGTCACTCAGTCCTTTCCCCACTCCATCTAGTACTCAAATCCCTGCAGTTGGAGGACCAAGGACCTTCACACACCTCTGTTTCCTTCCTCCTATGATGTGACCCTTTGGAGTTCCCAGGATGGAACCAAGTGGGAAATGGGCCTGAAGGACCAAGGGCCCAGGCTCAGTGAGCTTCACCAGATCTTGGCAGGTGGTATTATAGATATTGGGATCCAAGAGTCATTCAAGATCTCATCCACTTAAAGAGGTTGGCATCAGCTCAATGGAAAACCTAGACCTGCATTGCAAGAGGAAATACTCTACCCTCAGAGGCTCAGTCCATATCAGGGACCCCCAGAAATGCCAGGCTGGTGGACAAACAAACTGTATCTCAGAACATACCCTGGTGCTGGAGTTCTGAATGACTCCATGGCATCTGATTCTCAAGAAGCACTGGGCTAGGTGGAAAGAAGTAAATAGATGGGCTGGGATCATTAGGAAACTAGAGGCAACTAAGTGAAGGTGTCTCCTCTTGGCAGTTTATTCCAGGATCAAGCTTCAATGACTTCATATTCTTGGATGAAGGGGCTGTGTCATGTCAGAAGGGCTAGCTTAGTGAGCTTCAGCCAGGGCGAGCCCCAGTGCCTTTGCTGACTCAGTGTCCCAAAGCTGCCTTGACAGGAGACGGACCTGAGAGGCAGAATGCTGGATTAAACCACCTGCAACCGTGCTCAAATCCTTCCCCCATCTTTCTTCTCCACTGCCCTCACTACCCAATGAATTTGCCACTCAGTTGTTCCTTCCCATGCCCTGTGCCCTTTCCACTGGAGGCTGGACAGCTATACTCCACCTACTTCCCTCCAGCCCCCCTGGACTGACACAGAGCCCTCTGTCTTCCTGTGGAATGCAGTAGCAATTCTGAGCATGGTGCTGGACAAGAAGTCCAGCTCCCCTCATAAACTTTTTATAGCTTAGGAAAATAAACATGTGGTTTAAGGTCTTTGCATAGGCGGTGCTCGCTGAGTTTGAGCTTGCTTTACAGAACTACGAAAGAAAATATTGGTAGAGCTAAGAAATTTCTGAGCCAGCCAAGGGACAGTAGTCCAGAAATCTTGGGGAGGGTTTGATGGTTCAGGCAATAAAAAGAGAAGTCATCTACCTAGCTGTTATCTCGCTCTGTCCTGCTAAGAATCTGCCTGCCTGAGTGATGCAGCCAGGCTCCCTTGTTCCCTGGGGCAAGGAACCAGTAGAGGGATAGGGAATCACAGTGTTTCCCGGCTGCAAGGGCCCTTGGAGATGGTTTTACAGATGAGGAAGCAGAGTCCAGAGAAAGGAAGTGATCTGCTGGGAACCACTGTACTTTTCACACAAGCAACTTTCCGGGCATCTGCTATGTGCTGTCCACAGGATGGCGAGGGGGTAAGGAGACCACTTAATGCATGTGTGCCAGCAGCAGGGCAGCAGCAGGGGTTCAGGGGCCATTTGTAAGGTTTACTTCCTGGCTTTGTGGAAGAGAAGAGACACTTGAAGAAGGAAGAATGACTATGAGGTTTTCAGTTGGAGCAGTGGGTAGTAAGAATAAAAATAATATCAGTATTGCTCTTGTTATCATTTATTAGACATTTACTCTGTAAGACCTGCTGTCACCCCACTGAATCCTCAGAACCCTGAGAGGCTCATATTAAAGTCCTCAATTTGCAGTTAAGAAAAACTACAGCTCAAGGGGGTTGAGTCATTTGCCCACAATCACCCAGCTGGTAAATGCAGAGCCAGAATTAAACCCATGCTGCCTGACCCCTGAAGCCGGGACACCTGCTCAAATAGCTTGCTGGAACAGGTGATGGGAAAGCAGACAAGAAGAGTGGGTTAGGCCGGGCTAAATTTGAGGATCCCGTGGAACAGTCCGGCAGAAATACAGGTCCAGGTTGGAGTTGGGCATCCGAGAGGGATACGTGGATTGGGGTCACCTGCTAAAGGGATATTGAAGCATGTCTGTTTACTGCCAAAGTCTCTCTTTGGGACACTGAAACTCTGTGTGTAGAGAGTGGTGCAGGAGGACTAGGTGGAAACCTGGGGCAGTTAGTGGTTACAGGCAGGCAGAAGGCAACTGGGGCTCTGTTTACAATGGGCAGGTCTATGCAATCCCACCCCCAAAGTCTGAAGAAGCTGAGAGGCTGAAGAAAGAGGCTGACAAATCCAGTTTCTTAGAAACATTTAATAGAGACTTAAGAAAACAAACCATGTTTATGTCTCAGGTGGCAGTGAGAGGAGATGGTGGATCCACGTGCCATTACCCTCCAGACCCAGGGCTTATATACCACAGGGGAGGGGTGGTTCAGAAGGGAAGTGTAGGACAGTTGAAGTATGATAACATCAAGGTTGACCTAAGGGCAGGATTTATAGTAAGTACTTGCTCTTACACAAGGAACAATGGATATGCTGGAAATCTTAGAGGCCGTCCCAGAACTGCGGATAATCAGAAGTCAACATGGTGGGTAGCTTCCAAGATGGAGTTGCTTTGGCCTCCACAGGCTCTAAAGGCGGCTCTGGCCTTACTTGCGGCAGAGGAGAAGCCACACCACAGCAGAATGTTCCTGGCCTAGAGGCTGATACTATAACTCCCTAGTGAGAAAAAACAATCCCCATGGCCGACAAGGACATGGAGGACAGGTACATGTTCCTCTCCTACTATGCCTTCCAGGCACACTCATTCTCTCCAGGCCAGGACAGCAGCATCTGAATCAACCCTGCAGGTAGGCATTCCATTCAAACCCAGCATTTTCCTCTTCTAGGAACTTATTCTGAAGACATAATGAGGGATGCGTATGAGGATATGTATCACAGCATTACTTCTATTTGTGAAAAATCACAGATCATATAAATATCCCACAGGAAAGGATAGATTACATCATTAAATACATGCTGATAGTAAAATCAAATTGTAGATTAATATTTATGGCCAACATTTTTGACATATTATTACATTTTAACTGGCAGGCTACAAACAGTATGACAATTTTTTGTAATGAAAAGAATGGCTATGTGTACATATTTCATAGGAAAACACTAAGTGTGCATGCCAGGAGGTGAAGAGGATTCTTTTCGGGTTGAGGAATTGTGTGAGTGGGTTTTCCCTTTTTTCTTTTTTCAGATATTGCAAGGTTGGTTTGTTTTTACATCGAGTATATATTAGGTTTGTAATTTGAAAAAAGAATTCTTTATGTAAGGGTTACTCATGAATAATATTAGCAAATGCTTGCCTGGTGCTTATTTTATGCCAACCTCTGTTCTGAGTGCTTTTCATGGATTAAGTGATTTAACCCTCACGAGAATTTAGACACGGGAACCATAGCTCAGGAGGGCTGGGCAGGTTGCCCAGGTCAGCAGAGTTGGTATGTGGCAGAGCTAGAATCTGAAGCCAAGCCATCTGCCAACAGGGTCCATGCAATTAACCACTGCACCACATTATTACTCCCCAGTGGAAAAAGACAATCCCCATGGCCAACAAGGACATGCGTGGAAATGCATGTGTTCCTCTCCTGCTATTGGTAGCAGAGGTTCCCTTGATACACCTTGATCCCAAGTGCTCCATGATGGTAGTGCTCAGGTACTATATTCAGTGAATGAATGCAAGTGACAGGTTCCACTTGTCCCCCAGGATCTGAAAAGACAGTCCAGCTTTTGCTAGATTTTGAGCATGACCATGATGGGACTCAAGGAACCTTCCCTCCCTAACTTGGCAGTGGGTGACTTGACTTCCTCACATGCTCTGGAGGATGGTTTTCCACTGAGAAACCTGTCCTGTCTTCTACTTTTCTGGGAGGGTAGAGGATGGCTCAGGGTATCATGGCTCTATCCCCATCGAAGGGGGCAGAGGGGATTCACCAGCTGTGGTAGGTCATTGCTTTGTGGCATTCAATGAACTATGTCTCTTAGAAGTCACACTTTTGTGTGGTCGCTCCTGCATTGACTCTGGAGTTTGCCATGTGGCTTTCTTTGGCCAAAAGGATATTAACAAGCATGATCCAAGCCGTGGCTTTATGAGTGCTTGCGCACTAGGCTTGTCTTCTTAGAACAGTTCCTCTTGGAACCCAGCCACCCTGCTGCTAAAAGGAAGTCCAGACTAGGCCAGTGGATAATGCAGGGACATGGGAGAGAAGCTCTGGAGGATAAGAGGCCATCTTGGACATTCCAGCTTCAAACAAGCTTCCAGATGAAAGCAGCTGCTAAATGAGCCCTGCCAAACCACCCAGCTGAATCCAGTCAACACAGATTCATGAGAAATCATAAATCGTTGTTATAAGCCACTAAATTGGTAGTTTGTTCTGCAGCCACAGGTAACTGAAATACTAGTCTTCTTTTCCTGGACACGCCTGAAAACAGATCCATATATACTTATTAAGTACCCACTGTGTGCCCAGCCCTGTTCTAGGCACTATGGGATAATCATGAAAGGATTCTAAGAAATGAGAATCTGAGGAGACAAGACTGCTACAGGAAGTAAATCTGAAGAAGAATTATGGCTAAACTGCTGCATAGTAAGGAAAGGCGACTGATTTCCCCAACCCAGCCCCCAACATTTCACCTCACAGCAAAGCTGTTGTGGCTGATAAATTTGGCAAACAGGGGTGGCATTGTTGGATACATTGATCTTTTACTTTATTATGATGATGGTTTTGGGCACCTCGGGCCCCCAGCTTTGTTAAATGCTGTTCCTATGGCAGGACAGTATTCTCCATGCACTTAAAGGGGAACCATTTGTGTGACCTTCAGATCAAAGAAGGTAGATGAGATGGAGAATTGAGTGGCCTACTCAGCCGATGGACTGTGACACACCATCATTACTCTTTAATGGGTGGGAGGGGGTCTTGCTAGTGCATCTGCTTGGCTCTGGCTAGGACTGGCCTGCTCACAACTTCATGAATATTCAGTTGCTCCATGAAGGTCCACTGCCTAGAACATTGGAGCAACCCGGAGGGTCATCTGGTCTGATGTTCTCACTGTTGAAAGGAGGAAACTGAGGCCCAGAGGTGAGAAGGGCTCGCTGGAGGGCACACAAGATTTATAGCTCCTCCATCACTGGCGCTGGTGTTAGCCACAGCTCAGCTGTGGTTTGCAGATCCTCTGAGACCCCAAATCCCATGCTCTTTCTCTTACTGCCCTCCACCCTCCTGCTCGGGGCTTGCTTTGGTGGCCAAGCAACCAGGGAACTGAGAAAGTCCACCCAGTTGCAACAAGGCTATATACATTAACCTCTGCTTCAGACAGTATACATGAAACTGCAAAAGTGTGCAGAGACACAGTTCCACTTAAAGCATTTAAAGGTGTCCTGAGGGGAGTGCTTGGGAAAGCAGGCAGACAGCCCATCATTTCACTTTCTCTCTTAGTTTGATTTTCAGTGTGGGTTTTGCTTCTAAGGGGCCATACCTCATACTGCACACTTGAAGGAATGCCAGTTGTGCTTGAAACCCTACACATTCCTGAGCAGCCCCTTTTCCCATCTGGGCCAGTGCAGGTGGATGGCAGGACCCCTGGCCTCAGGAGCCTTGCTGCTGACACTGGCCCTGAGAAGCCTGTTCATAGGGCCTTGTGGAACTGGCCACTTCTTTTCTTTGTTTCTTGATTTTTTTTCACTGAGACCAGATGAGGAGAGCCAAGACTATGGGTAAATTCCACGAATCAAAGATACATCTGGAATCTGCTGGGGAGCCTGGGAGGCTGTTCAAGCCAAGGCATCATCATTTCTCAAATTGGGAAAACACAGGCATGGAGGGGCAAAGGGGTTTTCCCAAGGCCTGGGGCTGGTGGGCTCGATGCCAGGAGAAGACTCAGGGACGATGCTTTCGGCTGGAGGACAGGATGAGTCAGGCCCCCAAGGTGTTTTCCCCACATGGTTTCAGTTCTTAGGTCAGGGTCTTGGCACCTGAAGGAAAACCTGGTCTAGGCCATGTGGAAATCCCGAGCTGCTGCAGCATCTCACTCCGATCGGGCATGTCTGGGAGGCAGCAGGTTGCAAATAAGTGATTTACAGCATGTTCCCTGATGTTTTACATTTTCATCATTTCATGTTGCAGTCCTATCTCCAGTAATGGTATCTGCAAAGGAGTGCAGCTCCCAGCCTGCTATCTGCAGGAGCCCGAGTGGGGAAGCCTGTGTAGTCTCAGGTCTCAGCCTTGACTTTCACGGTGTGACTGTGGTGTCTCAGGACTCTGCGACCCAGGATCATCATTGTGACCATCTTCCTAGTCTTCACTGCTTCCTTTACACCTCAATTCTGAGGACCTGCTCTGAGCCGCACACGGTTCTGGGCTCTAGGAATGGCGGAGGACTTGGGTGCCACGAGAGCACCAGGTAGTAGCTCCAGCTCAGCCTCCCCTAACCCTGACTCAAACAAAACCATCAGATGCATCCCCTACCACTATCTATCTGTCTGAGGATTCTCAGAACCTTTCCACTGGTGGGAATGTAAAGTGATGCAGCCCTGCGGAAAGAAGTTTGGCCATTCCTCAAAAGTATATTATATAGAATTACTATATGACCCGGCAACTCCCCTCCTAGGCATATGCCCAAAAGAATTGAAAGCAAGGACTCAAACAAATACTTGGGCGTACATGCTTATAGGAGCATTATTCACACTAGCCAAAGGTGGGCACAGTTGTCCATCAGCAGATGAATGGCTACACAAGGTGTAGTATATACATACAAAGAAATACTACTATTCAGCCATAAAAAGGAATGGAATTCTGATACATGCAACAACATGGATGAACTTCAGAAACATGCTAAGTTTCTAAGCCAAGCTAACATGCTAAGAAGCCAGACACTGAAGGTCACATATTGTATGATTCTGCTTATATGAAACATCTGGAAAGAGACAGAAAGCACATCAGTGACTGCCAGGGCCTGGGATGAGGAGAACTTGGGAGTGATTGCTTCGTGGGCATGAGTTTTCCCTTTGGGGTGAAGAAAATGTTCTGCAACTAAATAGAGGCAGCAGATGCATGACACTGTGAATGTACTAAGTGCTACTGAATTGTGTTTAAAATGGTTAATTTTATATTATGTGAATTTCACCTCTAAGAATTTTTTTTTCTTTTTTTCTTTTTTTTTTTTTGAGACCAAGTCTCACTCTGTCACCCAGACTGGAGTGCAGTGGTGCAATCTTGGCTCACTGCAACCTCTGCCTCCTGGGTTCAAGTGATTCTCCTGCCTCAGCCTCCCAAGTAGCTGGGACTACAGGTGCCCGATACCACACCACACCTGGCTAATTTTCGTATTTTTAGTAGATATGGGGTTTTGCCATGTTGGCCAGGCTGGTCTTGAACTCCTGACCTCATGTGATCTGCCCACCTCAGCCTCCCAAAGTGCTGGGATTACAGGTATGAGCCAACATGCCTGGCCTAAGAAAAAATTTTAATTAAAACTTGCCGCTGCCTACAAATCTCACAGCACCCTGATGTCACATATATCAGCCGCAACTCCACCTGCTAACCCAGAGCTCCAGATTCCTGACATGAGGTAGTAGGTGAGACTGTTGAGGCAGGAATTTGAAGATTGGCCTGCAGTGGGGCCGCGTGCGGGTCAGGGGGTTGGCACGGGGGCCTCTCTTAGCTAGCGAGTGCACTAGAGGCCTCCCAACACAGGCATCACACCTCGGATCAATTTTGTCCTGTCTCCCTATCCCCATGCTCACTGTAACACTCATAATGTGCTTTGCTGCACCTGGTGGGAGGAGTTAACGATATGTAATAGTGGTAGCTGAGAATTGTGGGGGCTAACATGGCTTCAAAACACTCCCTTTGTCACTGATTGGGAAGTAATGAGAGGTCTAGATCTTTAGCTTGGGCTTCCAAACTCAATGGATGGGCTCAGTTAACTCCCAGCATCACTCCCACCCCTCCGGGAGGACACTCCACTACTCTGGCACTCTCTTGAAGACTCAGATTATTACTTCCTCCACACCAGAGCACCACTCTTCTGTGAAGACTCTTTGGCCCAGCCTCCAGTTTTCCCTTGCTTGCCTGAACTCCTGAGGTCACTGTCTGGGCCTCTTCCCTGGTGTTTATTCTAACTGTGTGTGCATGTAGGTCAGTCATATGAAAGTTTGTCATTTTGGTAGTTAATATCAGCCCTACTTTGTATTTGCTTTAAGAGGAAGTGAAATACATTCGTGCATTTATTTTGTCTTTTGTACTTGGCTGGGATTCTGTAATTAATACTTGCTGTTTAAATGTAGACTGGCTGTACGTGGCTCCCTCGAATCTGACACTAGCATTTCCTCTTGGGCTTGTCACAGGTGATCTGACCTGGGCCTGTCCCCGGACTGATGGCGGCAGCATTGTTAGTGGGAAAGCAGGTGGAGCAGGAGGCTCTGTGGGATTGGGATGTGGACAGTGGGAGATGCCAGGGGCACCCCAGTCTTACCCTGAGAACAGTAAGCCCTTCTCAGCAGGGCTCCTGGCCTTCCCTGGCCAGGCCAGTCCTCAAAAGATACCAGCCAGTCCCTGAAGGAACCCCCTACCCCTCAAGTGCTGCTTTCCAGGAGGGCTGAGAGCAGAGGGCCCTGTCTTGGCTTCTGCGCTGCTGTAGAAGGTCCCCATATTTCCTTCTTTAGATTCTTATATATGCTTCCTGTGACTTTAGGCTTTGGCTTTGGAGCAATGAGGCCTCAGTGTGAAAACTAACAGGGTAAAAAGATGGGGCCTGGCAGAAGGTGGCACATCCGGAGCCTGAGAATGAGCCAATCCCCCGGGGATCTTGTGCAGTGCAGTGCACTTCTGTAGTGCAGTTTTGAAATTGCCTTTCTGACTCAAAGGAAAGCCCTTTGGCCTCCATGTGAGAGCAATGCTGATGATTCTTTGCCCTTCTTTGGCTCTGATATGGGCGGGGGATGGGGAGTATGTGGATGTGAAGCAGTAGGGAGAACAGGCCAGCAGAATAAACAGACAGTGTCAGCCCAGGCCTGGGGTTGTCACTGGAGGAAGGGTTGTACCCTGGGGAGAGGATCATGGGGGTGCCCAGTGACAAGGAGAGAGGTTGGCTCAGGAGGAAGGAGACTGAGAACAAAGAAAGCGAACATCCACACAGAGAGAGAAAGGGAACGTGTGGGGGCAGGGCGAGAACACAGAGACCAGCCTCCCCCTTCCCCACCCTCCTCTCCGCCCCCAGACACTGACGTTCTCAGGCTGCCCTTTCACATATGGGCCTAATTCAGGTAGAGTGAAATCTTGCATTGCTCCGGGTAAAAATTATTGCTTTGGATAATGAAATCTTTGTCATTGGAAACTTTAAAAGAAAAAAATGCCCTTCAAGCCGTGACTTATGGGCAGTGTGGTGATGGAAACGAATTCATCATCCCATTTCCCGCACTGGAATGGGAGGACAAGGTTGATTCATAGCTGGGCCGCGTGCGGCTGGTCCCGCGGGCAGGGTGGCGGCCGGGCCTGCTGAGGAGCCAGCAGGGGAAGCTCCAGCCGAGCGCTGGGGCTGTGGGAGCGGAGTGATAAGCGGCTGGTTGGCACGCTCTGGTCTCAGGTTTTCCTGAGAATTTGCCTGAGCTGTCAAAACATTTTAGGGCTGTGCAGAGACTGTGTGCCTCAACAGAAAAATCCCATAATGGCTCTATGAAACAAGCTGTATTTTTTTCTTTAAACTCTAAAACTCATAGCCATAAAAAAATCTCCCAGCCAAAGCCATTTGACCAGCACGAGTGAACAGTATGGCTGTGAATCTCTCTGACTGTGGCACTTTTCATCTGAGAAGTACAATGTGCTTTCAATTTTATATTTCATTGATGTTCTGGGCTCCCCACAGGGTAAACAAAGGGAACACATCATTGAATGTGTTTGGTAGAAGTGGAGTTCAGCCACAGCCAGTGATCCTGAGCGTGTTGCACATGGAACCAGGAGCCTCCAGTCCCTAGCTCAGGGTCTGGGCCTCATCCCCAGGCCTCTAGCCAGTAGTCCACCTCCAGGCCCTGTGTTCCTTCCATTTCATGACAAGGGTTTGGCCACCTGGAGTCAGGGTCCTGACATCTTTATAGGGCAGAATTGTTTTTGTTTCCCTAAAGCCTAAAGGTCAATGAGCATGAGAGGTTGTAGAAAGGCTGAAGGGAATTCCTGGGCAGACTTGGGGTAGAGGACCTCCAAAGGACCAGGGCAGACTGGTCTGCCAGTTTGGAGACCCACCAGGTAGGGTAGCAGGATCTGGCTTGGACTCCTGTCAGGTGACATCTGGTCCAGTTGTCATTCCTCCCACAGCAATTCTTCATGGGGAAATGGAGTAGAAAAGCTGCCACTGAGGTGGTTGGGCTGTGGAGAGAGGGTTATTGATATGGGCAAGAGATGGCTTTTGCTGGTGTTCAGACTCTGCCGCCTCCTTCACTTTGCCAGATATTTGTATGTGAGTGCTGGCGGACCTAGGCACTGGGGATTTGGGAAAACAGGACAGATACATTCCACTTTCACGTTTAGGGCATGGGGGAGACAATAAGTAATAAACAAATGAGAAAATTTCAAGTTAAGTTCCAAGAAGAAAATATGACAGAGTGAGGAGAGGGAGAGGGCCTGGGGGCTTCTTTGGATTAGGAGGTCAGCAAGGCTTTTGCAAGGAGAAGTCCCCTAAACTTAGTCCCAAAGACAAGATGGGGCCTGCTGTACTGAAACCTAGTGGGAGAGTATTCCAGAACAGCGGCAGAGTCCCTGAGGTGGGAACAGACACACAATTTACCGGCCCCCAGCAGCTGAATATTCTCCCAGAACCCACATGGCACGTGGGAGACTAGGAAGCAGACGTGTGGAGTTTGCATTCTGGCTGCCTGTTTACTTCCTAACTGTGGGGCTTTGAGCAAGTCACTCAACCACTGAGACCCTCAGCTTCCTTATCTGTGAAGTAAAAGGATGACTCTCTCTGGGGCTTACTGTGTGTATTAGAAATGATGTAATGTAAAAGGCTTTAGCACTGCTCCTGGCACCCAGGATTAGTAGCTTTGCTTTATGGCTAAAGGCGCCTTCTAGCCCTCCCAGCTCTGCCTGGTTTCTCATTCCTCATTGCCTGCGAGCAAAAGCCCAGCCTTCTGTGCCAGCCCCTCACACCCTGGCGGTCTCGGTCCAGCCACCTAACATAGGCTCCCTAGAACTCAGGATTGCCTGTTCTCAGGACTCCAAACACCACTGCTTCTGGAACTTTGACAAGGCAGTGGCATGCTCGCTTCCTGCCTGGGTCATGAAGATCCCCTCTCAGAACCACCTGCCCCTCTTGCAGCAGACCCCTCCTGCAGGCCAAGACCTCAGCCAAATCAGAGGCAGCCCAGAAGGAAAGGCAACTTTCTGTGAAGACAGATCCCAGTGCAATCCCAACTCTTCCTCTTGCTATGTGATCTTGACTGATTTATTTAAACTACTGAGTCCAATTGGCCTCATCTGTAAAATAATGGTACTTTCAGAGGTAGGAAATTACTATTTTACCACAACCAGTACCAGTTTCACATGGGAAAGGAATGATCTTAGTTTAGTAAAATGCACAGTAGGTGGGAGGCTGAGGCGGGTGGATCATGAGGTCAGGAGATCGAGACCATCCTGGCTAACACGGTGAAACCCCGTCTCTACTAAAAATACAAAAAATTAGCCGGGCATGGTGGCGGGCGCCTGTAGTCCCAGCTACTCGGGAGGCTGAGGCAGGAGAATGGCGTGAACCCAGGAGGCGGAGGTTGTGGTGAGCCGAGATAGTGCCACTGCAGTCCAGCCTGGGTGAAAGAGTGAGACTCCATCTCAAACAAATAAAAAAAAAAATGCACAGTAGGACATGAGGGTGGGAGGGGCCCCTAGGGGAGGCTGGAGTAAGAAGAGGAATAGGGAACCATCCTAGTCTGCATGAGAAGGGACCAGAATTGGTGGTGGGCTCGGGGAGAGGATTAGAGAAGAGAGGGCTGCAGCAACCAGGAACGGAGGCAGAAGGGTAGGAAATGCCCAGGGGCTTCCTAAGAACTTAAGTCCACTTTTAAATTTCCCTGCATCTTGGAGTGAGATGCACGTTTCCAGCTATTGCCCCTAAATCTTCAGAAAAATCTCTACATCCAACTTCCATGCCTGCTTGTACTCAGAAGCTTGGGGATCAGGGAAAGTTTCTGGGTCTGTGCTGGGAGGTGTCATAGGAAGAGACACAAAATGAAGAAGAAGGATAATTCAGCAGAATTCTGAAATCAGCGCCAGAAGAGGATAGAAGAAGCACCAATCTCTGAGAATTCCCAGAAGTCTTGGTGAGGGCACTGCACATGCCAGGGGGAGGGGTTCAAGACAATCAGGTCTAGATCTTAAGGGACAGATGACCCCGGCTGACACCAGGGTTGGGCCACTTTTTAAGGCACTGGAGGAGAGTCAGCAGCTTCTGTGGGTATTTGTATTCAAAGGGCTCTCTTACAAGACATTCACGGACATTACCCTAGCTGGGGGACTTGGCCCCCTGGTGGTCTCTCTTACCTGGCTTGGGTCAGAGGGTAGGGTTTAGGTGATTTGCTTCCTGAAAGCATGGGGATGCCTAGCTGGTTCCTTAATGCCTTCTGATGCCTCTGTGTCCCCAGTGCAGCCCTGAGGTGTGGGACCAAGCCTCAGAAAACAAATCACATGCACTGAAGCAATTTCTGCTTTGAGTGCTGGTCTGCTCTCCAGACCCACTGGTTATTTGAGTGAGCCAGCGAATGAGTGAAGAGCTGCTCAGGAATTCCATCCTGTCCAAGTGGTTGGAGTGATGCAGCCAGCTTCCAAGAGTGAGCTGAGTCCCCTTCACCTTAACAGCTGCAAGGATGCAGGGGAGTGTTGGTGGAAGAGTGGTGCATCTTTGCACAGAAATTCAGGTTCTAGGCTTGGGCTTAGAGGGAAGCCAGATATTCAGGCCTATCCTTGGCCATCCTGGTAACCAGTACTCTTGGAGGTCCTCCACCTCCCTAGGAGGGCTGCTGGTTCTACTCATGAGGGGAACTCCACAAGCTCCTTTGGATGGGGCTCCTTCCTTCTCTCTGCCCTCTCCTCTACTGCGTGATCCCATTAAGCTGCTCTGGCTCCTGGAAGGCAAAGTCCAGGAAATTCATCGTCTCTAAGCAGACTTTAACCCCAGCCTGTACCACAAGGCTCCCCAGAGGTGCAGGAGCACAGAGAAGCTTCCCACTTGGAACAGAGGGAAAAATACAGCATGAATTCATGTCTCAATGAATTATCCTGCAATCATCTTCATATAAATCACCTCAAATGGCTCAGATGTAGGGGGCTGGTGCAAGTTTGTGTTGCCACAAGAAAGCTTTCCTGGGACATTTGGGAGCCCAGCTCTTTGAACCCAGGATTTAGAGAGGAATTGTAAGCTATATCCCTGGAGACCCCAGCCTCCTTCCTCAGCACTGTCACCTGGGAATGCCACTTCCTTACTCCAAAAAGGCTTCTAGTCCCTGTTGTCTGTTGACCTAAAAGGTAAAGAAGCTGAGGCAAAATTAATATAAGTAGAAAGTTTATTTGGGCCAGGCCTGAGGATTACAACCCAGCAGTATAGATTCAAGTTGTCCTGAGTATACTGTCTAATTAGCAGCAGTTACAAATGGGAAGGAAGAGGCCATTCCTGAGTTGTTTACCAAGACTTTACCTTAAAATAACATAAACTGTTGACTATACATTGTTAAGCTATAGACTGGGTTATAGTTTCTGGTGGAGCATTATTAGGTTACTTTGTAGCTACTAGTGGCAATAGCAAGCAGTTTTAAGAGATGAATACATATCTTAAAAATGGGGTGGGGGAGTAGGATGTGATTGTGGCTATAGTTTCATGCCTCTCTGGGTCTGATAATTTAAAAGGATTTGCGTTTCTCAGATAAATTTTCTTTTATTTTCTCATTTCCCTCTTTTGATCAAAAATATTTCTTCTTGAAAGCATTGATGATCAAAATCTGAGTGTCAAGGTGTCCCTCATTGCTGGGAAGGCTCGATCTTAGGGTAGTCCTGTCAAAGTCATTGATCTATAGCTGCTGTCACTTGTTAAATCATCTCTAGTCTGTAGGGTACCATGAATTTAGTTTTCTTAGAAGTAGTAAAACAATGAGAGATATATAGTAGAAATATAATACACACAAGGACTATAATAAAGAAGAAAATGTGTATGCCAAAATTTTTAATAAACCTATTCCATTGGGGAAGTCAGTTAAACGCATCATGAAGAAAATTAAAGCCTGGTCCTTTTTTAGAGACTTGTATCCAGGAAGTAGTTCAGGATGTAGTCCAAATTGTAGGAAGATAATAAAAACTCAGAAAAATGGACAGGGCTAGAGTCTAATAACAGGTGTACTGTAGTTTTCTTCTGAAACATAATTTTTTTCTGTTTTCAGCCCCCATTTTTACCAACGATAAATCTTAGTAGGACCAATTTATTTGTAAAATAAGTTTTAATGTTATACTTGGTCTGATTACTTGCATAAAGTGCAAGAAAAATGATTGGCCAAATAGGCTCTTTTAGGTTGACTTTGCTGGAACTTTCATAAGGAATTTTGGATTACACTGTTAAAAGTTTTGAGGTTAGGAAATCAAGCCAAGGATTCACCACTAGACTGCCATTGTAATACCTGTAGGAATTGGTAAATTTGTCTCTTCACAAGGTCCCCAAAATATCTTGAGGTTCCCAAACCTGTCTAAAAGTGACATTCTTTACTTACCACAAGGACAGAAATCTTGAAAGGGAACTGTGTAAGATAAGGTTTCAGGCCAGTCTTTCCAAGAGGCTTTTTATCAGCTCTATAAAGTCAACCTCAATTCCTCAAAGCAGTCTGATCATCTCTGAAAATATACCATTCCAGTCAAAGTCTGGCTAAAAACACCACCACCACCAAACAATGTCTTCAGTTGTGTCCTGTTACAGAAAACAGATTCTTATTGAACTAGTGCAGATTACTAGATTGCCATGAAATAAGAATACCCATGAATAATTTCCAAATTTGGGGGAAACAAAGTAGAGAGAAAGGCAAATGTTTTGATTTTGCTTATAAAGATATATTACCCAATTGCTATAACCTATAAATAGCTCAAAAGAAAAATGTATTTTTGACTCTGGAAAACAAAATATAAAAAAAATCAGCAATGTTTGAAATAAAAGGTCTTAAAAATCATTTCAGTTCTTTATCAGTTTAGTGACATGTAATTCATGTTCTGCTTGATGTTGGGTTAGTAATCTTCATGAACACGTTAGTTTATTGAGTTTTGAAGATTTTTACTTAGTCCAGTGGTATGATCTCTGAAGTTATCAGATGTCTGTACTCAAGAGTACTTGTCAGGGTCCCTTTTCATGAATTTCTTTGAAGAAAAAGCAAATTTTGGATTGTAGCAAATTTTTAAAAAAATTTTGTTATTGTACTTCAAGTTCTGGGATACATGTGCAGAATGTGCAGGTTTGTTACATAGGTATACATGTGCCATGGTGGTTTGCTGCACACATCAACTCATCATCTACATTAGGTATATCACCTAATGCTATCCTCCCCTAGCCCCCCATCCCCCGACAGGCCCTGGTGTGTGATGTTCTCCTCCCTGTGTCCACATGTTCTCATTGTTCACCTCCAACTTATGAGTGAGAATATGCGGTGTTTGGTTTTCTGTTCTTGTGTTAGTTTGCTGAGAATGATGGTTTCCAGCTTCATCCATGTCCCTGCAAAGGACATGAACTCATCCTTTTTTTTTTTTTTACAGCTGCATAGTATTCCATGGTGTAGATATACCACGTTTTCTTTAACCAGTCTATTATTGATGGACATTTGGGTTGGGTCCAAGTCTTTGCTATTTTGTGAACAGTGCTGCAATAGCAATAAACATATGTGTGCATGTGTTGTGGTTTTTTATTTTTTTTCTTTTTTGAGATGGAGTCTTGCTCTGTCGCCCAGGCTGGAGTGCAGGGGTGCAATCTTGGCTCACTGCAAGCTCCATCTCCTGGGTTCACGCAATTCTCCTGCCTCCGCCTCCCAAGTAGCTGGGACTACAGGTGCCCACCACCATGCCTGGCTAATTTTTTTTAATTTTTTAGTAGAGACAGGGTTTCACCATGTTAGCCAGGATGGTCTTGATCTCCTGACCCTGCCTTGATCCCCCTGCCTCGGCCTCCCAAAGTGCTGGGATTACAGGTGTGAGCCACTGTGCCCGGCTGCATGTGTTTTTATAGTAGAATGATTTATAATCCTTTGCTGGGTCAAATGGTATTTCTGGTTCTAGATCCCTGAGGAATCGCCACACTGTCTTCCACAATGGTTGAACTAGTTTATACTCCTACCAACATTGTAAAAGAGTTCTGATTTCTCCACATCCTCTCCAGCATCTGTTGTTTCCTGACTTTTTAATAATTGCCATTCTAACTGGTGTGAGATGGTATCTCATTGTGGTTTTGATTTGCATTTCTCTGATGACCAGTGATGATGAGCTTTTTTTCAGATGTTTGTTGGCTGCATAAATGTCTTCTTTTGAGAACTGTCTGTTCATATCCTTCACCACTTTTTGATGGGATTTTTTTTTCTTGTAAATTTGTTTAAGGCCTTTGTAGATTCTGGATATTAGCCCTTTGTCAGATGGATAGATTGCAAAAATGTTCGCCTATTCTGTAGGTTGCCTGTTCACTCTGATGATAGTTTCTTTTGCTGTGCAGAAGCTCTTTAGTTTAATTAGATCCCATTTGCCTATTTTGGCTTTTGTTTCCGTTGCTTTAAACCATTTTTTGTTTTGTTTTGTTTTGTTTTTCAGAAGAATCAAAGTAGAATACTAATTGTCTGTAAATGACAAAAGACTTAGGATAGCTATGGTTAAAGACAAAATTGACAAGGAAATTTGGTTATTCCTGTGGCATACAGCAGTTTAATCATAATCATGACTGATTTCATATACCAAGACATATCTGAAGTGGAATCTCCTACAATTTTGGAACATATTAACATAGCTATACAAATATAACTCAAAGTTAAATACTATTTCTTATTTGACAGTGCTTCCCATATGATTTTAATATACCAAATAAGCCTAATATATCTCTCTTGGACTTCCAGGGTTTTCTTCTGGAAAAGACTTAATTTTAGAATTTTAAATTTGATTTTGGGAGTATGTCAGATACTGAAGGTTTAAAATATTTGATCAAAATAGGATTACAGGCCACTAATAATAGTCATTCATTTAACCAAAGTGATAATTCAAATATTTCTGAAAGCAAAAACCTTCTTTGCATATAAATAGGACCAAAAAACCACAAAAAACAACACCTTTACTCTTTGATAGAGAGGAGACTCAGTTTTCCAAGCAATCAAAAGACCTAATAAAGACAGCATTGGATGAAAAAATGTCTTTCCCTCTTTTTTCCACTCAGAAGGTGAACAAAAAATTAATCCTTATTAGTACTTCACAAAAATATTGTTCAAAAGAGAAAAACAAATCTTACCTTTGCATCAGTGTATTATTAATGTAAAGCTAATTTTAATTAAACTTTATAAACAAATCTATCCAGATGTTTATTTACAAGATGGCTGAATAGGAACAGCTCCAGTCTACAGCTCCCAGCATGAGTGACGCAGAAGACTGGTGATTTCTGCATTTCCAACTGAGGTACCAGGTTCATCTCACTGGGGCTTGTCGGACAGTGGGGGCAGGACAGTGAGTGCAGCCCACTGAGTGTGAGCTAAAGCAGGGCAAGGCATCACCTCACCTGAGAAGCACAGGGGGTCGGGGAATTCCCTCTCCTAGCCAAGGGAAGGGGTGAGAGATGGCACCTGGAAAATCGGGTCACTCCCACCCTAGCACTGTGCTTTTCCAATGGTCTTAGCAAACAGCACACCAGGAGATTATATCCCACGCATGGCTCAGAGGGTCCCATGCCCACGGAGCCTCACTCTTTGCTAGCACGGCAGTCTGAGATCAAACTGCAAGGCGGCAGCAAGGCTGGGGGAGGGGCACCCACCATTGCTGAGACTTGAGTAGGTAAGCAAAGCTTCTGGGAAGCTTGAACTCGGTGGAGCCCACTGCAGCTCAAGGAGGCCTGCCTGCTTCTGTGGACCCCACCTCTGGGGGCAGGGCATAGCTGAACAAAAGGCAGCAGAAACCTCTGCAGACTTAAATGTCCCTGTCTGACAGCTTTGAAGAGAGTAGTGGTTCTCCCAGCATGGAGTTTGAGATCTGAGAACGGACAGACTGCCTCCTCAAGTGGGTCCCTGACCCCCAAGTAGGCTAACTGGGAGGCACCCCCCAGTAGGGGTAGACTGACACCTCACACGGCCAGGTACCCCTCTGAGACGAAGCTTCCAGAGGAATGATCAGGCAGGAAAACTTGCTGTTCAGCAATATTTGCTGTTCTGCAGCCTCCATTGCTGATACACAGGCAAACAGGGTCTGGAGTGGACCTCCAGCAAACTCCAACAGACCTGCTTCTGAGGGTCCTGACTGTTAGAAGGAAAACTAACAAACAGAAAGGACATCCACACCAAAACCCCATCTGTACGTCACCATCATCAAAGACCAAAGGTAGATAAAACCACAAAGTTGGGGAAAAAACAGAGCAGAAAAGCTGAAAATTCTAAAAATCAGAGCGCCTCTCCCACTCCAAAGGAACGCAGCTCCTCACCAGCAACAGAACAAAGCTGGACAGAAAATGACTTTGATGAGTTGAGAGAAGAAGGCTTCAGGTGATCAAATTTCTCTGAGCTAAGTTTGAACCCATTGCAAAGAAGCTAAAAACCTTGAAAAAAGATTAGACGAATGGCTAACTAGAATAACCAGTGTAGAGAAGTCCTTAAATGACCTGATGGAGCTGAAAATCATGGCACAAGAACTATGTGACAAATGCACAAGCTTCAGTAGCTGATTTGATCAACTGGAAGAAACGGTATCAGTGATTGAAGATCAAATGAATGAAGTGAAGTGAGAAGAGAAGTTTAGAGAAAAAAGAGTAAAAAGGAATGAACAAAGCCTCCAAGAAATATAGGACTCTGTGAGAAGAGCAAATCTACATCTGATTGGTGTTCCTGAAAGTGACGGGGAGAATGGAACCAAGTTGGAAAACACTCTGCAGGATATTATCCAGGAGAACTTCCCCAACGTAGCAAGGCAGGCCAACATTCAAATTCAGGAAATACAGAGAATGCCACAAAGATACTCCTCAAGAAGAGCAACTCCAAGACACATAATTTTCAGATTCACCAAAGTTGAAATGAAGGAAAAAATGTTAAGGGCAGCCAGAGAGAAAGGTCCGGTTACCCACAAAGGGAAGCCCATCAGACTAACAGCTGATCTCTTGGCAGAAACTCTACAAGCCAGAAGAGACTGGGGGCCAATATTCAACATTCTTAAAGAAAAGAATTTTCAACCCAGAATTTCATATCCAGCCAAACAAAGCTTTATAAGTGAAGGAGAAATAAAATTCTTTACAGACAAGCAAATGCTGAGAGACTTTGTCAACACCAGGCCTGCCCTACAAGAGCTCCTGAAGGAAGCACTAAACATGGAAAGGAACAACCAGTACCAGCCACTGCAAAAACATGACAAATTGTAAAGACCATCGAGGCTAGGAAGAAACTGCATCAACTAACGAGCAAAATAACCAGCTAACATCATAATGACAGGATGAAATTCACACATAACAATATTAACCTTAAATGAAAATGGGTTAAATGCTCCAATTAAAAGACACAGACTGGCATTTCGGATAAACAGTCAAGACCCATCAGTGTGCTGTATTCAGGAGACCCATCTCACATGCAGAGACACACATAAGCTCAAAATAAAGGGATGGAGGAAGATCTACCAAGCAAATGGAAAACAAAGGTAGGGGTTGCAATCCTAGTCTCTGATAAAACAGACTTTAAACCAACAAAGATCAAAAGAGACAAAGAAGGCCATTACATAATGGTAAAGGGATCAATTCAACAAGAAGAGCTAACTATCCTAAATATATATGCACCCAATACAGGAGCACCCAGATTCATAAAGCAAGTCCTTAGAGATCCACAAAGAGATTTAGATTCCTACACAATAATAATGAGAGACTTTAACACCCCACTGTCAACATGAGACAGATCAACGAGACAGAAAGTTAACAAAGATATCCAGGAATTGAACTCAGCTCTGCACCAAGTGGACCTAAAGACAGCTACAGAATTCTCCACCCCAAATCAACAGAATATACGTTCTTCTCAGCACCACATCGCACTTATTCCAAAACTGACCACACAGTTGGAAGTAAAGCACTCCTCAGCAAATGTAAAAGAACAGAAATTATGAGAAACTGTCTCTCAGACCACAGTGCAATCAAATTAGAAGTCAGGATTAAGAATCCCACTCAAAACCGCTCAACTACATGGAAACTGAACAACCTGCTCCTGAATGAATACTGGGTACATAACAAAATGAAGGCAGAAATAAAGATGTTCTTTGAAACCAATGAGAACAAAGACACAACATACCAGGATCTCTGGGACACATTTAAAGCAGTGTGTAGAGGGAAATTTATAGCACTAAATGCCCACAAGAAAAAGCAGGAAAGATCTAAAATTGACACCCTAACATCACAATTAAAAGAACTAGATAAGCAAGAGCAAACATATTCAAAAGCTAGCAGAAGGCAAGAAATAACTAAGATCAGAGCAGAACTGAAAGAGATAGAGACACAAAAACCCTTCAAAAAATCAATGAATCCAGGAGCTGGTTTTCTGAAAAGATCGACAAAATTGATAGACCACTATCAAGACTAATAAAGAAGAAAAGAGAAGAATCAAATAGATGCAATAAAAAATGATACAGGAGATATCACCACCGATCCCACAGAAATACAAACTACCATCAGAGAATACTATAAACACCTCTATGCAAATAAACTAGAAAATCTAGAAGAAATGGATAAATTCCTGGACACATATACACTCCCAAGACTAAACCAGGAAGAAGTTGAATCCCTGAATACACCAATAACAGGCTCTGAAATGGAGGCAATAATTAATAGCCTACCAACCAAAAAAAGTCCAGGACCAGATGGATTCACAGCCAAATTCTACCAGAGGTACAAGGAGAAGCTGGTACCATTCCTTCTGAAAGTATTCCTATCAATAGAAAAAGAAGGAATCCTCCCTAACTCGTTTTATGAGGCCAGCATCATCCTGATACCAAAGCCTGGCAGAGACACAATAAAAAAAGAGAATTTTAGACCAATATCCCTGATGAACATCGATGCAAAAATCCTCAATAAAATACTGGCAAACCAAATCCAGCAGCACATCAAAAAGCTTATCCACTATGATCAAGTGGGCTTCATCCCTGGGATGGAAGGCTGGTTCAACATACACAAATCAATAAATATAATCCAGCATATAAACAGAACCAAAGACAAAAACCACATGATTATCTCAATAGATGCAAAAAAAGGCCTTTGACAAAATTCAACAACCCTTCATGCTAAAAACTCTCAATAAATTAGGTATTGATGGGACATATCTCAAAATAATGACAGCTATTTATGACAAACCTACAGCTAATATACTGAATGGGCAAAAACTGGAAGCATTCCCTTTGAAAACTGGCACAAGTCAGGGATGCCCTCTCTTACCACTCCTGTTCAACATGTTATTGGAAGTTCTGGCCAGGACAATCAGGCAAGAGAAATAAATAAAGGGTATTCAATTAGGAAATGAGGAAGTCAAATTGTCCCTGTTTGCAGATGACATGATTGTATATTTAGAAAACCCCACCGTCTCAGCCCAAAATCTCTTTAAGCTGATAAGCAACTTCAGCAAAGTCTCAGGATACAAAGTCAATGTGCAAAAATCACAAGCATTCCTATACACCATTAACAGACAAACAGAGAGCCAAATCATGAGTGAACTCCCATTCACAATTGCTACAAAGAGAATAAAATACCTAGGAATCCAACTTACAAGGGATGTAAAGGAGCTCTTCAAGGAGTACTACAAAGCACTGCTCAACGAAATAAAAGAGGACACAAACAAATGGAAGAACACTTCATGCTCATGGATAGGAAGAATCAATATTTTGAAAATGGCCATACTGCCTAAAGTAATTTATAGATTCAATGCCATCCCCATCAAGCTACCAATGACTTTCTTCACAGAATTGGAAAAAACTACTTTAAAGTTCATATGGAACCAAAAAAGAGCTGACATTGCCAAGAGAATCCTAAGTCAAAAGAACAAAGCTGGAGGCATCATGCTACCTGACTTCAAATTATATTACAAGGCTCAGTAACCAAAACAGCATGGTACTGGTACCAAAACAGAGATATAGACCAATGGAACAGAACAGAGCCCTCAGAAATCATACCACACATCTACAACCATCTGGTCTTTGACAAACATGACAAAAACAAGCAATGGGGAAAGGATTCCCTATTTAATAAATGGTGTTGTGAAAACTGGCTAGCCATATGTAGAAAGCTGAAACTGGATCCCTTCCTTACACCTTATACAAAAATTAATTCAAGATGGGTTAAAGACTTACATGTTAGACCTAAAACCATAAAAACCCTAGAAGAAAACCTAGGCGATACCATTCAGGACACGGGCATGTGCAAGGACTTCATGTCTAAAACACCAAAAGCAATGGCAACAAAAGCCAAAATTGACAAATGGGATCTAATTAAACTAAAGAGCTTCTGCACAGCAAAAGAAACTACCATCAGAGTGAACAGGCAACCAACAAAATGGGAGAAAATTTTCGCAATCTACTCATCTGACAAAGGGCTAATATCCAGAATCTACAATGAACTCAAACAAATTTACAAGAAAAAAACAAACAACCCCATCAAAAAGTGGGCAAAGGACATGAACAGACACTTCTCAAAAGAAGACATTTATGCAGCCAAAAAACACATGAAAAAATGCTCACCATCACTGGCCATCAGAGAAATGCAAATCAAAACCACAATGAGATACCATCTCACACCAGTTAGAATGGCAATCATTAAAAAGTCAGGAAACAACAGGTGCTGGAGAGGATGTGGAGAAATAGGAACACTTTTACACTGCTGGTGGGACTGTAAACTAGTTCAACCATTGTGGAAGTCAGTGTGGCGATTCCTCAGGGATCTAGAACTAGAAATACCATTTGACCCAGCCATCCCATTACTGGGTATATACCCAAAGGACTATAAATCATGCTGCTATAAAGACACATACACACGTATGTTTATTGCGGCATTATTCACAATAGCAAAGACTTGGAACCAACCCAAATGTCCAACAATGATAGATTGGATTAAGAAAATGTGGCACATATATACCATGGAAAACTATGCAGCCATAAAAAATGATGAGTTCATGTCCTTTGTAGGGACATGGATGAAATTGGAAATCATCATTCTCAGCAAACTATCACAAGGACAAAAAACAAAACACCACATGTTCTCATTCATAGGTGGGAATTGAACAATGAGAATACTTGGACACAGGAAGGGGAACATCACACACCGGGGCCTGTTGTGGGTTGGGGGGAGGGGGGAGGGAAAGCATTAGGAGATATACCTAATGTAAATGACAAGTTAATGGGTGCAGCACACCAACATGGCACATGTATACATATGTAACAAACCTGTACATTGTGCACATGTACCCTAGAACTTAAAGTGTAATTAAAAAAAAAAAAGAAAAAAACAAACAACCCCATCAAAAAGTGGGCAAAGGATGTAAACAGACACTTCTCAAAAGAAGACATTTATGCAGCCAACAGACACATGAAAAAATGCTCATCATCACTGGCCATCAGAGACATGCAAATCAAAACCACAATGAGATACCATCTCACACCAGTTAGAATGGCAATCATTAAAAAGTCAGGAAACAACAGGTGCTGGAGAGGATGGGGAGAAATAGGAACACTTTAACACTGTTGGTGGGACTGTAAACTAATTCAACCATTGTGGAAGATAGTGTGGCAATTCCTCAATGATCTAGAACTAGAAATACCATTTGACCCAGCCATCCCATTACTGGGTATATACCCAAAGGATTATAAATCATGTTGCTATAAAGACACATGCACACATATGTTTATTGCGGCACTATTCACAATAGCAAAGACTTGGAACCGACTCAAATGTCCATCAGTGATAGACTGGATTAAGAAAATATGGCACATATACACCACGGAATACTATGCAGCCATAAAAAAGGAAGAGTTCATGTCCTTTGTAGGGACATGGATGAAGCTGGAAACCATCATTCTCAGCAAACTATCGCAAGGACAAAAAACCAAGCACTGCATGTTCTCACTCATAGGTGGGAATTGAACAACGAGAACACTTGGACACAGGAAGGGGAACATCACACACTGGGGCCTTTCGTGGTGTGGGGGGAGGAGGGGAGGGAGAGCATTAGGAGATATACCTAATGCAAATGACGAGTTAATGGGTGCAGTGCACCAACATGGCACATGTATACATATGTAACAAACCTGCACGTTGTGCACATGTACCCTAGAACTTAAAGTGTAATTAAAAACAAAAAACAAAAAACAAATCTATCCAATCTCAATCTCAGTTTTTTTTTTTTTTATTATACTTTAAGTTTTAGGGTACATGTGCACAACGTGCAGGTTAGTTACATATGTATACATGTGCCATGCTGGTGCGCTGCGCCCACTAACTCGTCATCTAGCATTAGGTATATCTCCCGATGCTATCCCTCCCCCCTCCCCCCACCCCACAACAGTCCCCAGAGTGTGATGTTCCCCTTCCTGTGTCCATGTGATCTCATTGTTCAATTCCCACCTATGAGTGAGAATATGTGGTGTTTGGTTTTTTGTTCTTGAGATAGTTTACTGAGAATGATGATTTCCAATTTCATCCATGTCCCTACAAAGGACATGAACTCATCATTTTTTATGGCTACATAGTATTCCATGGTGTATATGTGCCACATTTTCTTAATCCAGTCTATCATTGTTGGACATTTGGGTTGGTTCCAAGTCTTTGCTATTGTGAATATTGCCGCAATAAACATACGTATGCATGTGTCTTTATAGCAGCATGATTTATAGTCCTTTGGGTATATACCCAGTAATGGGATGGCTGGGTCAAATGGTATTTCTAGTTCTAGATCCCTGAGGAATCGCCACACTGACTTCCACAATGGTTGAACTAGTTTACAGTCCCACCAACAGTGTAAAAGTGTTCCTATTTCTCCACATCCTCTCCAGCACGTGTTGTTTCCTGACTTTTTAATGATTGCCATTCTAACTGGCATGAGATGGTATCTCATTGTGGTTTTGATTTGCATTTCTCTGATGGCCAGTGATGGTGAGCATTTTTTCATGTGTTTTTTGGCTGCATAAATGTCTTCTTTTGAGAAGTGTCTGTTCATGTCCTTTGCCCACTTTTTGATGGGGTTGTTTGTTTTTTTCTTGTAAATTTGTTTGAGTTCATTATAGATTCTGGATATTAGCCCTTTGTCAGATGAGTAGATTGCGAAAATTTTCTCCCATTTTGTTGGTTGCCTGTTCACTCTGATGGTAGTTTCTTTTGCTGTGCAGAAGCTCTTTAGTTTAATTAGATCCCATTTGTCAATTTTGGCTTTTGTTGCCATTGCTTTTGGTGTTTTAGACATGAAGTCCTTGCCCATGCCTATGTCCTGAATGGTAATGCCTAGGTTTTCTTCTAGGGTTTTTATGGTTTTAGGTCTAACGTTTAAATCTTTAATCCATCTTGAATTGATTTTTGTATAAGGCATAAGGAAGGGATCCAGTTTCAGCTTTCTACATATGGCTAGCCAGTTTTCCCAACACCATTTATTAAATAGGGAATCCTTTCCCTATTGCTTGTTTTTGTCATGTTTGTCAAAGATCAGATAGTTGTAGATATGCGGCATTATTTCTGAGGGCTCTATTCTGTTCCATTGATCTATATCTCTGTTTTGGTACCAGTACCATGCTGTTTTGGTTACTGTGGACTTGTAGTCTAGTTTGAAGTCAGGTAGTGTGATGCCTCCAGCTTTGTTCTTTTGGCTTAGGATTGACTTGGCGATGCGGGCTCTGTTTTGGTTCCATATGAACTTTAGAGTAGTTTTTTCCAATTCTGTGAAGAAAGTCATTGTTAGCTTGATGGGGATGGCATTGAATCTATAAATTACCTTGGGCAGTATGGCCATTTTCACGATATTGATTCTTCCTACCCATGAGCATGGAATGTTCTTCCATTTATTTGTATCCTCTTTTATTTTGTTGAGCAGTGCTTTGTAGTTCTCCTTGAAGAGGTCCTTCACATCCCTTGTAAGTTGGATTCCTAGGTATTTTATTCTCTTTGAAGCAATTGTGAATGGGAGTTCACTCATGATTTGGCTCTCTGTTTGTCTGTTGTTGGTGTATAAGAATGCTTGTGATTTTTATACATTGATTTTGTATCCTGAGACTTTGCTGAAGTCGCTTATCAGCTTAAGGAGATTTTGGGCTGAGACAATGGGGTTTTCTAGATATACAATCATGTCATCTGCAAACAGGGACAATTTGACTTCCTCTTTTCCTAATTGAATACCCTTTATTTCCTTCTCCTGCCTAATTGCCCTGGCCAGAACTTCCATCACTATGTTGAATAGGAGTGGTGAGAGAGGGTATCCCTGTCTTGTGCCATTTTTCAAAGGGAATGCTTCCAGTTTTTGCCCATTCAGAATGATATTGGCTGTGGGTTTGTCATAGATAGCTCTTATTATTTTGAAATACGTCCCATCAATACCTAATTTATTGAGTGTTTTTAGCATGAAGGGTTGTTGAATTTTGTCAAAGGCTTTTTCTGCATCTATTGAGATAATCATGTGGTTTTTGTCTTTGGCTCTGTTTATATGCTGGATTACATTTATTGATTTGCATATATTGAACCAGCCTTGCATCCCAGGGATGAAGCCCACTTGATCATGGTGGATAAGCTTTTTGATGTGCTGCTGGATTTGGTTTGCCAGTATTTTATTGAGGATTTTTGCATCAATGTCCATCAAGGATATTGGTCTAAAATTCTCTTTTTTTATTGTGTCTCTGCCTGGTTTTGGTATCAGAATGATGCTGGCCTCATAAAATGAGTTAGGGAGGATTCCCTCTTTTTCTATTGATTGGAATAGTTTCAGAAGGAGTGGTACCAGTTCCTCCTTGTACCTCTGGTAGAATTCGGCTGTGAACCCATCTGGTCCTGGACTCTTTTTGGTTGGTAAGCTATTGATTATTGCCACAATTTCAGCTCCTGTTATTGGTCTATTCAGAGATTCAACTTCTTCCTGGTTTAGTCTTGGGAGAGTGTATGTGTCCAGGAATTTATCCATTTCTTCTAGATTTTCTAGTTTATTTGCATGGAGGTGTTGGTAGTATTCTCTGATGGTAGTTTGTATTTCTGTGGGATCAGTGGTGATATCCCCTTTATCATTTTTTATTGCATCTATTTGATTCTTCCCTCTTTTTTTCTTTATTAGTCTTGCTAGCAGTCTATCAATTTTGTTGATCCTTTCAAAAAACCAGCTCCTGGATTCATTAATTTTTTGAAGGGTTTTTTGTGTCTCTATTTCCTTCAGTTCTGCTCTGATTTTAGTTATTTCTTGCCTTCTGCTAGCTTTTGAATGTGTTTGCTCTTGCTTTTCTAGTTCTTTTAATTGTGATGTTAGGGTGTCAATTTTGGATCTTTCCTGCTTTCTCTTGTGGGCATTTAGTGCTATAAATTTCCCTCTACACACTGCTTTGAATGCGTCCCAGAGATTCTGGTATGTTGTGTCTTTGTTCTCATTGGTTTCAAAGAACATCTGTATTTCTGCCTTCATTTCGTTATGTACCCAGTAGTCATTCAGGAGCAGGTTGTTCAGTTTCCATGTAGTTGAGCGGCTTTGAGTGGGATTCTTAATCCTGAGTTCTAGTTTGATTGCACTGTGGTCTGAGAGATAGTTTGTTATAATTTCTGTTCTTTTACGTTTGCTGAGGAGAGCTTTACTTCCCAGTATGTGGTCAATTTTTGAATAGGTGTGGTGTGCTGCTGAAAAAAATGTATATTCTGTTGATTTGGGGTGGAGAGTTCTGTAGATGTGTATTAGGTCCGCCTGGTGCAGAGCTGAGTTCAATTCCTGGGTATCCTTGTTGACTTTCTGTCTCGTTGATCTGTCTAATGTTGACAGTGGGGTGTTAAAGTCTCCCATTATTAATGTGTGGTAGTCTAAGTCTCTTTTTAGGTCACTCAGGACTTGCTTTATGAATCTGGGTGCTCCTGTATTGGGTGCATATATATTTAGGATAGTTAGCTCTTCTTGCTGAATTGATCCCTTTACCATTAGGTAATGGCCTACTTTGTCTCTTTTGATCTTTGTTGGTTTAAAGTCTGTTTTATGAGAGACTAGGATTGCAACCCCTGCCTTTTTGTTTTCCATTGGCTTGGTAGATCTTCCTCCATCCTTTTATTTTGAGCCTATGTGTGTCTCTGCACGTGAGATGGGTTTCCTGAATACAGCACACTGATGGGTCTTGACTCTTTATCCAATTTGCCAGTCTGTGTCTTTTAATTGGAGCATTTAGTCCATTTACATTTAAAGTTAATATTGTTATATGTGAATTTCATCCTGTCATTATGATGTTAGCTGGTTATTTTGCTCGTTAGTTGATGCAGTTTCTTCCTAGTCTCGATGGTCTTTACATTTTGGCATGATTTTGCAGTGGCTGGTACTGGTTGTCCCTTTCCCTGTTTAGTGCTTCCTTCAGGAGCTCTTTTAAGGCAGGCCTGGTGGTGACAAAATCTCTCAGCATTTGCTTGTCTGTAAAGTATTTTATTTCTCCTTCACTTATGAATCTTAGTTTGGCTGGATATGAAATTCTGGGTTGAAAATTCTTTTCTTTAAGAATGTCGAATATTGGCCCCCACTCTCTTCTGGCTTGTAGGGTTTCTGGCAAGAGATCAGCTGTTAGTCTGATGGGCTTCCCTTTGAGGGTAACCCGACCTTTCTCTCTGGCTGCCCTTAACATTTTTTCCTTCATTTCAACTTTGGTGAATCTGACAATTATGTGTCTTGGAGTTGCTCTTCTTGAGGAGTATCTTTGTGGTGTTCTCTGTATTTCCTGAATCTGAACGTTGGCCTGCCTTGCTAGATTGGGGAAGTTCTCCTGGATAATATCTTGCAGAGTGTTTTCCAACTTGGTTCCATTCTCCCTGTCACTTTCAGGTACACCAATCAGACGTAGATTTGGTCTTTTCACATAGTCCCATATTTCTTGGAGGCTTTGCTCATTTCTTTTTATTCTTTTTTCTCTAAACTTCCCTTCTCGCTTCATTTCATTCATTTCATCTTCCATTGCTGATACCCTTTCTTCCAGTTGATCGCATCGGCTCCTGAGGCTTCTGCATTCTTCACGTAGTTCTCGAGCCTTGGTTTTCAGCTCCATCAGCTCCTTTAAGCACTTTTCTGTATTGGTTATTCTAGTTATACATTCTTCTAAATTTTTTTCAAAGTTTTCAACTTCTTTGCCTTTGGTTTGAATTTCCTCCTGTAGCTGAGAGTAATTTGATCGTCTGAAGCCTTCTTCTCTCAGCTCGTCAAAGTCATTCTCCATCCAGCTTTGTTCCGTTGCTGGTGAGGAACTGCGTTCCTTTGGAGGAGGAGAGGCGCTCTGCTTTTTAGAGTTTCCAGTTTTTCTGTTCTGTTTTTTCCCCATCTTTGTGGTTTTATCTACTTTTGGTCTTTGATGATGGTGGTGTACAGATGGGTTTTTGGTGTGGATGTCCTTTCTGTTTGTTAGTTTTCCTTCTAACAGACAGGACCCTCAGCTGCAGGTCTGTTGGAGTGACACCCTGCCATGTGAGGTGTCAGTGTGCCCCTGCTGGGGGGTGCCTCCCAGTTAGGCTGCTCGGGGTTCAGGGGTCAGGGACCCACTTGAGGAGGCAGTCTGCCCGTTCTCAGATCTCCAGCCGTGTGCTGGGAGAACCACTGCTCTCTTCAAAGCTGTCCGACAGGGACATTTAAGTCTGCAGAGGTTACTGCTGTCTTTTTGTTTGTCTGTGCCCTGCCCCCAGAGGTGGAGCCTACATAGGCAGGCAGGCCTCCTTGAGCTGTGGTGGGCTCCACCCAGTTCGAGCTTCCTGGCAGCTTTGTTTACCTAATCATGCCTGGGCAATGGCGGGCGCCCCTCCCCCAGCCTCGCTGCTGCCTTGCAGTTTGATCTCAGACTGCTGTGCTAGCAATCAGCAAGACTCCGTGGGCATAGGACCCTCTGAGCCAGGTGCGGGATATAATCTCGTGTTGCGCCATTTTTTAAGCCCATCGGAAAAGCACAGTATTCGGGTGGGAGTGACCCGATTTTCCAGGTGCTGTCAATCACCCCTTTCTTTGACTCAGAAAGGGAACTCCCTGACCCCTTGCGCTTCCCAAGTGAGGCAATGCCTCGCCCTGCTTCTGCTCACGCACGGTGCGCGCACACACTGACCTGCGCCCACTGTCTGGCACTCCCTAGTGAGATGAACCCAGTACCTCAGATGGAAATGCAGAAATCACCCGTCTTCTGCGTTGCTCATGCTGGGAGCTGTAGACCGGAGCTGTTCCTATTCGGCCATCTTTCAATCTCAGTTTTGACTGCACAAGATTTCTGTAAACCTTTTAACCTTTACAATTTTCTATTAAAGAACAGATCAGTGCTCCAAGAAAACCCTGTTATTTTGACCCAGGGGCCTAACTCTGGCCCTGCATCAGTGTATTTTTGATATGCTCCATTTTTAGGAAAAATAATCCCCTTCTAATTTAGCCAACTTAATCACACATAAAATTCTTTTCATGAGATTAATCTTCTACAGGCCTTCTACAACTTGCTTAAACCTTCAGTTTTGTGTTGTATATCCCCTTTTTATATTGGCATTCTACCTTAGGTGAAAATTTACTTTCCTTGCCCTCTTGTTTTGACCACACAAAGTTCTCTCATGTAAAAGGAAAAAAATTATTCTTTTTAAAAACTCTTTTTGCATCTTACTTTCTTTATATACTCTGTATGTAGAATTGTTTGTCTTATACTTAGTAGTTTTAATTGCATATATTAATTCCAGTGTGAACTCTTAGTAACCCTGATTTTCAGTGAAAAACCTAGGAACCGATTTTACTTATGTGTCAGATGCAGATCCCAGGACAAAGGTTGGATGCAGCCTTTCCAGCATGGTCAAGAGGCATAGCTGACCCAGGGAGGATGCAGCCCAGGCACTGTCCCAAGGCCTCACCATGGCCACTATCTATACCACAGGATTTAAAGGCCCAAATTCAAAGACATAAGCTCACAGACAAATTAAGCAAGTGTCAAAAATATCATAAAAGCAACAGCTTTATGACTTTAAAATATCTAGTAGAGACATTATAAACAGATCTGATCAGTAGACCCAGGCAAAAATGTCTAAAATTCTGAAGACATTTCTATTATTTTATCAACAATTTAAAAACTATCTTTATTTACCAAAGAGTACTAAAGTCACAGGGACCTGAAAAGCATTTGGGTTATTTAACTTATGAGCCCTCATTTATTTATAAGTCAATGGTATCACAACCAATATACAAACAGCCATGTATATATGTACACATAATACAGACAGGCACAAATAAAGACATTATAGCTTTGATTTAAAACTCTTAACCATGAGACCTGTAAAAGTCACTAGCTTGAAAGGATGGTGGGATTCAAACTGTGTCTTTGTGAATGAAAAAGGTTAAAGTTTATCTCTCTCACAGGGCTGAAGCCCTTACGGAGTTTTAGAGAAAACATGATAGCAAATTTACTTCTCAAATCAGAGAGAGAGAGACAGAGAGAATTTGGCTTCTTTCAAGAAGGAGTTTGGGTGTGTTAGAGAAAGATTTAAAATGGATGCCAAGGTAACACAAATGATAGGAAAATGCCATAGCATTTTATAAGGAGACCAATTTTATTTAGATAAGTAGCTTTTAATTTAGCCTGTTTTCCAACTGGACTGCTATGTTCAGGGCAGAGCCCATTAAGAAACATGACCAACAAAGCATTTGTAATTTTTAATGGCCTAATAATTTATGTGAAAAGCAGGTGCAGTTGGGAGGCAGAACATCTAGATATTTAAAAATCAAGGACTCCACTTTTACACTTTATCCTGAGTTCCCAGAAAGAGGAGAATGCCATGGGACTGAGCCACGCAATGCTTTCACAGTGCACTTTACTAGAAACACATTTCTTTAAGTGTTTAAATCATGCCTTTTAAATCTAAACATGCAAAGAAATGAGTAGCCCTCTCTAATAGTAACCATTCATTATACTTCCTAAAGTAAGGAAGAGAAAAAAGAAAGCAAAAATAAAAATTTTAAAGTTTTTAGAAAATAACCATTCATTTTAAACAGCTGCTGTCAGCTACCTCCAAAACTGCAGCTCTTGCCATTGACTCAGCAGCCATCACACATACAAAGGTCAAGTGCTCTCTCACAGTACAGAGAAATCTCTGGTACCCCTCAAAGCCAAAGAGATCAGGTAATACAATACAAAAGAAAGCAGAGTTTTAGACCTGAGAGGAACTCGTCCATGACTCTTCAGACTCCACAGGAAGACAGAATACCCCAAAAAGAGGGTTAGTGGTACTCTTTTCTGTGTGCCTTAAGGGAATTTGAGTCATTAGAAGTCTCTTCTAGATTCTTTCATGTGCGACCAAAGACAACAAAGAGAAAGGAGGAACTTGTATATCAGCTTTTAATTAAGCTGACTTTAACCATAGAGCTTAAAAAAAAAAAGTCTTTGCATACCTCTTATTATCAGATTTTAGCCAGGAAAAATAGCTGGTATTCCTGGCATTTGAACTTTTGTTTTAACCAAAGGCAACCTCCCAAGTGACTCACCAAAACCAATAAGGCTTAACCAAGGTATGACTTTTTTTTTTTAATTTAAGTTCAAGGGTACATGTGCACAACATGCAGGTTTGATACATAGGTATGCATGTGCCATGTTGGTTTGCTGCATCCATCAACTCATCATTTACATTAGGTATTTCTCCTAATGCTATTCCTCCCCCAGTAGGCCCTGGTGTGTGATGTTCCCCACCCTGTGTCCAAGTGATCTCATTGTTCAGTTCCCACCTATGAGTGAGAACATGCAGTGTTTGGTTTTCTGTCCTTGTGATAGTTTGCTGAGAATGATGGTTTCCAGCTTCATCTAGCTTCATCCATCTCCCTGCAAAGGACATGAACTCATCCTTTTTTATGGTTGCCTAGTATTCCATAGTGTATATGTGCCACATTTCTTTAATCCAGTCTATCATTGATGGACATTTGGGTTGGTTCCAAGTCTTTGCTATAGAGAACAGTGCCGCAACAAACATACGTGTGCATGTGTCTTTATAGTAGTATGATTTATAATCCTTTGGGTACATACCCAGTAATGGGATGGCTGGGTCAAATGGTAATTCTAGTTCTAGATCCTTGAGGAATCGCCACACTGTCTTCCACAATGGTTGAACTAATTTACACTCCCACCAACAATGTAAAAGCATTCCTATTTCTCCACATCCTCTACAGCATCTGTTGTTTCCTGACTTTTTAATGATTGCCATTCTAACTGGTGTGAGATGGTATCTCATTGTGGTTTTGATTTGCATGTCTCTGATGACCAATGATGATGAGCATTTTTTCATGTGTCTTTTGCCTGCATAGATGTCTTCTTTTGAGAAGTGTATGTTTATATCCTTTGCCCACTTTTTGATGGGGTTGTTTTTTTCTTGTAAATTTGAGTTCTTTTTAGATTCTGGATATTAGCCCTTTGTCAGATGGGTAGATTGCAAAAATTTTCTCCCATTCTGTAGGTCACCTGTTCACTGTGATGGTAGTTTCTTTTGCTGTGCAGAAGCTCTTTAGTTTAATTAGATCCCATTAGTCTATTTTGGCTTTTGTTGCCATTGCTTTCGGTGTTTTTGTCATGAAGTTCTTGCCCATGCCTATGTCCTGAATGGTATTGCCTAGGTTTTCTTCTAGGGTTTTTATGGTTTTAGGTCTAACATTTAAGTCTTTAATCCATCTTGAATTAATTTTTGTACAAGTTGTAAGGAAGGGATCCAGTTTCAGCTTTCTACATATGGCTAGCCAGTTTTCCCAGCACCATTTATTAAATAGGGAATACTTTCCCCATTTCTTGTTTTTGTCATGTTTGTCAAAGATCAGATAGTTGTAAATGTGTGGTGTTATTTCTGAGGCCTCTGTTCTGTTCCATTTGTCTATATCTCTGTTTTGGTACCAGTACCATGCTGTTTTGGTTACTGGAACCTTGTAATATAGTTTGAAGTCAGGTAGCATGATGCCTCCAGCTTTGTTCTTTTACTTAGGATTGTCTTGGCTATGTGGGCTCTTTTTTTGGTTCCATAAGAACTTTGAAGTAGTTTTTTTTCCAATTCTGTGAAGAAAATCATTGGTAGCTTGATGGGGATGGCATTGAATCTATAAATTATTTTAGGCAGTATGGCCACTTTCACGATATTGATTCTTCCTCTCCATGAGCATGGAATATTCTTCCATTTGTTTGTGTCCTCTTTTATTTCATTGAGCAGTGGTTTGTAGTTCTCCTGAAGAGGTCCTTCATATCCCTTGTAAGTTGTATACCTAGGCATTTTATTCTCTTTGTAGCAATTGTGAATGGGAGTTCACTCATGATTTGGCTCTCTGTTTGTCTGTTAATGGTGTATAGGAATGCTTGTGATTTTTGCACATTGACTTTGTATCCTGAGACTTTGCTGAGTTGCTTATCAGCTTAAGGAGATTTTGGGCTGAGACGGTGGGGTTTTCTAAATATACAATCATGTCATCTGCAAACAGGGACAATTTGACTTCCTCATTTCCTAATTGAATACCCCTTATTTATTTCTCTTGCCTGATTGTCCTGGCCAGAACTTCCAACACCATGTTGAACAGGAGTGGTGAGAGAGGGCATCCCTGTCTTGTGCCAGTTTTCAAAGGGAATGCTTCCAGTTTTTGCCCATTCAGTATGATATTGTCTGTGGGTTTGTCATAAATAGCTGTCATTATTTTGAGATACGTTCCATCGATACCTAGTTTATTGAAGAGTTTTTTTTAGCATGAAGGGCTGTTGAATTTATCGAAGGCCTTTTCTGCCTCTATTGAGATAATCATGAGGTTTTTGTCATTGGTTCTGTTTATGTGATGGATTACGTCTATTGATTCGTGTATGTTGAACCAGCCTTCCATCCCAGGGATGAAGCTGACTTGATCATGGTGGATAAGCTTTTTGATGTGCTGCTAGATTTGGTTTGCCAGTATTTTATTGAGGATTTTCGCATCAATGTTCATCAGGGATATTGGTCTAAAATTCTCTTTTTTTTGTTGTATCTCTGCCAGGCTTTGGTATCAGGATGATTCTGGCCTCATAAAATGAGTTAGGGAGGATTCCTTCTTTTTCTATTGATTGGAATAGTTTCAGAAGGAATGGTACCAGCTCCTCTTTGTACCTCTGGTAGAATTTGGCTGTGAATCCATCTGGTCCTGGACTTTTTTTGGTTGGTAGACTATTAATTATTGTCTCCATTTCAGAGCCTGTTATTGGTGTATTCAGGGATTCAACTTCTTCCTGGTTTAGTCTTGGGAGGGTGTATGTGTCCAGGAATTTATCCATTTCTTTTATATTTTCTAATTTATTTGCATAGAGGTGTTTATAGTATTCTCTGATAGTAGTTTGTATTTCTGTGGGATCGGTGGTGATACCCCCTTTATCATTTTTGATTGTGTCTATTTGATTCTTCTCTTTTCTTCTTTATTAGTCTTGAGAGTGGTCTGTCAATTTTGTTGATCTTTTCAAGAAACAGCTCCTAGATTCATTGATTTTTTTTGAAGGGTTTTTGTGTCTCTATCTCTTTCAGTTCTGCTCTGATCTTAGTTATTTCTTGCCTTTTGCTAGCTTTTGAATTTGTTTGCTCTTGCTTATCTAGTTCTTTTAATTGTGATGTTAGGGTGTCAATTTTAGATCTTTCCTGCTTTCTGTTGTGAGCATTTAGTGCTATAAATTTCCCTCTACACACTGCTTTAAATGTGTACCAGAGATTCTGATACGTTGTGTCTTTGTCCTCATTAGTTTCAAAGAACATCTTTATTTCTGCCTTCACTTTGTTATGTACCCAGTAGTCATTCAGGAGCAGGTTTTTCAGTTTCTATGTAGTTGAACGGTTTTGAGTGAGTTTTTTAATCCTCACTTCTAATTTGATTGCACTGTGGTCTGAGAGACAGTTTGTTGTGATTTCTGTTCTTTTACATTTGCTGAGGAGTGCTTTACTTCCAACTATGTGGTCAATTTTGGAATAAGTGCGATGTGGTGCTGAGAAGAATGTATATTCTGTTGATTTGGGGTGGAGAGTTCTGTAGATGTCTATTAGGTCTGCTTGGTGCAGAGCTGAGTTCAGTTTCTGGATATCCTTGTTAACCTTCTGTCTCATTGATCTGTCTAATATTGACAGTGGGGTGTTAAAGTCTCCCATTATTATTGTGTGGGAGTCTAAGTCTCTTTGTAAGTCTCTAAGGACTTGCTTTATGAATCTGGGTGCTCCTGTATTGGGTGCATATATATTTAGGATAGTTAGCTCTTCTTTTTGAATTCATCCCTTTACCATTATGTAATGGCCTTCTTTGTGTCTTTTGATCTTTGTTGGTTTCGTGAAGTATCTCCAAAGAAGTTCAAAGCAGTCCTCACAAGATCCAGAACTACCCCAAAGACAGCTCAAAGAAAGGAAGGTTTTGCTAGCTGCAAATGGAGTAAACTCACATTTCTGTCTGGCCATGTTTTCTTGGATCTCAGCCTTTCAGCCTAGCACCTGTGCACAAGGACCCGAAGCCCCATATGCCCCACAAATGGAAAAAGAAGGGAGCCCAAAAGCTCTCCACGGAAAGGGAAAAGGACCAGTAACAAATGAGTATCCCAAAAGGTCATGAATCATGCAAATAATTTTAAACAAATCGGACTATTTCCCTGACCAGGGATTGAACCTGGGCCACCCTGGCCACTAGACTACAGGGTGGAGTGCTTTTTTGTGTGTCAATCCTGCAGGGGATCCAAAGCAGGAAGTTTGAGTGTTTAAAGGATTTTAACTTATTTCTGATCTGATTTGAGTTGGACTGCTGCTTTGCTAATTTTCTGGATGTTAGCATTTCAAAGACACGATAAAGTTTAAAGGGTATTGTTTGATATTGGGTCAGAAAATCAGTGTATTTATTAGTCTTGGTTTAGGACAGTTGTTAGATCTGCATTTTTATAATCACAGTAGTTTTATTTCCATCCTGCAGTTGCTCCATTTGTTCCTTCTGTTCTAAATTTAAATTCATTTTCCCCTCTGAGAGAAGGAAATGTGTACACTGTAAAATTCCAGAATATCTCTGGCTAAAAGGTGTATGGGAGTTGAGGGAACAAGCAGAAAGGGATGAGTAGATCACAGGGCTCATCTGAAGGAGCAGTGAGAGGTGAAAGGGAGAAAGCCTGTGAAGTCTATTTTAATAGTTTCAAATATTCCTTTGTTTACCTGTTGAATGGAAGAGGCAATTTTTTTCTGTTAGAGTTTCTTTTAGAGGTTTTAAGGTGTATTGGAAATAAGTCTCCTATTCAATTTATCTGGTTCTAAAACCAGCTGTTCCTAATTGTTCACAGAAATAATTTTTTTTTTTTTTGAGACGGAGTCTCGCTCTGTTGCCTAGGCTGGAGTGCAGTGGCACGATCTCGGCTCACTGAAACCTCTGCATCCTGGGTTCAAGCAATTCTCCTGCCTCAGCCTCCTGAGTAGCTGGACTACAGGTGCGTGCCACCATACCTGGCTAATTTTTCTATTTTTAGCAGAGATGGGGTTTCACCATGTTGGCCAGGATGTTCTTGATCTCCTGACCTCGTGATCCACCTGCCTTGGCCTCCTAAAGTGCTGGGATTACAGGCGTGAACCACTGTACCTGGCCTGTTTTTGGTATTTTTAAAGGCCTTCATTTTTGGTCATTGCTGCTTATGACCATCCCAGGTTAGGTGGGTCCACGTTCCTGGATATCTACAAGAGGGCACCCTATAAGTGTTCTACATAAATCCAGCTGGTGTTTTTAAAAGGAGCATTGAGATTTTGAAGCTTGATTTCCCATCATTTAGGAATTTTTCAAAAGTGAGGCTGGGAATGTGTTTAGGGTCAAAGTGTGATGAATCTCTGAGTGTGTCTAACTGCCAGGTGGCAGCAGAATGCTAAAAGTATGTGGGGCCAGACCCTTATAAGAGTCTGGAAGAGCAAAACGGGGGTACACTTTTCACTTAGTAACAAACAGGAACCAGTCACAAATGAAAGGCTAACCCTGAATTTTCAAGAGATAGAAAACAGCCACAATCTTAAAAGCATACTATGTAAAATGAAACCACCAGTGCCTAACTGCCAGCCTTTTGCCCTGAGTCTCTGCTGTGAGGCAGGCAGAAAAACCTTGACTCAAACCTCTGGTCCTGAGGCAGAGGTGGAAAAACCTTGACCCGAACTTCTGCTGTGAGACAGAAGTGGGAAAAAAGGCAGTTCCCCACAGAGCTCTCCACCAGAATCTCCTGTCCAAAGACTGAAGCCCTCACTCTTCAAGAAAGAGTTTGAAAAACGGTCCAAAGAAAGTCTAGACCTTTAACCAAAGAGTGGGAGGTCTGAATTCAGGAAAACTCATCTGAAACACCCAACGGGACTTCTGAAGACAGACTGTTTATGCTGGTACCGAGCGCTGCTTTCTGAGAGAAACACCAAGCGGTTGGGGTCCCGGGGAGTCACTCTGAGTCCTGCTGATTTATGCTAGACATGTTGACCTAAAAGGAAGAAGCTGAGGCAAAATTAATAAAAGTAGAAAGTTTATTTGGGCCCAGCTTGAAGATTACAACCCAGGAGCATTGATTCAAGTTGTCCCAAATATACTCTCCAGTTGGCAGCAGTTACAAGTACACTGTTGAAGGGAAAGAAGAGTCCATTTCTGAGTTTGTTACCGGTGGCAGGCATCTGAGTTACTGGCGGTGAATCCATATGGGTCTGCAGCAACCTCAATTTTTGCCTTCTCAGAAGAAAGAATTCAACTGAGGGGCATATGGCAGAAGAAGAGACCGAAGCAAGTTTTAGAGCAGGAGCGAAAGTTTATTAAAAAGCTTTAGAACAGGAATGAAGGAAAGTACACTTGGAAGAGGTCCAAGTGGGCGACTTGAAGGGCAAGTAGTCAGCTTGACCTTTGCCTTGGGGTTTTATACATTGGCCTACTTCCAGGGTCTTGCATCCTTTCTCCCCTGATTTTTCCCTTGGGGTCTGTTGTCTGCATGCACAGTGGCCTGCTAGCACTTGGGAGGTGAGCATGCACAGTGTGTGTACTGGAGTTGTACACATGCTCACTTGAGACATTTTTTTCCCTCGCTGGTGGAATGTCCACGGAGGGTCATATACCTGTTAAACGCCATCATTTTGCCTCTTAGTGCGCATGTGTGAGCCCACTCTTCCAACTCCTGAAATCTTATCAGGAAGCTGCTGATCACCAGTTTCAGGTTTTGTTTTTTTTTAAAAATCTATAGGGAGTCTGCTTTTCCCTGGCACTGACTGCGACCAATTGTTATTTTAGAGAGACAGTTAACAACTGCCTGGCCGTCACCTGATGGTCGCCTGACCTTCCTTGTTGTGATGGGCAAGCTCTCCTGCCCTGCTCATATCTGCCTGACTACCTACTGTAACAAGTTGTTTACCAAGACTGTACATTAAAAATAACAACCTATAGATTGACTATACATTGTTAAGCTATAGGGTGTGGGTTATAGTGCCTGGAGCAGCATTATTAGGTTAGTTTATAGCTGTGGCAGTAGCAAGCAGTTTCAAGAGATAAATACAAGTCTCAAAAGGGAGGGAGTAGGATGTGATTGCTGCCTCATTTTAATGTCTCTCTGGGTCTGATAGTTTAAAAGGACTCACATTCCCCAGATAAAAGTTCTTTTTTTTTTTGTTTTTTGTTTTTCTCTCACATCTGTCAGACAGGAAGGGTTTCCTCCACATGGATGTGATGCTTAAATTTTCTGAAAAATCAAGACCAGCTTTGTTCATTTTGCTTAGGATTGTCTTGGCTTTATGGGCTCTTTTTTTGGTTCCATATGAAATTTAAAGTAGTTTTTTCTAATTCTGTAAACAAAGTCAATGGTAGCTTGATGGGGATAGCATTGAATCTATAAATTACTTTGGGCAGTGTGGCCATTTTCACGATATTGGTAACAAAGCTGGAGGCATCACGCTACCTGACTTCAAACTATACTACAAGGCTACAGTAAACAAAACAGCATGGTACTGGTACCAAAACAGATATGTAGACCAATGGAACAGAACAGAAATAATGCCACACATCTACAACCATCTGATCTTTGACAAACCTGACAAAAACAAGCAGTGGGGAAAGGGTTCCCTATTTAACAAGTGGTGTTGGGAAAACTGGTTAGCCATATGCAGAAAGCTGAAACTGGATCCCTTCATTACACCTTATACAAAAATTAACTCAAGATGGATTAAAGACTTAAACGTAAGACCTAAAACCATAAAAACTCTAGAAGAAAACCTAGGCAATGCCATTCAGGACATAGGCATGGGCAAAGATTTCGTGACTAAAACACCAAAAGCAATGGCAACCAAAGCCAAAATTGACAAATGGGATCTAATTAAACTAAAGAGCTTCTGCACAGCAAAAGAAACTACCGTCAGAGTGAACAGGCAACCTACAGAATGGGAGAAAATTTTTGAAATCTATCCATCTGACAAAGGGCTAATATCCAGAATCTACAAAGAACTTAAATTTACAAGAAAAAAACAACCCCATCAACAAGTGGGTGAAGGATATGAACAGTCGCTTCTGAAAAAAAGACATTTTTGTGGCCAACAAACTCATGAAAAAAAGCTCATCATCACTGTTCATTAGAGAAATGCAAATCAAAACCACAATGAGATACCATCTCATGCCAGTTAGAATGGCGATCATTACAAAGTCAGGAAACAATAGATGCTGGGGAGGATGTGGAGAAATAGGAACCCTTTTACAATGTTGGTGGGAGTATACATTAGTTCAACCATTGTGGAAGACAGTGTGGCAATTCCTCAAGGATCTAGAACCAGAAATACCATTTGACCCAGCAATCCCATTACTGGGTATATACCCAAAGGATTATAAATTATTCTGCTATAAAGACACATGCACACGTATGTTTATTGCAGCACTGTTCACAGTAGCAAAGACTTGGAACCAACCCAAATGCCCATCAATGATAGGCTGGATAAAGAAAATGTGGCACATCTACACCATGGAATTCTGTGCAGCCATAAAAAAGGATGAGGTCATGTCCTTTGTAGGGACATGGATGAAGCTGGAAACCATCATTCTCAGCAAACTAACGCAAGAACAGAAAACCAAACACTGCATATTCTCACTCATAAGTGGGAGTTGAACAATGAGAACACATAGACACAGGGAAGGGAATATCACACACCAGGGCCTGTGAAGGGGTGGGGAGCCAGGGGAGGGATAGCATTAGGAGAAATACCTAATGCAGGAGACGGGTTGATAGGTGCAGCAAACCACCGTGGCACGTGTATACCTCTGTAACAAACCTGTATGTTTAATATCCTTAATATATAATAAAATTTTACAAATAAGTAGGAAAACTTAAATAAAAAAAAGTCAAGACCAGAAGCCTCAGACATCTGTCTTTGCTGCTGATTACAGAAGCAGCCTACAGTTTCAGACAGTTCTGGGCAAGTGTAAAAGCCAGCCTAGAGAAAATGATACTTATTAGCAGGCAAAACCTCTGCTGAGGAGAATCCACAGGCAGGGAAGTGGCAATAATTGGGCCAGAGGCCAGGCCAGAGCTTGCCCTCTTTACTAACTGCAGGAAGAGCTCAGAAGGGAAAAAAAAAAGGAAGGCAGGGAGGAGGGGAATGCTTAACTGCCTTAGGAGAACAAACAGCTTTTAAATACTTTAGACCCATTTTTCACCTGTAACCAATTGATGTGCTAATTCCACTTCATTCTTCTTTGTGGCACCAAAGGAAGCTCTAAAGCCCCTACTTGCCAATAGCTTGTTTCAGATTATACTGTTTGTCCGTAGAAAAAAAATAAAACTACATTTCTTTAAAGCTAGTGTTTGATTTCTTTAAGAACAGCGTATAATAGAGAGTTTTAATAAATTCCATTTATTTCCACAATTGCCATCCAGGTCAGCCCTAGGTCCCCCTCTGTCAGGGCCAGGGCCCAAGTAAGGAGAAACATGTCTGGGAGCTGTGATGACGTCACCCTCAAGAGGTTAGGGACATTTTGGAACATCTGTAGCTTCCTGATTCACAGGCCTCCTTTATGTTACTAAAGAAATGATGCAGGTCATCCATGAGCACCCCAGCTGGGAGTACACGCTCCATACTTTCCCACCTAGGAGATCAGCCTTCCTTTTATTTGCCAGAACTCAACTCTGCAGCCTCACCCAGCAGAATCTTTCATCTTAGACTTGGGGGTCAGGGGGATGGGGACACAAGTCCTGGGTGTCCTCTTCTGGAGGGCACCCTTCCCAGCTTTAAGTCTCAGCCCCTTTCCTTTACAGCCTCATCTTGCAGCCTGAGGGAACAGCCTCATATTCAGGCTTCCTTTTGCCTTCTCTGCTTCACCTTGATTGAAGCTACCCTTCTCTGCACCTTCTTTAAGGTAAGCAAATGCCATTTTTTGGAAGCTGGTCTTGAAACTGCCTTCGCAAAATTATAAGTAATGAGGGAAATCTAACATGACTGACTGAGGTTAGAGGTTACTTCTAACCTCACAGGCTAAATTATTGTTTTGTTTTTGTTTTTTTGCTTATTCTAGTGTTGAGGCCAAGATAACGATGAGAGGACTTTAGTTCACAGGTAAAGTTTGAAGCAAGGAAAACTGATCCTCTCCTTGTCCAGAGATTGAAGCTACATTCATATGACAAGGCTAGAACTATGGTGGAGGCTTGAACTTTGTTAAGGAATCAGCATAAATAGTAACCTGCCATTGCTTAGTTTGCTTTTCTATAAATTGCTTACTACCCCACCATCACATAATCAAAGATTGCAAGATTTATAACTTCCCCCAACTACTCCTATACATGACATCACTATTGTGAAACCTAAAGAACTGATCTTTGAGATATTTTTTCAGATTTAGCATTTTGGTAAACCAAAAGATGCCACCTGGTCCTGAGACCCCCCTCCCTACACCCTGCCACCAAGAACTGACTCAGCTGCATGAAGACAGTTTAGACACCCCTGTGATTTCATCCTAAGCCAATCAATTGTTTCATTTCTCCAGTATCCTGCTCACCAAAGTACTCTTAAAAACCCTAGCCTCTGGATTTATTTATTTATTTATTTACATTTTTTCATTTAAAAAATTTCATGGTATATAGTAGGTCTATATATTTAAGGGGTACGTGAGATGTTTTGATACAGGCATGCAATGTGAAATAAGCACATCATGGAGAATAGAGTAATCATTCCCTCAAGCATTTATCCTTCGAGTTACAAACAATCTAGTTGCACTCTTTAAATTATTTTAAAATGTACAGTTAGGTTATTATTGACTATAGTCACCCTGTTGTGCTATCAAATAGCACAAAGTAGTTCTTATTCATCCTTTCCATTTTTTTATGCCCATTAACCATCTCCACTCCTCCCCAGTTCCACACTATTCTTCCCAGCCTCTGGTAACTAACCTTCTACTCTCTCTGCCCATGAGTTCAATTGTTTTGATTTTTAGATCCCACAAATAAGTGAGAACATGCGACGTTTATCTTTCTATGCCTGGCTTATTTCGCTTAACATAATGATCTCCAGTTCTATCCATGTTGTTGCAAATGACAGGATCTCATTCTTTTTTATGACTGAATAGTACTCCATTGTGTATCTGTCCCGCATTTTCTTTATCCATTCATCTCTTGATGGACACTTAGGTTGCTTCCAGATGTTAGCTATCGTAAACAGTGCTGCAGCAAACATAGAAGTGCAGATATCTCTTTGATATACTGATTTCTTTTCTTTTTGGTGTATACCCAGCAGTGGGATTGCTGGATCATATGGTAGCTCGATTTTTAGTTTTTTAAGGAACCTCCAAACTGTTCTCCATAGTGGATGTACTAATTTGCATTCCCACCAAAAGTGTACAAAGGTTCCCTTTTCTCTACATCCTCATCAACATTTGTTATTGCCTATCTTTTAGATATATGCCATTTTAACTGGAATGAAATGATATCTCATTATAGTTTTGATTTGCATTTCTCTAATGATCAATGAAGTCAAGCACATTTTCATATGTGACATGGTTTGGCTCTGTGTCTCCACCCAAATCTCATCTCGAATGGTAATCCCTACGTGTTGAGGGAGGGACCTGTAATCCCCACAAGTCGAGGGAGGGAGGTGATTGGATCATGAGAGTGGTTCCCCCCGTGCTGTTCTCATGATAATGAGTCCTCTTGAGATCTGATGGTTTTATAAATGTTTCACAGTTCTTCCTTCACACGTTCTCTCTCCTGCTGCCTTGTGAAGAAGGTGCTTGCTTCCCCTTCACCTTCTGCCTTGATTGTAAGTTTCCTGAGGCCTCCTCAGCCATGTGCAATTGTGAGTCAATTAAACTTCTTTCCTTTATAAATTACCCAGTCCGTCTTGGGTATTTCTTTATGGCAGTGTGAAAATGGACTAATATGATATGCCTGTTTGCCATTTGTATGTCTTCTTTTGAGAAATGTCTGTTCAAATCTTTTGCCCATTTTTTTGATTGGATGATTAGATTTTTTTTTCTTGTAAAGTTGAGCTCCTTATATATTCTGGTTATTCATCCCTTGTCAGATAGGTAGTTTGCACATATTTCCTCCTACTCTATGGGTTGTCTCTTCACTTTATTGATTGTATCATTTGCTGTGCAGAAGCTTTTTAACTTGATATCGTCACATTTGTCCATTTTTGCTTTGGTTGCCTGTGCTTTTGGGGTATTGCTCAAGAAATTCTTGCTCAGACTAATGTCCTGAAGATTTTCCCCAATGTTTTCTTGTAATAATTTCATAGTTTGAGGTCTAGCTTCTGAATTATCAGGGAGGCAGATTTGAGAAATAACATCGTCTCTATCATCCTTTCATTTGCCTGGCCCTGCAATTATTAAGCTCTTTCTTTGCTGCAGTACCTGCTGTTCCTAGTGCATTGTCTTTTCTGGGCAGCAGGAAGAAAGAACCCATTGGGCTATGACAGTCTGACTTCCAGTGCCAGAGGAAATTCACTCACTGCAAATGTCATTTACCTAGTACTTCCAATTCTCCTTCCAGGCACATGGAAGTATTACATTTCCCTGCCCCTTGGAGCCAAGCTTGGCCATGTGACATGCTGTGTGAACCACAGTGGTATGTGTCACTTCTGGGTGGAAGCATTCAGAGCTAGTGTGTGATTTTCCGTGCTGGAGGTTTCCTTATGCTGTGGGAACCACTATTGTATCAGACAGTGGCTTCTCTGAGAAAGCTGCTCAGCCTCCAAGGGGGACACAGTCTCCAGAGCTCACTCCTGACTTGGCCAAAGAGAAAGAATATTCCAGAGGGCTGATCCAGAGATCTCAGAGGGCAGTGGACAATGGGAGCTTCTTTCAGAGCTGGAAATGAAGGCCTAATCAAGAAACAATCCCCATCCAATGATAGGTGCCCTCAAAGTGGGCAGGGCGGGTGTTTGTTGTCTGCTAAATTCTCCATTCCCCTTTTAGGACTGGAGTGTCATTCTGCCCCTACACCACATTTGTACATTGTGGGTATGGGGCAGATAACTTGTCATAGGCATTCATATCAGGAAAAAACACACATCCAATGTAGACTTGATGATGGGAATATTGTGCATTGCCCAGGGATCTGGGACCTCCACCAGAGGTCTGCACAGACTTACAGATTGTCTTCCTAAGGGAGGAAGCACTTGCTTTGGTCAATGAAATGTTAATGGGGTTGATATGGGTCGCCTCTGAGCAGTGAACAATTTGTCATTTCTGTCTCTCCCTTTGCCGTGATGATAGACACTGTTTCAGATGGTGACGACTCCGTCAGACCAATTCCAGTGTGTTGATAATTTAGAGCTCCCAGCCAATTGAAAGACTTGTTTCATGAGCAAGAAATCAACCTTTTGTTAATCATTCTAAGCCAGTGAGGTTTTGGTAACCAGAGCATAATCTAGTTCATTCTGACTGATACTCTCTAACACACATTAATTCTTTCATTCAACAAATGTTGACTTAATGTGTGCTGCCTTGAGCCCCAAAAATGCAGAAATTAATAAAGTGCAGTTCACTGCCTTTAAGGTGCTCACTGTTTAAGGGAGACAGACCAGGCCAATAGACAAGCAACATTACCCTTCCACCTCATGCATATCTGCGACAGATATTAGCACTCTGGCACTTTTCTAACTGTCTTCCAATAATCTCTGTATATTTCCCCTAAAAGCTCAATACTCTCAAAGATCTTATAGGACAGGGATTGGTTGGGGGGGTGGGTTGATGGATGGATGGATGGATGGATGGATGGATGGATGGATAGTTGTGTGGCTGAGTGAGTGGATGGATGGATGGATGGATGGATAGATGGATGGATGGATGGATAGATAGTTGTTTGGCTGGGTGAGTGGATGGATGGATGAATGGGTGGATGGATGGATAAATGGATGGATGGATGGACAAGTGGACAGATGGATGAAAGGAAGGAATCAGGTGGAGCTAGTTTGATTGAAGAAGCACTTTCTCAGGGCCCATCCTCCACCCTTTCTCCACACCATATCAAGCTCCACAGCAGTAGGAACAATCGTGTGATCCTTCTCTGGTTCTCAAGTATTAGCAGCCTGATAATATTGATTCTAGAAATTTGCCTGAGTGATGGCAATACATACTTCTCTATTCATTTGAGAAACCTTTATTAAAAACTTATAGCCGCCCTACCTTTGAAGGGTCAGATATGATATATGATTCCTGAATAGATATACCACATTTTTGGCCTCTGATCATCTTTCTACAAAAGCCCACCAAAACTCCTGTACCCCACATTTCTCTTGTCTACTTTATGCTGCCACTGACTTGTTAGGAATGTGGAGTGAGTCTAAGAGAGCCTCAAACCTGCCTTCTCTCCACAGTTGCTTGTAATAGGGAGAGTGGTTTAGGTTGAATTAGCATATCAGCATGCCTTTTAAAATGTTTTGTTTGCTCCCAAACATAATTTGAGACAGTTTACTAAATAGCATATTCTGCAGTAGATGTTACTGTAAGAAATGAAGGTTGAGTTCCCCGGACAGCCTGACTACTTAATTTCAGGCGGGGCTGGTTCTAGGCTAAATTGTGAGGTCAAAATCATAATCTCTACCTCTGTTTTCAACATCCTTGTCTCACCTATATCTCCCTGATCCAGCCTGGGCACTATAAAGAACTGGCAGTCAGGAGGTCAGGGTTCATCCAGGATCCTCTGGTAAGTAGCTGTGTAGGTCATGCCATGTCCCTGAGTCTTGGCCCTCTCCTCTGCAAGAGTCCAAGGTCATACTCAGCATCCTCCTATGTTCTTGCCAGGCCCAGCACTCTAAAATTTTGTTGCCTACTTATAAGAGTAACATTTTAATTTCAAACTAAATGTTATTTATGATTAAAGAGGTAATATAATTGTGTACTTCAAAACTCATGATAATATGAAAAGATACACAGTAAGAAGTCTTGTCCTGCTCCATCTCTAGCCACCTAATTCCCTCCTCCCCCCATCTAGAACTGTGAACGGTTTGATTTTACCCTGCTTGCAAGCTAACATATAAGCCACCACTGTTATACAGGCAGAAGATGTAAGAATTAGGTAAGAAACAAAGGACTTCATTACTCATGGCACAACAGACAGCATGCATTTGATATTCATACCAGTTCCTTGTGTCCCCCAGGGCGGGCATGTGGAGTGGCCAAGGTGGGTGCCATACATGCAGTAGGTTTGCATCATAATTCAGGAATCCCGAGATTAGGAAACCCTAATGTTTTATATTGGGCTGAGAACATACCTACCCAATATTTGCCCTGGAGAAAGACATTATTTTACTTTTACCAGACAGCAAACAAATCTCTTTTCTGCTCTGGAGAGAGACACTATATCTTCTAAGCCTGTTTCTGTACACACATCCTTGGAAAAATAATCTACAACATATGCTGTCATGGTCTCTGCTCAGAAGACATGCAGAAAATTGTCTCCCAGCACCCCACACCTAGCCATCTAGATGTCTGCTCTTATTAGTTTCTTGTGTATCCTTCCAACATTTGTATATGTAACTATAAGCAAATATATTTTCTAATTTTATGCTGTTTGTTATATGAAAGCTGAACACCACATTCATGGTTATATACTTTGGTTTTTTTAGTTAACAATGTAAGTTTTTCTCTTTTATTCTGCTGCAGAGTACCCATTGTACAGACATACCATAGTTGATTTGGCCAATCCCCTATATATGGACACTTTTTGCTGTTTCAAATAATGCTGCAATAGGTGATCTTGAACATTTAGAATGAAGAGGGATTGGTTACTGAGCTAGATGGTGATTGAATTTGTAATTTATTAGATATTGTGAAATTTCTCTACATAAAGGTTATATACTATTTTGTGCTTTCACCAGTTTTACCAATTTTATCAGTGAAGGGGCTGGGCAATCTTCTCAAGAACAGTAACCAAACAGGAGGCTGACAGGTTGCAAAATAGGAAGGAAGGAGTTAACTTTTGCCCCCTCCAACCTTGCAGTCTCCATCTAGTGCCCCCTCTTGGCAGAGCCTAAGAGGTCAACAGCTGTCAAACTAGAGAAGGGGTTTGCAGAGGTCCAGCCCCAGCATTGCAAAGCAGAAGCGAGAGGGGTGGGTTTGGAGCTGAGAGTCAGTAACAAAAACTAGCACATCTCTAGGTGTATTTGTCAAACATTTGGATTTTTGCCAACCTAATAGGTGAGAAATGGTATCTCAATGGAGTTTTAACATGCATTCTTATGAGTGACATTGACCGATTTTTTTATAAGTTTAAGGGCAATGTATGTACATTTTCTGTTAACTCACTGTATCCATTGGCTATTTTTCATTTGGGTTGTTGGCTTTTTCAGCAACATCTTAGTGCAAATAGGCACAAGTAAGCTGAGTAATTAATCCTATCCAGAGTATGGCCATGCTTAAAGAGGCAGCAGAGCTCAACTCAGAAGAACGAAGCTCCATCGGGAGAGTCTTAGACATGGCAATGCCCAGCTTGGGAGATCAGTAGGCCACCTGTGACCTTCACAGCACACACTCTTAGCTCAAGCCTATACTCCTTGTGTAGCTCAGGCCCTGGCCTTGGAAGCCACCCATGCCTGCCTTGCCCTGGAGTGGCCTTCTGGCTGCCTCCACTCTGGCTTCGATTGTTATTTCCACACCTGTAGTCTCCTTGGTGAGCCCTTCAAGAGACATGCTGGATCCTTATTTGTGCTTGAAATACAGGTGATTTCTGCTGTCGCCACTTCCCCAAGTGGCTCATCCAAGGTAGGACGTTCTGTCACAGGGCAGTGTTTGCAAAACCTGGAAAGTACTGGAGAGTTTTAGACAAATTCAGGGTGTGTGACATTGGATATAAAACACACTTTCCAAAAAGGGAACAGAAACCCACACACATGATTAAATCATAGAACACGTTGGGGAAAACTCCTGTCCTCTCAGCTGTGAACCAAGAAGGAAGCAGAAAAGTTCTCCAACCTCTCAGAGGTCAGTGTGCCCGAGATCACATGCTTCACTCATGCTGAGCTCCTCAGGCCTCTGTTCACAGCCTGCTAGTTCTTCTATTGACAGGGAGGGGTGATTTGCAAAAGAAAAGCAATGTTTAGCTTTTAATAACAGTTACCGTTTATTGAATGATGACTGTTGAGTGGTACCTGCCTTTCATGTTTTATTTCTAGTGTCTACAACAAGCTGGCAAAGCAGTGCAGTTATCCCCATTTTATAAATGAGAAACGGAGGCCCAGAGAGGTCAGGTAACATGTGCAGGGCACACACGTGGTAAGCCTGGAGTGAGTCTGATTGACTGGGATGAGAGCTGAGGAGCTGTAGTGTCTCATCTCCCAAGGAAAGCATGGGGTTGTGCTTGGTGAGCCCAGCAGGGGTGAAAAGCATTCAGGGGAGGAAGAGACTGTGGAGGCTATGGCAGCCCAAGAGGCCTTCTTGACGGAGGTGGGGCTTGAGCTGGGCCCGGAAGGCTGAGAAGGATCAGGGAAGCGGGGAGGGACAATGAGGGAGAGTAGCATTCCAGGCAGGTAAGCCCACTAGGGTGAAGGAATATGGAGGTCCTTGCATGGTGGGGACCTTCTGGCTCAGGCAGGCACTTACCATCTCCACCTTATTGTGATAGGCCCACAGGAAGAGTTCCTGCACTGACTGAATGCAGCATGGAGGGGCCTGGGCCGGGCACTCCGGGATGAGAACAGCACCTGAGAGGAGGTGCCCTCCCTTCCCAGTGCTGACTAAAGCCATGGTCCCAGTTGGGCCAGGGGCAGGACAGACCTGAGGCCTGCTGAAGGCGTACCTCTGACCCACCAGGGGCTCCCGGCACCCTCATGGTCTCTGTGGCGAGACACTCAGGCATTTGCGGGATTCACCTCCTGCTGCCGCTCTGAGCCTAGAGTTCATTTTTATTTATAAGGGTTTATTTGATATTCAGATTGCAGAAGTACGACATATTTCCTGCACAAAATAATAGAAAACACAGAAAATCACCAATAAGACAACTGAGAAAAGTAACCTATCAACTGATATCCCAGAGATTCCACTTGTTACTTTTTGGTAGAGAGACATCTCTGCTACTGTTTGTTAAGTACTCACCAGGTGGAGATACTGTGCCATGGGCTTCACATTGAGCCCTCATAACTACATGAAGAAGGAAGGGCCTTTCATCCCCATTTCATAGCCGAAGAGCTAAGACTTTGAGAGAATTAGTTAAGTTGCCCAGGTTATCTGAATGTTGAGTTTGAGCTCTTAGTCATTTTGCTATGCTGCTGTTGATTTTATACATATATATATATATATCTCCGTTTATCACATCTTTCTCACTTGACAATAAAAGATGCTTATTTTCCTACATCACAACATATTCTCCTACAACACATTTTAATGTCAGCATTTGGAGGCATAATGATTTATTAACCCCTTTCCTATCATTGTTTCTAAGTGTTTTCTCAAATAAGCAAAGCTGCCACAGCATTGTTTTACCCAAAGCCCTGTGCATATCTAGCAATATTTCTTTATGGCAAACCTGTAGTTTAGGGATTGGTGGTTCAAAGGGTTGGTCTGATTTAAGGGCTTTTGATACAAACTGCCAAACTGCCTACCAAGAGTTTATAACAGTTTATTCTTTCACCTGCATGGGAACAGCTGTCATTCTACAATCTCACTGGTGTCAGATGTATCTTTTAAAACCTCCTTGCTGATTTGATAGGTGACAAATGGTGACTTGTTTTAGTTTACATTTTTCTAAGTGAGGCTGGACATTTTCCCTCAAACTCTTTGTGTCTCAGTATCCCAAAGTTCTGCAGTCCCCACTTAGAATCTATTCCCTTTAGAGATTGGGTCTCTGTCTGTGTTTTTCTATTTAAAATTAAAAAGTGGTGACACCCCAGATCCCTTCTGAGATCAGCAGGAGACACCGAGGCCCCCTACTTCCAGGTTCACCTCCCAGAAATTCTCCCTAATTAGGCCCTGCATGAAAACACAGAAATGTGCTTTGCTTTCCCCGCTTAAAGTATATTTTTTTCTTTAATACAACATCAAAGAAACATTGTTTTTGGGAGGACTTATCCAAAAATTTTACTAGGTATATAAAGCAGCCATTATATACTCTCCTATAGAGAGGGAAAAGGAAAAGAAAGAGAAAAAGGAAAAGATTCTCACTCCGCAAGACTGTAAAGGGTTTCTCAAGCAAGGGCAGGGCTAACGGGGACCAGCCTGGAAACAGGATCCCTTCTGTCCCAGGGCAGCCACTTGGAATTCCTAGTCCTCATCAGGAATTGGGATGTAGCTTAGTCAGTGAGGGTAGAAACTGAATTAGAGAAGAAATAGAAAATCCAATTGCTCATGAAGGAATCCAGACTGCAAACAATGCTAAATGCTGCCTCCCTTGTCAGTCCACATATGGATAACTGCAGAAATGAATGTCCCAGGGGCCCTGGCTTAATGTTTCAGGCTCCTGCCCTTGGCATCATCTAACAAAGAGCCCGTAGCAGGTTTGCACTAAAGAGCTGACCCTAGCAGTGAATTCCTAAAGTACCAACAGTTACTGGCTGGAAAGCAGGCAGCCTGGTGGCATGTGGGGGGCAAGATTCCCCTGACCTTGCCTTCTCTCTGGAGTGCGGAGTGCATGTTTGGAAGCTTCCACATTAGCATGGCTCACATTCAGCACCAGACCCTGGCCAGGGTGGCATGGGCAGTGAGCACTGTGGCCACACACATGTGAATGTAGGGATGTGTATTCCCTTGATGCCCTGCCCCTACTGCTGAGCAAGTCATCTGGAAGCACACAGACATCTGCCAGTTGCTTTAACAAAGTATGTTGGCAAGTGATCCATCTAGTAATATTCCTGGCTCAGTAGACAGTAGTGTACAGTAGTTAATAACCAGTACACTACATCACTAAGAACCAGCTATGTCACCTACCATCTGGGATACCTTTGGCAAGTTACTTAAGCACTCAAAATTTCACTTTCCTCACCTCTGAAATATAGATAATAAAGGTTCCTAAATCATATGGAGGGTGGCTGCCTCAGTGAATGGTGATCTCATTCCTCCAGTTCGCTCAGGTCAAAACCTGGTTGATCTCCATGGTCCTTCTCTCAGACTCCATCTACAATCTAGCAGTACATCTTGCCAGCTCTGCCTTCAAAATATCAACATATATTCAGGATCTTACCATCTCCATTGCTCCTCTCTTGTTCAAGCCACCATCATTTCTTGCCTACATCATCTTATTAGCTTCTTAGTAAGTTCTCCATTTCTACCCTTGCCCTCCTGCAGTCTATTCTCCACACAGCAACCAGAGTGATTCTTGTTAAAACATAGTTAGTCTTTCTCTTGTATTACTCGCTCTTGGGGAAGTTAGATGTCATGTTGTCACGACACTCAAATAGCCTGTAGAGAGGGCCATTTGGTGAGGAACTGAGCCTCCTGCTAACTCCCATGTGTGGGAGCCATCCAGCTTCAGTCAAGCCTTTTAGTGACTTCGGCTCCTGCCAACATTCTGACTATAGCTACATGAGAGGCCCCAAGTAAGAACCTCTCAGCTAAACTGCCCCTGAATTTCTGAACCACAGATACTGTGTCATAATAAATGTTTTGGGGTTAATTTGTTACATGACAATCAAGAATACAGGTTTTTGGTATCTGCAAGAGGGGGTTGCCATAACAAATACCTACAGAAGTTGAAGTGGCTTTGGAACCAGGAGGTAAATGGAAGCTGGAAGGACATTAAAGAGAGTGCTGCTGAAAGCCTGAAGTGCCTTGAACAGTCTGGATGAGAAGGCTGCTGATAGGCCCTAACAGGAACAAAGGAACATGTTACTGGAAGCTGGATAAAGGGAAATCCTGAATACCTAGTGGCAGAAAGGGTAGCAAAAGTGTCACCTAGAGTCATGTGGAAATAGAAAATGCACCTAATGAACTGTGTGATCTAGTAAGGATATTTCCAGCTAGAGTGTTAGAAGTTTCACCTGATTCATGATGCTTCTACTAAAATGCGACAGGAGGGAGATAAGCTAAGAGGAGTAAGGACTTGTGATTTAGACACTTCCTAACATCTCTAGATGCCAAATGATGCTAAAAATTAAGAAATATCTTTTAACTAAAGATCAAATCAAGGGCACTGCTGGGAAAACATGGTCCAAAAATAAAGCTGAGGCTGTGGCTGTAAAATTCATTGTTAAGATTTCAGAAAAGATCTAAGAGATGCCTTAGAGTACCATTCAGATAGACAAAAGGTGCTAAAGTTTCTAAGAAGCTTAAGAGTAAAGCTAACTGATTGCAGTAGAAGCCCAGGGTAGAGAAGGGCTTATCTCAAAGAGATTTATATGTATGTGGCTTTTGTCTAATGGAGAAAACCCCCAATGACATTCATAGGAAAGCTACAAGTTTTTAGATAATAATCACAAAAACATATCCGGCTTGTACTGAAAGGGACAGAATTAGTACAAAATAAATAAAGGCCTTTGGACCACAAAATTCTGGCAGGAATCAGGGTGAGACAAAAAACAAAAATAAAGAAAAAAAGAATGACTCACAAGGGGAAATCAAGAGCACAGGGGCTGGAACTAAGAGCCTGGATGTTAGAGTCAAAATCCAAGGAGAATTGTTCTCTGGCTTTTGACTCAATCAGAAGTAAGACTGATTCCTAATCAGGGAATTTGCCCCCATGAGATTTCAGAATTGCTATGGGCCAGTGACTCCTTTGTACCTCCCATTTCCCCTGCTTTTGAACAGGAATTCCTGTAGAAATTATCCTATCCATGTTCCAACATCAAGTGTTGGGGGAGGAAGGGATAACTTGTCTGTCTAGTTTGAAGGTTTTAAAATCAAAAGTAGCGTATTCAAGGAGCTTGCTTAAGGAACTACCCTCAAAGGAACCCCATGAGCACCTAGACCTCATTTAGATGAAGGGATTCTGAACTTTGATCTGAAGCCATAATGGTATGAGACTTTTGGGAAACTTGGAAAGGGGGAAGTGTATTTTGCATGTGGGAGGGAAGTGAATTTTGGAAGGCTAGAGGGTAGACTGGGATAGCCTGCCTCAAAGATGCCCTCCTACTCAGACTCATGTCACTTACAAGTGCCCCTAAGTGTGACTGTTGTACCCCTGACTGATAGTGGGATATAAGAGGCTGGTATCCTTTTGTGTAAGTGGCATACATTTTAGGTGGTAATTCATACTTCAGAGCTCCCCACGGGATCAGACAGACTAGACTTCCTCTGAACCCATTTCTTTGCCTATCTTCTTCCCTTGTCCTATCCTGCTTTATTCACTCCCTCAATAAAACATTTATACACAGAATTCTTGCCTCAGGTTCTGCTTCTAAGAAACTCAACCTAAAACACCTAATAATTATAAAGTGGTGCTTGTTCAAGACATGTTTACTTCCTAATGGAATTTTGGGGCATTTTGTGAAATCGTCATGGATATCAGGAAAAAAAAGAATGAAACAGCCTTAAATCCAAAGTTAAACAGCCTTAAATCCAAAGTTGAGATATTCATGGTTGAGGTAACATTGGCAATCTTTGTTTGTTTTATTTGCTTGTTTTGTTTTTTCTGTTGAACTTGAGGAGCAGAGTAGAGGTAATTGTACTCCCTAGTTGGTAGTACACTGTCTTCACTAGCCTGGGCAAGCCCTTCTCTTGTTGCATTTTATTCCATTTCCCCCTTCTCTCTGACTCACGTTCTTATTTATTCTGAATATTCACCCTAATGCATTGGAATGATTTGGATATCCTTAAATTTGTTTGTATCTTTGTAAAATATGTACTGTTTTGTGTATACATGTTTTTAATTTGCATAAACAGAAATATGCTATAATTTTTGTTCTGCTTCATATTTTTTTACTCAGCACTGTGTTTTGAGGACTATCCATGTGATTATATGTTCATTTAGCTCATTGCTTCTTACTGTTGCATGATATCAGCTCTTTAAGTTAATTTTAATATAGTCAAGTTTGTCAGTATGATCCTATATAGTTTGCATTTACCTGTCTTGTTAAATAATTCCTTCCTGGCTCTGAGATCATAGAGATAGCCTCTCCCATTGTCTTCTGAAAGATGTAAACTTTTGCCTTTCACAGGTTTTTAACCCACCCAAAGTTGGTGTTTTTTTTTAATGTAGAGTGTGAGGTAAGGCTCTAAGTTTATTTTTATCTCACATAGATAACACATTGTCTTAGTTATATTGATCAGTCCACCCTGCAATGCCTGTTTTGTATTGGGTTTGGTCCTGGGTTGATTATTCTCTTCCACAGGTCTCTTCGTCTCTTCTTGTGCTAATACCGCACTGTCTTCATTTTTATAGCTTTATTGAAAGTTTTGATATTTGGTAGGACAAGTCCCTCCATTTTGTTTTTCATCTTTAAGTTATTTTTGACTTTTGTTCTTCCATATAAATTTTTAGAACCACCTTGTTTAGTTGCTGTCCCCCTGCCACCACTGTCATATACACACACGTAATGAGATTTTGCTTGCACTTGCATTGACTGTGCATCAACTGAGGAGAATATTGACAACTTCAGGATCTAGAGTCTTCCTATTTAAGTACAGTCATCTTAATTAGGTCTTTTTTGTATCTCTTAATACATGTTTATAACTTTATCTGTAGAGGACTTTCACATCTTTGGTAGATTTATTTCTGGATATATTTTTGTTGCTATTCTAAGTGCAGTGTTTTATTACATTGTCTAGCTGTTTTTACTGGAATATAGAAAGGGAATCAGCTTACGTATTAGGTTGGTGCAAAAGTAGTTGTGGTTTTTGCTATAATATCACTTTTAAAGTCTATTTTATTAACTCTAATATTTATCTCAAGATTATTTTGAGTTTTCTAAATGGAAAACCAAATCATCTGCAAATAATGGTAATTTTGTTTCTTTCCAATCCTGACATTTCTTTATGTGTCCTGTGGAGATGGCTGGACAGCATTGAACAGGAGTAGAAAGGGACAGCCCCATGTTTCTGCCATCACAAAGGGAGGGCTTCTGCGATTTCAGGGAATGCGTTTGCTGCAGGTTCTTTGTGGATATTCTTGATCAGATTCAAGAACAGGTCTTCGGATCCTAGTTTGCAAAAAGCTTTTGTTTTCCCATTGTCAATTTTTGAATTTTACCTAATGCTTTATAAGGAATTCATTGCTTTAAAAAGCAATGAGATGATCATAAGGGTTTTCCTCCTTTAATATAACATTAATGTAATGATTTATTAATTGTTAATATAATTATATAATTAATAGATTCTAACTTGGCCAGGATGTATTGTTTTAAAATTTATTTCTAATAAAATATTTGTTTGCTAATCTTTTGTTCAGAATGTTTGGAGTGAGATTGTCCTGTAATATTTTTGCTTGTACTATGCTGTCATTTGCATTGATCTCTTTTTAGTCTCCTCGGTAAATTGGAGATGGGAGAATAAATTGCTCTTATTCCATTATTTTATTTGTATTGGAATGATCAATTCTTTAAATGATTTATAGAAGTTACTGTAAAGCCTTTTGGACTGTGGTTGTCTTTTTACTGCTATTTTAAACTAGTAATTTAATTTCCTTAGTACTTATAAGATTACCCTGGTTCTTTATTTTTGCTTGAGTCACTTTTGGCAACTTGTATTTTTCTAAGAATTTATCTATTTCATTTTATCTGAATTTTTAAATTTACAGACATAAAGTTGTTCATAGTATCCTCTTATTATCTGTTAATCTCTACAGGATGTGTGGGTCATGTTCCATTTTTCATTCCTAAAATGGAGCGCTTTAGCGCCCTTTTTTTCTTGATTCATCTTGCCGAGGTTTACCTTTTCTAAGAACCCGCTTTTGACTTTGTTGATTCTGTTATCTATTTTCTGGTTCCTTAACTTCTACCTTAAGTTTTATTTCCTGCTTTCTTCTTCCTGTGGGCTGAGTGGTTCTTTTTCTGACTTCTTAAGTGGGAAGGCTGTCACTCATCTCGGTCCTTCCTTACTCTCTGAGGTAAGCATGTACAGTGTCCTGGCCCGTGCGTTGCTCTTAGCTGCAGTCCTGAGTTCTGATATGGTATGCGTGCCCCTCATTTTTCTTATCCACTCCCCTAGAGGTTAACATTTGGGATTCTCTTAACTCTCCATCACCAAAGTAATACCACACAAACATTTCTGTACATATCCCCTTACCAAACTGTGTAAAAAGGATTGCTTGAGCTTGGAGAACCCCATACTTGGTTTTCTTTAAATATTGCCAGATTTCTTTGCAGTGCGACTGTGCCTGTGCCCATTCCCACCAGTGGTTCCTGTGTCCTCACATCCAAGCACTGAGACATTTAAACAAGACCAGGTGAGCCTTCAGGTGGCATCAGAATGCCTTCACACTACCTCTACTACCCAAGTAGAGGAGGATCGGGGAGGCTGTCTAATCCCGAGATGTGCCACACCAGCCACTGCTGACCCGCGTCAAAGGACGCGGTGAGGAATGGGGAGAACAGCTTGAGCGGAGTCTGCTGTAACAACTGAAGCACTTTGAGTCCCAGAGGTGAGACTCTTTGTGGAGGGCCTGAGGCCTTGCTTGTGGGTGAGGAAGGCTCTGTCAAGGACAGAGAGCTAGCTCCGGCCCCAGGCTGTTTTCTGTCGTCTGGTGCCACCCAGGATTTTATGAAGGGCTCCATCTCCTCCTTTCCACAAGCCCCATTCCACATCCTTGACCCTAACCCATGGCCTATTTCACCTCTATTCCCATCTTCTCAGGCTCCCGCCAACTCTATGTCACCAGTGACTCAGCACATGCGCAGATGCCCACTGGAAGGGCCACTCGAGCCCAGCATGATGACAGGGTTGCCCCAGGGGCAGCTTCCTGGAAGATGTTTTAAAGACAGAGCCCGAATCCCAAGCCCTCTTGTGATCTTAATTTGTGGCTTTGTCTGATGGACTCGCTTCCCTCTGCATCTTCCTCTGGCTGTTTATTTGGGTAAAGGATATTCTCCTCCCTTTCATGTCTGAGCGGTTTCCTCCTGTGAGTGTTCACTGGGAGGTCTTCTGCATGCTGCTCTGCGGGGAGGGGTGGGTTCTTCTTCTGAGAAGGGAGCCCTTGGGTGGGGGTCGGCCAGACCTTGTCTTGGGGCTGCACCCTGTGAGGCCCAGTTTGCCCAGTAGGCAATCCCAGCAGATCTGACTCTCAGCAGATCTCCTTGGACTTGGGCTAATAAGATTTTTCCTTTAAAAGGAACTTTCCATTGTTTGTTTTAAAAGTGAAATAAGCATTTTTTCCAACCGCAGAGGCGATGCTGAAGGAGCCTGTAATTTCTAGGATCCAAGACTGGAACTTAAAAACAAGAAGAATAAAAGGGGGGAAAAAGCTGTCCAATTAAAATGGGCCTCTTTCCTCCTCCCCTCAGGCTTTCTCCCGTCTTCAGCCTTCATCCTGGGGAGTCAGCAGGACTCTTATTTTTCCCTTCCACCCCAAACTCTCATGAGCAAATTCTGACATTTTCTTTTCACCAATAAAGATATACCTGCAGCTGATTAGAGGAACTGGGTTGAATCTGAAGTTGAAAACGAAGTCCCAATGCCATTCAGTTCAGTGCACACCTACTATGTGCCATGCAGTAACTACTGAGCACTTGCCCACAGCACGCCCCACTCTAGGGCGCAAGCAGGGCTTACACAGCCTGGTAGGGAAGATAGGGAGGGAGGCGAATATGCACAGCACAGAGTGAGGAGAATGAAATCATTGATGGGAAGGAGTGGGGAGCTCAGAGATGGGCCTGATGAACTGTTGTGTGGTGTTTTTGTTTGTCTTTCTTTTCCTTTTTTCCTCCCAGAGCAGAACAGTGGGTGCATACCAGGCAGGGTACCAAGGTGACAAAGACATAATCGCTGCTGTAAGGGGACGATAGTCTTTGGGGGATCCACTCACAAATCTGGATCAAGGCAGGCAGACTGAGTCCTAAGTAAGTTGTATGACACAGTGGTGAGCACAGTGCCATGAGAGTCTAAGGAGAGGGAGAGATGATTTGAGACTGGGGAGGAAGGGTTTCAGAGGAAGCCAGAAGAATCCCTTCTCTTAAAACCCAGGAGAAGAAGGTACCCCACCTGGGCAGACACCTGACACAGGTCTATGAGGTTGCTGCAAGGCATCAGAGCAGTAAGGGGCTGGAGGGAGTGAGGGCCCTCTGCAGTCGTGAGGGGGCTGCCAGGCATTGCTCAGAAGAGCTCAGAGCTGACCTGGCCCGAGCACTCAAGTTCATTACCAGTCCTGATTCTACCTTCCAGACTTTGCAGCACTTGGCTGGAAAGTTTATGAGAACTGGCTTATTCTCTGGTGTCTTGGCACTTTCCCTTCATGTCCTGATTGGAACCAGGGAGGCTCTAAGTGCAAACGTTTTTGTACCTTAGAGTAAATTATATCTGCGTTCCTGGAGAAGGCCGTGGTGAAAGTGTCTCTTGTTTCCAGTGGCCCCACTCTCCCCCTCAGGAGACCCAAATTCCAAGTCGGCGCTACTATAAAGTTGATGAATGCATGCCAGGCCCTAATCCAATATGCAATTGCCCTTCTTTTCTCCTCTCCTTTCTGCAGGGAAAGGAAGCTGGATTTTTTAATAAGGTAATAGCACCTCTTTTATATTTTCCTTTCATAAATTATAAAGAATTGAAAGCAGAATAAGGCAGCAGCTTGGCATAATGGAAAGATTACTGAATGGGGTGGGAGTGTAAATTGGTACAACCACTTTTGGAGAGCAAATTGGCAATATCTAGTAAAGCTGAAGCCCAGCAGTTCTTCTCTCAGGTGGATTCCCTAGAGAAACTCTGGGCCACGTGTCTAGGGGCATTGCAGCATTGACAGAAATAGCAACACACTGGGAAAAAAATGAGTCCATCAATAGGAAAATGGAAAACTGTGTCCCCCAAATACTTATTGCAACATTATTTGTAACAGTGAAAGAAACAGAACTAAATACCCATCAATAAAGGGATAAATAAATTACGGTACCTGAGTAGTTTGAACGAATGAACCAGCCCTGCATTTACCAACATGGTTTTAAATCTCAAGAACATAATGGCCATTTGGAGGACTTGTACAGGATAGTGATGTTTATATGAAGTTTTAAAACATACAAGATGATTCTATGTACTGTTTATGTATACATACATATGTTGTAGAAGTATAAAAACACTTGGAAATGTTAAATACCAAATTCAGGTAACCTCGGGGGAAAAGGAGTGGGGAATGGAATTAGGGGAGGGTACACAGGGACTCTCAATTGTGTTATAATGCTTCATTTAAAAACAAAAGATATACACTTTGGGAGGGCCTGAGGTGGGAGGATGGCTTGAGGCTAGGAGTTCAAGACCAGCCTGGGCAGTGTAGTGAGACTCATCTCTACAAAAAATTTAAAAATTAGCTGGGTTTGGTAGTCGCAGCTACTCAGGAGGCTTAGATGGGAGGACTGCTTGAGCCCAGGAGTTTGAGGCTGCAGTGAGCTATGATTGCATCACTGTAATCCAGCCTGGGCAACAGAGTGAGACCCTGTCTCAAAAAGTAGGCAATTTTTGCAAAATATAAAAATTGAACAGGGCTGGGAGGTGGGTATGTTACTATACTTTTCTGCATGCAGGGGCCCTGGTTGCACCCCAGATTTGCCACTAATTCACTATGTGACTTTGGGCAAGCCATACCTCTCTTTAGGTCTCAGTTTCCTCATCTGTAGAATGAGAGGTTTGGCCAGATCATCCAGTGTCCCTTTTGTGGCTCAAAGAATTGAAAGGAAGCTTAGGGGTGCTTATGTCATGAGCTTCCTGAGCAAGTGTCCAACGAGACTGGGGAAAGGCAAGTCAGTAGAGAGCGCCTCTCTCAGGAAGGAGGCTGGCCTGGCATCTTCCTGAGCCTGCTCATGTCCTCAAACTAGGGAGCTGCCCAGAGTATGGAGGGCAGAACTCTCACCACTCACACAGTTCACCACTCAGCTTTCCTAGTGGCCCAAGGGCAGACAGGCAGGATTGCTGAACTGGGCGTCTGGTGATCAGGACTCCAGACCCAAATCCTATTAACTGGCTGTGTGACCTTGGAAAATTACTTCATTCTTTGCTTCATTAGTGAAAAAAGTAAGAATGGTACTCCTCCTTGTCCCCCGCTCCCCCAAGGAGGGGGCGTTGTGACAATTGAACCCTGTGAAATTACTGTAGAATGGAAGGCACTGCTGTCTTTGTCCTCTCCCAAATCCTCAAATCTGGATTTTCTTCTATTAATATAACAGTTTGTCTTACCCAATCTGGACAAAGGGTTCCCTCCCTGCTCTACCCACTCTGCTCTTCCACTCCTAACCTGCACTTACTTTTGGAACAGAAAGACTGTCCCCAGCTACATAGGAGTTTGTGGATTCATTCATTCATTCAGTAAATATTTATTGAATGCTGGGACTGTGCTAGGTGTTTGGAACACAAGGTTTCTGCTCTCATAGAAGTTATATTCTGGTGAGGGGAGACAGAAAAGAACAAGGTAAATAAGATGACACTGAATGATATAAATGAAGTGAAAGTGTGACATGGCAGAGTGGGCCAGTGGAGGGGAGCTAGTTGAGGTCAGGGAAGCCTCTCTGAGGAGGTGACTTTGAGCTGAGGTATAAAATCAGGAGGGAGTCAGCCATGCTGCTCTGTAGGAAGGTAAGCATGGCAGCAAGAAGTTAGTAAGATGATGATGGATTCCAGGAGCTCAGGTCAGAAGTAACGAGGTCTTGGATCAGGACTGTTGCTGTGGAGATGGAGAGAGATAGATGAATAAGGGCAATATTTTGGCTTGATGTATTGGATGTGGGATTTAGGGGAAAGAGGGTGATTGAGGGTGACTCCTTACATTTCGAGTTCCAGCACTTGGGTGAATGTTGGGGCCATTTACTGAAACCAGGAAGAACAAATTTGTGGCAGAAGATAAAGAGTTATCTTTTGGCTTTTAAATGAGATCTTTTTTGTTGTTGTTTTTTTCTGAGACAGAGTCTCGCTCTGTCTCCCAGGCTGGAGTGCAGTGGCGAGATGGCTCACTGCAAGCTCCACCTCCCGGGTTCACGCCATTCTCCTGCCTCAGCCTCCAGAGCAGCTGGGACTACAGGCGCCCACCACAGCGCCGGCTAATTTTTTTGTATTTTTAGTAGAGACGGGGTTTCACCGTGGTCTCAATCTCCTGACCTCATGATCCGCCCGCCTCGGCCTCCCAAAGTGCTGGGATTACAGGCGTGAGCCACTGCGCCTGGCCTAAATGAGATCTTTTAAGTGAAGACATCATGTAAGTGGTTGGATATATCAGTTTGATGCTCATTGGAGATGTCAGAGCTAGGGATATCTGGCAGTCACTAGCAAAGCGATGGTGTTTAAAGCCATAAGACTAGATGTGATCTTTTAGGAAGATACTGTAGGGCCAAGCACTGGGAATCTCAACATTAAATGTTTGATCAGAGGAGGAAAAGCTGCGAAGGAGACTGAGAATGAATAGCAACTGAAGTGGGGGAAAAGTGGGCATGGATGGTGTCACCGACATCAAGAGTATTGAGGATGAAAAAGGAGGGGGCGATCAACTGTGCCAAATGCTGCTCAGAGGCCAGGAAAGAAAAGAAGAGAGAAATAATGACTGGATTGGCGGTGTGGAGTCCCTGAAGACCTCAATAGGAGATGAGGAAGACTTGGAAGATGGGTTTTGGAGTGGGGAGGAGTTGGAGCACGTGCTCCCATACTTCTTAGGGAGGAGGCAGCAGGCCATGTGACTCCACGCCCGGCCACAGATGAGAGGCACAGGAATAGACTTTACCCAAGTAGAGCCAGTTGGATTGTCTGTTCCAGGACAGAGGCCTCAAGATGCCGTGACTCCAGTTGATTGATCAGTGCCTCTGGGCCTGGAGTGCCTGTTTTTGTGCTAAATATAAGAGGGCAGTGGTTCACCAATATCCTTGCTTAGGTAAAGATCCTAGGATTCAGTTCTATGCCAGAGACGGTGCTGGGGCCTTTACTTCCACACTCTGCCTCCTTCTGCGTGTCATTTCTCTTTGGGGAGCTCATGAGTGTCCTGTGCCATTACATTAAATGCAAATTAGAATAGGGTGAACAGCGTGTTAGAACATTACTCCTGCTGGAACAATTGTCAGGCCATGTGCAGGCTGCCGTCAATGGGAGAGCCTTGCTGACCAATGAGGCTACCCAGTGAGCTTCTGGATAGGCAAAGAATGGTGACCGGAAGCCTGTGGGTGTTGACTTGACAGTTTCTGGACAAGACTCTACTTCCACTTTCCCACTCTGGCTCCTGCCAGTTTGCCTCATCATGTTCCCGTGGTGCCATCCATTTTGCAGCCTGTGGAACCATTCACCTCTGGGGTCTGCTGGTCTCTTTCCACACCTAATAATCTGTGCCATCAGTCTGGATTATGGCATCAGTCCTGTTCAGGATTTTGCCTTTTGTGTTTCCATACCACAAAACTGATTAAGGCCCAGCAGACTCTTTTGCTTCCACATTCGCTTGGTTCTTGCCAATCAAAAGCCCTGGCTTTCAAGACTAACGTTTTTGCCATCAGTGTCAGAAGTCTCTTTTCCAAAAGTGGGCATGGAGGAGGGTTTCTTTGTTTCCCTTCCTTTTAGATTGACAGCCCCAACATTCCCTGAACAATGGATGCCACTGTCTGAACAGGATCAGGTCTAAAGAAAGTTAATTATTCAAGATGTGATCTGACCTCATAAGAGAGAGGATGCTGGTGGGCAGAACTAACGGAGAGAGTAAAAGAGGTGCAGGGTTAAAGAGGAAGGGGAGACTCTGAGAGGCTGTGTGGGGAATGAGAGGGAGAAAGATGTTGCTGTGTTTCCTATAGCTAGCTGGTTCCAGCTCAGCCCCTTATTAGATCTGCCTTATTTACTGCCCTGACTCCTTACACCAAACTCACTTTTCCTTAAGCCAGTGTGAGTAGGCCTTTCTTTCTTGCCCACTGAGGCAGTGTGAATGACCCAGGGAGCTCATTTGGCTGATGTGTGCGCCAATGAAGCTGGTGACCACACAGATACTTTTCATGGGGCAGGGTGTGGCAAATGCTTTTATAGACATTTAATCCTCACTCTCAGAGACAAGTCAGAGCTCACAGTCACTTCCACTGCCAAAGGAGTGTGTGAGTTCAATGAATTGGGTTTTAATTCTGCCATCTTTCTGGGTTTGCTGTAGTTTCTTGCATAGAGGTCAAGTTCTTAGAGCATGGAGGCTATATCTAGTGATCACGGCCACAGTAGATGCTCAAGAAATGTTTAGTAAATTGTTGATTAGTTTTTTTCTAGAGAGCGCCTTTTACTTCTAGTTCAGTGCACCCAGAAAGCACTCAGCACCAAAAAAGGGAGCCTGGGAGCCATCTCCCTAACCCAAGACATGTGTCACTCTTGGTGGTCGCAGGTCTGAGACCTCCAATCTCATGCCACACCACAAAACCACTCTTCCATTGTCTCCCACAAGCCCTTCTTCTTCCTTTGCTCACTACCTACCCTGTAGTAGTTTTTAAAAACTCATTTATCGTGGAAAATTTCAAATATATAAGTAGACAGAATAGTATAATGAAACTCAGAGCACTCCTCTCCCATTTCAACAGTTATCATCGATATTTTTCCAATCTTTCATTTATTCTCCACCACTTTTATTTCTTAAGCATTTAAAAACAGATCCCATAGGTATTCATTTTCTATTAGTGCTGATGAAATTACCTCGGTGACTTAAAACAACACAAATTTATTATTTTACGGTGTCTGGCAGGGCTATGGCCCTTTCTTGAGGCTCCGGGGGAAAATCTGTTTCCTTGCTTTTTCCATCTGCAGGAGGCAGCCCACATCCCGCATCCCGCAGCCCACAGCCCGCATCCTGCATCCTTTGTGTTATGGCCTCTCTTCTCTATCACTTATGTGATTAGATTGGGTGCACCTGGATAACCCAGGCCGATCTATCTGAAGATCCTTAATTTAATCATGTCCACCAGGTTCCTTTTGCCATGCAAAGTAACACATTCACAGGTTCCAGGGATTAGAACACAGGCATCTTTAGGAGTCATTATTCAGCCCACTACACTAGACATTATGTAATTCACCCTAAATAATTCAGTGTGGATCTCCAACTGTTAAGGTATATCTCCATGCCATTATCATACCTTAAAAATTTAAAAATAAATAGTAATAGCCAGTCCATCGTCAGTTTCCTGATTTGTTATAGCCTTCTTGCAGTTGGTTTGTTCAAATCAGGATCCAAGCAAGGTCCACACATTGTATTTGGTCGTTTTATCTCCTAAGTCTTTTTTATTCTTTAAAAACTCCCTTATCTACCACCTCTTTTTAATATCTACCACCTCTTTTTAATACCTTTGATTTGGTAGAGATATCGGGTTATGTGACCTGAAGGAGGTTCTACATTTTTGATTTGGTTGATTGCTTCCTCATGGTATTGTTTGGTTTGTTCCTCTGTCCCTTGGATTTCCTCTACACTGCTACTGAGTGTTGATCAGATTCAAGTTTGTTTGGCAGTACTTCAGAGGGAGTATATCACATTATGAAACACACAGTGTTCAGCTGCCCCCCCTTTACTGATGCCAAAACTGACTGATACATTCAGGTGGTGTCCACCTGTCCCTTCCACTGGAAAGCTCCCCATCAACCTTTCATCTGATGATTTTGGGACCTTCAATGATTGTTGCTTGATACATTATTTCATTAGGAGTTGCAAAATGGTGATTTTTATATTTCTATTTTTCTTTTTTTGCACTTATTATTTGGAATTCTTCTAAAAAAATTTTCCCTAATAACAGTTTAGTTTCTCCAAAATCCAGTTCATGCAGGAAAGACAGGATAAATGCTTAATTCCTCTCAATTTTTAAAAGCAAGTTTTCAGAATAATGAGTTGGTGGCTTAGTAACTTGAAAAAAGGTACTGTAAATTTTCATTGTACAATTGTTCTGAACCCATGGATGTATATCAGATATATATATTATTGGGTGTGTTTTAATCTTTTTGATGTTCATGTTATCCTATTGTAGGCCAATAGGAGCCCCTTCAAATAGACTCCGATGTCCTGTTTTAATGAGCAGACTCTCATTAAAATTAGTCTTTGATAGTTTCCCTGCTTTCTGGTTCAAGATATCAGGCTCATCTTGTATATTTATTGCACTAGACCTGAAGTCAAACATTTCTCTAAGAATGTTTGGTTTCTTTTGAAAGGAAATCGCATTTAGAGGCCACGATGTAGGAGCTTACTGCTACTGGGTTGTCAGTTTCTAAGCCTTTTCAATGGATAGAGCTAGGAAATATGCTTTGTTAAGAGAACAAAGGATTCACATTGATTTTCCAATGTGAATTAAAATTACAATAAGACACCTGAATGCAGTATAAGATCTCTTTGTAGTTCTTTTTGTCCTGATAATATACCTTACCAGAGATGTATAATCAAAATACTGTATTTTAAAGTGACCTGAAGTAATTCTTTACTCTGTGTGGCTGTATCACCAAATTGATACAAAGTTAAGATTATTTCAGTTTGTTTGAATAATTTTTAAATATTCATCTAAATGAATATTCATTCATTTGTATATTATATATCGCCATAGCAGTGATTACTACTGGGAACTTACCTTGTTCATTGTTTGTTTCTTATCTACTTCCCCCATTTAGCAGGTAAGCTCCGTAAGAGGAGGGTTCCCTTCTGTCTTGTACCCTGCTTATCCCCAGTACCTGGAATAATTTCTGACATGTAATACACCTTCATAAGATGCCCATAAGATGGAAGCTGCTTTCTCATACATATCCCAACAGTGAGAGGTAGCATTATTATCCCGAATTAACAGATGAGGAGGCTCAGGCTCATGCAGGATAATTGCTCATACAGGGTTTCACATGTAGTCACAAGTGGAAACTTGAGGGAGGCTGGGCTGGTGGATAAGATTCTGGGCTTCCAGTAATTCTAGATTTGGATAAATTCAATTCCTGAGTAGAGAAACAGAGGCCCTAATGCCCTTGGTTCCTGGAAAAGGAAGCTGTATGGAGAACTTCTTCACAGATGCAGGAAGCAAGGCAGGCCTGGGTCTCCCAGTGACTTCACCCCCTTGCACTTAAGCCATATTAAAAAATCCTCCCTACTTTTAATTTGCAACAAGAAAAAGGACTTATCCCAGAAGCGGTTCCCTGTGGTAGAAGGAGCATCGATGGAAAGTCAGAGACTTGCTTTAGAGATCTATCTTCATTGCATTTTGCCTGTGTGCCCCTCAAGACACGCAATCTCTGCAAACCTCAATTTCCTCATTTGTAAAATGGACTGACAGTTTCAGCCCTGATTACTTCTCAGTATTGTTGTAGGATGAAAGGAGGCAGTGGATGAGAAAGCTCTTTGTGCATGTAAAAGGCTTTCTAGACAGAAGGGGTATGATTGTCTCTCCCTCTACTCTCTTTTCTAGTGGCATTTTATTAGAAATGTGTTCACCTCTGCCAAAGGCTTTCAAAGAAGTTGGCCAGAAATATTCTTACCCAGGAGGCAGGCAGATACTTTTTTGGAGGAAATTATCAAATGAAGAACAAAAAGAAAACCCCAAACCAGAGAGTGGATGGAATAATTGGCTTTTAGTGATTACTCACTATGGAAGGGGGAAAAAAAGTAAGTCTTCAGAATAAACAGTGGAGTTAGAAATTTATGCTGATGAAAACTGAATGTAGCAAAATAATGGGTCCCCCTCACTGACCACACGCTCTGTGCCAGTTGCATAACCAGCACTACCCCAAATCCTGCAAGACAGGAATTATCACCTCCATTTTATAGATGAGGAAATTGAAGCTCAAATAGGTCAAGTGACATGCCCAAGAATAGACAGCTGACCAGAACCAGAACCAGAACTCAAAGCCTATGAAGTTCTCACTCCTGTGTATCATCTTCAAGTCCAGGGAAGTTTGGCAAACTCTATTAAGTCATAAGGGTGAGAGAATTACACATTTAATGTGAACCTAGGTGGAGGAGGGCTTCACTTTACTTGGTTAAGGGAACCTGCATTCTCCCTGTGTTGTTGATGTGTGGTACAGTGCTTGGAACATAGAGGGCTCAATGAATAAAAGAGGAAAGACTGTTTCATAGAGAATTTTGGATGATCTACAGGAAAATGGAGTGACTATCATGCTTGCAGACACTTTTAAGAGGCATAGAAGCCAGTGCTCAGCTAGTGGCCGTATTTGGCTTCATGGCCTCAGGGCCAGGCCAAGGTGGGTGGATCATTTGAGGTCAGGAGTTCGAGACTAGCCTGGCCAACATGGTGAAACCCCGTCTCTGCTAAAAATACAAAGATTAGCTGGGCGTGGTGGCGGGTGCCTGTAGTCCTAGCTACTTGGGAGGCTGAGGCAGGAGAATCGCTTGAACCCAGGAGGTGGAGGTTGCAGTGAGCCGAGGTTGCACCACTGCACTCCAGCCTGGGTGACAGAGCGAGACTCTGTCTCAAAAAAAAAAAAAAAAAAAAAAAAAAAAAAGGAAAGAAGCCCCAAGCAAGTTAATCAAACCCCAAGCAAGTTAATCAAAAGCCACATGATTCACTCCAGGAAGTGCAATAAGACAGGCTGCCATTTTACCTTCTCCATTTCAGGGCCAGTAAAAATGCTGATGCCCCTCCTGGTTCCATCACGTTTGGGTTCATGAAAGCGAGATCAGCAGGAATGAGGAGACCTGTTTCAGACTGGGTTTCAGCACAAATTTATCGCATGCCTGCAGGCAAACCTACATTACAAAGCCTCAGTTTTCTGGACTATAAGTGGACAGAGATGCCAAAGTCACCACTGAGCACTTTCTAACCCCTCAGGAAGAGGTCTAGAACTTTGGCCATGTTCTATTTTTTATTTGCTTTTTAGCACGCACAAGTATTTGCTCTTGTGATTGTTTTTAATCTCCAGCGGTACCTCTCCTAAACCGTTCTGAGCCCCCTTTTCTGTTTAGGAGAACCGCATAGCCATCTCCAGTTCACTCCATGGTTCAATCTGTGTGGCCTTAAACCCCTCTTCACCTCAGATTTTCATCTGTAAAATGGAATAATAACATCAATCTCAGGACTGTGGTAAAGATTAAATAAGATATAAATATAAATGTGTGTATATTTGAGATAGGTGTTATATTTTAAGTACTTTTAGACAGGATTTTTTTCCCTTTTTATTACAGAAAGTTCTGTCCTGTTCTCTGATTTCTTTTCCCATTCCATCATCAGAACACAAATGACAGGAGTCAGTTGGAACCTGGAACTTCTAATTCAGAAATCTTAACTTGAAACCACAATAGGGAGAAATGTTTTCCTCTGGTTTGAGACAAAGTGACAAAGAATGATGACTGCAAGTTGCTGGAGTTTAATTATTACACATAATTATATACTTATTCTATATAAATACTTTTGCTACTTTTATTTTTCCCTAGAGGGGAATAAATGACTTAATTCTCTTTCCATTCTTTTCCTGATTGGAATTTTTACCCGTTGACTTCCCTGTTTCTCTCTTATAAAACATATCTCAGGTGATGAAACCTTGGAGCGGAATGAACAGCTTGAGGAAACTCAGGGCTTCTGTAGAAAGCAACAAGCTGTTGCTAGGGAGGCTGGAGAGAAGTGTATTTGTTTAACATCCTTATTCCTGCCTTGCTGAGTCCAGTGGCATGTTATTTCCACTGGGTGGGAGCCAACATTGAGTTCCTCCCTGTTGTGTCCAACCTTGAACATTTCTCTGCGATTATGTTTCATCCAGGGATTAGCAAAATGCAGAGGGGAAAAAACCTGAGAAGGTGTTTGGCACGGGGCTTAGTGCTGCGTTCGCACAATCTGCTTGCATTCTCGGCTAATTGGAGAACAGCAGCAAACAGAAGTGGCTCCGAAGCTCACGGGAACTCCTTATCTTAGCTTCTATAAATGGTTTATTTATTGAGTGTCAAGGTTTTTTGTTTGTTTGTCTTTTATAATCCCCAAGGAGACCCCAACTAAACACACAGTTCTCACTCCCTGCCTTGTCTTCACCATTACTTATCAGGAAATCTGAGAGCAGTGAGTGGAGCTAGGAATTCTCCCTTTCAGACTTGCCAAGTGTCATCACTTGGTGAATCTTGAAGATTCATTTTCCTTTTTTGTAAGTGGGATACACATAGCTGTTAGAAGAAGAAAAGGGGTTTCCAAATGAAAGATAAAGTTCTGTTACCTAAGATTTGCTTTTGGCAAAAGAAGTGCAAATTTCTGAGTTTGCCTCAGTCTGTCCATGGCTACCCCATCAAGACTTCAGAGTGGAGCTCTGTGGGGTCCACTCTGTGGGGCAGTGGGGTAGTGTCTGCCTGAGGTGCAGGATTGTGTCCAAGGCAACATCTGAGTGACTCTTCACCTCTTCTCTTCGCACCAGACTTGGCCTCCCTCGTGTTGCTGCTTGTCTTGAGCATAGAGCCCTTAGTGGAGACCTCAGTAGAGCAGACACGTGCCAGGAGGAAATAAAAAGGAGGCTGGCTCAGAAAAGAAAAGCAGTCCTCTCTGGGCCCAGGAGCCTGCACGCAACAGCTTCCACTCAAGCTTTCAGAACTCGAACCTTTTACAGTCCCTCTGTGAGGCCAGGGGGGAAGCAACACTTTAGCAGGTACTGAGCTGCCACCAAGTCGCAACAGAACTAGGAGCTCCAAGTTTCTTATTAAAACTCCAAGGCCGTTGGTTGCATTTAAATGAGCTGCAGCAGTCAAGTAGCAAGTGAGGTCACCAGCTGGTCCTGTAAAAACTGGTTGAGAGCTGTAGTCCTGGGGAAAAAAGCCAATAACCCCGAGATCTCAAGAACACATCAGGAGAAGGGAGAAAACAGATTGAAAGTGCAGGCAGTAGGTCTGAGGCTGGGATATGTAGCTTGAGACAAAGTGTGACAGTGGAAAGAGACAAAAGTTCTAAGGCAGGCTGGCAGGGAGACCCAGAGTTAACAAGGAATAAGATAATTAAAGCAGCATGAAATCTCACAAAACCATAGTCTGGAATGAAGTGTCTGAGGGTGTGTAGGGTACAGCATCTTGCTAGGATTATTTGGCTTAGAGGATTACAACACCGTGCTAGGGAGACAAGGAGACCGAGATGGGGTCAGGCTCCATATGGATTGTATAGCCCCACCCCTGCTCCCATCCTATGGCCACAAATTATTCCTTCCTTTGGAGGAAGCTATTTTAAGGGAACACCATTACCCCAAAGGGGATCATGAGTGTGAAATTTTCGAAATGATTCTGAACTTTGTATCAGAAGACCTGGATTCTAGTCTTCTAGTCCTAGGATTCTATCAGGATTCTAGTCCTGATACTGCCACTTACTAGCTCTTGGCAAGCAGCTTAACCTCTTAGAGTCTCTAGTTTCGTCATCTGGGAAGTGCATGCGTTGGATATATTATGCAAGATCACATAAGAGAAAGCGCTTTATAATTATAAAGACATTTAATTACTTACATGTAGAATGAGAAAAATAAAAGTTTTTTTTCTTTTTAATAGAGACAGGGTCTTGCTCTGTCACCCAGGCTGGAGTGCAGTGCTGTGATCATGGCTAAGTGCAACCTCTAACTCCTGAGCTCAAGTGATCCTCCTGTCTCAGCCTACCAAGTAGCTGGGACCAGAGGTGCACACCACTGCACCAGCTAATTTTTAGAATTTTTTTTTTTTTATATATAGAGACAGGGTCTCACTATGTTGCCTAGGCTTGTCTTGAACTTCTGGCCTCAAGTGATCCTCCCAGCTCGGCCTCCCAGAGTGCTGGGATTATAGGTGTGAGCCTGCACCTGGCCAATAAAAGCTATTAGTAGAGAGTTGGTAGATCGATTGCAAAAATATCCACACTTCACCACCCTTCCCTATTGCTGTGCCCTTTGCAGTGTCACTTTGCAGTTCCTCTCAGAAAGAGGTAGAGCCTACTTTCCCACCCCGTGAATGTAGGCAGGGCTTGTGGTATATTTTGGCCTTGAATGTGGCAGAAGTGACGTTGACATTGTACCAGTTCTGAGCCTAGGGCTCAAGAGACCCTCTCATGGAATCCTGCTGCCTCTATATGAACCACCCAGGGCCAGAAGGGTAAGACTACATGGAGAAGAGCCCACTTGTCTTAGCCACAGCCATCCTATGCCAGACGCAGTCACCTGACCCCTAAACAGATGATAGTGTCCAGCCAGGATCAGCAGAGCTGCCAACCAACACACAGAACGCAGATGCAGATGCACGAGTAAGTCACCTGAGACCAGAAGATCTCTGGACTCATCCACAATAATAAATGCATGTTGGTTTAAGCTACTGAGTTCTAGGATTTTGTTAGGTGGCAATAGCTAACTGATATGGACCTTGTGGAGTATTTTGCCAAAAATTAATCAATCAGAACTAATAGTTAAGGGCAAAGTCAGTATAAGTAATGGCAGTGGCACATGCAGTCCATCACAGAGAGGGGCAATATGGCCACCAGCCCTGAGGGTCTCTTCCTTGGGTCACACTCTCCGGCAGGAGGATGGGATGGCACATCAAATGATGTCTTGGTCATGTCTTAGGTAGACTTGGGGTTCAGAACAATGTAATATGAGTCTGTGTGAGGCAGTTTCTGAAAGGAAAGTCCATGTTTCTTTGAAGTTTATAAAAACACAATTGTAACAATGAGTGAAGTATCTCTGTGGAACCTGCTAAAATAATACGCAGCATTGTAAATGTAATAATTTGAAGTCAAAGTCCCCCTTCTTGACTTACAGGTTTACCAAATTAACCTGCGAAATTAACATCCTTCTTGCAAAGACAAAGAAACTTCCAAGAATGGACTGAAATGTCATGTGTCATCTCCAGCATAGCCTCAGCTCTGAGACATGCTGGGACTTCAGTGGAGGCTGCTGGGTGGGACGAAGTAGTCAAAAAATGTATGCTTCTGGAGTTAGGGTAGATAAAGGGAGTGTAGGACGAGCTCTAGTCCAAATTGCTGTCCCGAGTGTGTGATAAACAGAGCTCTGGTGTGGGGTGTCCATGCACAAGTCTGCACTGCTGAGTGGGGCATGGCAGGAGTCTCTGCAGAGGCAGTGGTCAGGAGGCTGGCTCCTGGGGACCTCCCCCAACAAGGTGAAGCTGCATCATAGCCAGAGGATAAAGGGGTAGGAAACAAGAGTGTCCTGGCAGTGGTGGAGGGGGTGACAGGATGGGTCCTTGCATCATTCCAGTGGACTGGGGCAGGGACTGGACTAAGACTGCAGGTTCATGGCCCTGAGTTCCTCTGGAAGTCTGTGGCAATCATGGATGACCAGTGAAGAGCATCTGAGCCACTGGTCATTCTGTGCAAATGGTAGACGTCACTGAGTGATCAGTGGCAGGTAGGTATTTCACAAAGAACTTGTGGAAGAAAGTGGAGCACCAGTGGGTCCATGCCCAGAAATCAGAATACTCGCCACAAAATATCTAGAGCCATCAGGATGGGAGAAGAATGGATGTGGAGGGAGCGGCAGGCTCCCTTGGCTGAGAAGATACCACCTTTGAGGGTGGTGGGGACCAGCACTTCATGTTCCTGTGCTCATCTCGGAAAGTTGTGAATGGATCTTAGAGGACCCAAGACTTCTTTCTGCTCTAAACTTCAGTGATTCCATGATTTTATGCAGATTTAAGACCAGCTAGGCCACCCTCAGGCTGCATTTCCTCCAGTGCAGAACTAAACCAGCCCCTACTTTGGATGGAACACATAGCTCTCTCTCTAGATACGGGTTCTGCAGGTTTCTGGCTGAAAATCGTTCCTCAATTTTCAATCAGCTGTGGCTGATTCTGGAACTCTGAAAGGTTCCAGACTTGCTGTCTAGGATGAAAGACCTTATTCTGTAGCACTTTTTCCATAGAAGCAATGACCTCATTTATATTCACTGCTGACCCAGCCAGCATTTAAGGTGCAGAATCTGCCCCTTCAGTATGGCAAGTCCTGATTCCTCCAGGGCCAGCCCCAGGGCTTCTGCAAGCACACACAGTGACTTTGTACAAACAAGCCAAATGGATCCTCATGAGGCAGAAGAATTACGAAAAAGTGCCTCCTCTAGGTAGGGGAATGATAAAACAACGCTCCCTCTGAGTGGACCTTGCTCCTGGCTGACACAACTCCTGTGCCAGGATGCAAGGCTTGGCAAGTGAAGGCCAAAATGAAAGTTAGTCTCCATCAATGCCTTCCTGGCCTGGTTTCTTTGTGTAGGGCACAGTCTGTAAAACTCTGCCAGGTCCTGTTTGCTGCTGCCTAGAACCAAACAGCCTCACACCTTGCTCTTACAGGGCCTGTGCCCACTTAGGACAAGTGGGATTCAAGTCGAGTGGCCAGGAAGTCTGAAGGGAGTTGAGGAGTAAGAAGGCATGAGGAACAACCTCCTTCATTAGACCTGTGCTCCTGTCCTGACAGACTTCTTTGAACTTCTTGCCACTTGCTGATTAAGTGACTGAGGGGACTCAGGTGAGCTGGAGGACACCCCCGTCTTTCTCCAACAGGTGAAACAAGGTGGTTCTTTTCTGTAAGACAAATGTGGGTAATAAACAGAAAAAAGGCCAGCAAACAGATCAAGTTCCATAAAAACAAAAGCAATCAGTGCACCCTCTATGACGTAGGTTCACAGAAATGACAGACCAAGTGTGTGAGACACGTCCTGTGCAGGGACACGTGTGACCTTCCGAGCTGTGGGGGAAGGTGCAGCTCAGCGCAAACCGTACTCAAGATGAGTTTTATTTCCCTTCTGGTGTATCTCCAGAGCATGCTGGCAAGTGAGTGAGTCCACTGTTTCTTGCTTCTCGGCATCAGTGACATCATCACTTAATAAGTTAGGGAATCACAACCACATTTCAAAGAATCATTCAGTTTTCTCATTAAGATTCTATAGGATTTTTTTTTTCCACAGCAACAGTCTTGCCAAAATAATGTTAAAAATAGACCTGGTAATACTTTTCACATTTGTAGGCAGTCATGAATGTTTAACAGTGTTTATGTCCAGCAGATGCACATAACTTAAGAATTAGGCATGAGATTTTACACAGTAATACAGAGTACATATATTGTCAAAAGGATTTTTTTTTTTAAATAAAGCAAATACCAAGCCTGGGGAAGAAAAACCTGTTCCCACTTCATCTTCTTGTAGGAAAGTGTTTAATGCATAAAAAATTGGGAGGAAAAGGCATATGTAAAATGTTTGTGAAAAAAGTTTTCAACAGTGATTAAATTTGGATATTCTGACTCACTTAAGTGCATATGGTAAATTCTCAAAATTCAAGGGTCTGAATTCTGGCTCCCGAAGTAGAGAATTATTTTGGAGACAGGTAGCGTCCTATGCTTGTCTGAGTCTGCATGGCTTGGGAAAGGGACACATAGGTTTGGGGCGAGCTGAGAGGTGGTTAAGGTCAGAGGTCCCTCTGCTGAGAAAATGCACCGAGTCTGACTGCCTGGAATTTCTCAGTGAGATAAGCTCTACAGGTCACTGGCCTACAGAAAATGAGATGCTACCTTAAAAGAGGTAAATGAAGTAAAATGTAATTATAATGATTTTAAAACAGAAGTTCTACACATTAATAACTTTATTTGGGGGACTGTCCCTAGTGAGTCCCAATTAAATCACTGGCTCCCAAAAAAACTGGCCTAGATGGCCTTTAAAGAATCTTTTTACAGCTGGGCCTACTTGACATTTTGGAAATGTAAACGTGCCTCCATGCATTTGGAGGATGGCTACATGGATGTTTCCTGAGTTCCCAGCTCTCCTTTTTTATTAATAGTTGTAACTGATCAACAGACGATACAGAATTGATGGCTGTATAAATATAGCTCTTAAATATAGTCATCGTAACTTTCTGATTAGCTTTGGCTGGAACTTTTTTAACTTCTAGCCGTACATCTACAAATGGAAGTTTTCTTGCTTTGGGGGTAATCACATAGATGGAGATTAACTCTCTTTTTCTCCCAGGCTCTAAAAATTATTTTGACCAAAATGTTTAAGTCAGGGGTTTCATGTAGACACAGCTTACATGAGTCATTAAGAATTTTATTGGTTAAAGTAGGCATATTTTTTTCCTAGTAGACATAATGACATAACAGTAATAAAAATGTAATATTCAAGTAATTGGTGTAATGTAATTACAGTTTGGTCATAAAGTAAGATTAGAAGTCTGAGATGGCTGTTTTGTGGGTGTGCACTTTAGCGTCTGAATGTAGTCTTCGAGGTGCCTGCCCGGTCTCCCTGGAATGCTAGTGCAGTTCATCACATAACCAGGTGGCTGGGCGCCCAGCTGAGCCAGCATTATCTGTGAGTCCTGTTTACCCAGTCTGCCCTGTCTGGACGTTGGTGTCCTGCCTGCTTCAGATACCTAACCATCACAGGAACTGAAAACAGTGTTTCTGGTTTTATATAGACAACAAAAGGGGGAAATAAAGGCCAGGGTCCTCACTAGGCAAGGGACAGACGGAGTTCCAGTGCCATCCTAGAATGGCCACCTCTTTGCCCACATGATGTTGTAGCTCCCCATCTCCCTTAAATTGCAGTGCTTGGAGCAGAGAGCTCCCATATGCCTCTGATGTGCTACAGTGTCAGCCTGTTCTGGCTTTTGGAGGGAAGAACAATTTCCAGATTGAGGCTGAACAAAAGGAGCTGTCTTAGGCATTTGACCAAAATATATTTTATCAAAGGATTTGCCATCATTGGAGATACTCTTTCAACTATTATAAATGAATTTCTCCCTGTTTGCATTTCTTATTTAGTGGCATGGCCTGCAGAAACACAAAATTTAAGCAAGAGTACTTATCTATTTTTGAACACAAACATAACATTTTAATTAACAGTACTTACAATAAATAATTTAAAGAACATCTGATTTCTTTTTTACTATTTTTTCCTTTTTAATTAATCAGTAATTTGTGGGGAGACAATCTGAGACTACATAAACCACTTCTTATCAGTCTTCCTCTACCATGGATGATCTTTTAATGCTACTATTCCTTCTTATTTATTAGTTGGCATTCTTCTGCAAAGAAGACTTTTCACTTTCTCCTCTGTTTACTTATTTATACTGCATGGACTCATGAATATTTATTCGATGGGTGACAAACTAGTACTATCATTTATTTTGATGCTCAAATTGTCCCAGATTTGGCCAGTAAGAGCCTCTTCCAGCTCCATTTTTGACCTCTCCCCATGGTTCTTTGACCAGTTCCTTATTTTCTTATGCAATAAAATATTCAAGGCTCATTTTTCCAGGCATCTTTCCCTGCCCTGGTTCTGGGATCAGGCATTTCTCCAAGGAACCCTGAATACCAGTGGGGAATGATATTTAGAAACTAAGATCTGGGCACTAGGTGTGAAAGATCATCACTTTTTAAATGTGTAAAATTTATTTGGAAAAATTTAGGGTGCTTATAAAGAGCTAAGCATGTGCCACAGGTGAAGGCTGCCTTTGGATCCTGAAAGGGTTGGAATTCTAAGAGAAATCACCCCCCGCCCTCACCGGCCCTTGCCAAATAATGTAAATATGTCACGTAGTATGCCAATTACAGTTTCTGCAAATTGATAAGATCTTTAGGCTTTTCTCCTTCTAAGCAAATACTGTTGTCTAAACCTATTTCAAAAGAACATTAGTATCACTCCTAACTGACAGCTCTTGATGTCTGCTAACTCACAGTTCAGTCATTCATCAACGGCGCAGAGTGATTCACAAACTTAATTTCTTGCCAATATCAGTGACTTTAAACATCCATTGTCTCCGAACCCCCCTTTATGAATATAAATCACACACCTACAAAGGCCTGTCATGAATGCAGCGGGCCACATGCAGTATGTCTGTGCCTCATCATTCCTTCTGGCATGTCACCTTAGTAAACAATGTATAGAGTCTCATTCTAACCCTTGAGTCTGTGGTCTTGTTTTCTACAATGGTGGCTGCTGAGCTGAGGCCCCAAGGAAGGTGAGAAGCCAGCCACACTGAGCCAAAGGGCTGGCAACAGTGACTGGAGCAAGGCTGGACATACAGGATTCCCTGTCTTTAACTCCTTTAAGTAAAGTCAAGGGAAAGCAGAGTTTGGTATCCGACTGATGCAGACTGTTGGCTTTTACTTGGCATGTACTTTCTTACTGCTTGAGAAATGTTATTTTTTCCTTAAACTTCTTTCTCATTAATCTTGTGTTAAGAGTGGTCTAACCCTGTTAGTTTGGTAGGCAGCTTCTGTTCCAATTAGCATATATTTCCATAAGTGTTGAGTGGGGAAGGGAAGGAAAACGCAGAATTTCTCAACTATTGACCTTGAGGGACTTGTAGGAAGGTGTGTCTGACATGCTTGTAATACAACTGACTCTGAAAAAGCTCTAGTAAATGGTTAAGTTATGGTTGGCTCTGATGATTTATGCTGAACAGAATAAACTATGATGGAGACATAAAATATTTCTAAGCTTACACTTTAGTCACTCAATATACATGAAACTCAATCTTCTTACTTAAAAAACAGATAGAGCACTGAGAATCTCCTAAGGAAATCAAGTTGTTTATTAGTCTTGTGTTCACCCATGTCATGCATACGAAGATTGAAGAGCTGAAAACGCTTTGATATTCTCCACTGTAAGGCACTGTGTGATACCCCGCTTAAAACTATTCCTACCATTCCACCAAGGGACTTTCCTTTCCACTGACAAGTTGAAGGAGGAATTCAGAGACAGTGCTTCCGTAGCCAAATTGTTTCATTGTTCAAGTATATTGATAGGGTGGTTGCCTAAGCAGAAAATGCAGAATTAAACGAAGGAAGCTTGTTTTGAGAGCAGGTCTGTCACCATCTATGGTACATATGACAAGGAAGTAAACAGGAAGTGCTGAATTGGCTTGGTTTACTCCTACAGGGACAGAGAGAAATAAAATCAGTGTTTACCAAATGGAAAAGCACAAAGTTGGTACAGAGAGAAATGTTATTTTCAGGCTTCTAAAAAGGCATTACAAATAACACAAAGTTTCAAACCTATAATTAAAAACTATTTTTAAAAAGTTTTGATTAGGTTCCCTTCAAAAATAGGCATTTTAGGCTGAAATAAATTCTTAAAGTTTTGACTCCCACTTATGCTGGTTTTTCCATAATCCACACTCCATAAATGCCCCTCTTAAATAACAGATTTCAGGAGTAAAAAATATGTCTTAAAGTCATCTAGTAGAACTTCAATGCTCCCACTTAATAGATGAGGAATCCAAGACCCCAAAGTTAAAGCAATTTCTCAAACACCACACAGCCATTAAGGGCAGGGAGAATTTAGGATCCAAGTTACTCATCAGGCAAGAGTTACGAATAGATATAATTTCTTAGTGCCAGATCCACGGAGGAAACAAACCTTGTGGTGAAGGGGCCAAATGTATTGTTGGTGTAGTTTTTTCCAGAAGCCAAGACTGGGCCTGTGGGTCCAAACCGAGTATACTTCTGTCCTTCAGCAGCTCTGGACAAGAGCTAAATACCATCTAAATGCCTGACTCCAGAATCATGAGAAATAAAAAAAATAATGTTGCCTTAAAGCCACTAACGTTTGGGGTGGGTTTGTTACACAGCAAAAGATAACTGAAACAGAAATAGGCAGGATCACCCCATGAGGCAAGGAAGCACATCAGCTGAGTTGTTTACTAAGGGCAAAGGCGATATGGACTGGCTAACAGAAGACGGAAGTTATAAATACTAGCAAGGACCATTGGACCAGTTACAGAAATGATGACAGTAGTGGTTGTAAGTATTTCTTTCTTACTTTAATATGAATACAGCATTTTTTTGGTATTAATTTTCTTTACTCCCCCACTTCCATTCCCTATCTTTAATAGAAGATGTGTTAATAGTGGCTAGCCATATAGCTCAGTATTTAAGTTACAGGATATTAAAGAGGGAGTGTGACTCAGAGAAAAGAGGAAAAAATATCACCCCAAAATGGATGTGTCATATAGGACTTAATAGCCTTTTACTAAAAAAAAAAAAAAATGCACTTTTGGCGGGGCATGGTGGCTCACGCCTGTAATCCCAGCACTTTGGGAGGCTGAGGCAGGTGGATCACGAGGTCAGGAGATTGAGACCATCCTGGCCAACATGGTGAAACTCCGTCTCCATTAAAAATACAAAAATTAGCCAGGCCTGGTGGCACATGCCTGTAGTCCCAGCTACTTGGGAGGCTGAGGCAAGAGAATCACTTGAACCTGGGAGGCGGAGGCTGCAGTGAGCTGAGATCGTGCCACTGCACTCCAGCCTGGATGACAGAGCGAGAGACTCCATCTCAAAAAAAAAAAAAATTTATATTAGAACAGTTTTACATTTACTGAATTGTGAAGACAGCACAAAGTTCCCATATACCCAACACCTACTTTCCTCTATTATTAGTAATTTACATTATGATACATTTGTCACAATTAATGAACAAATATTGGTATGTTATTTCCTAAAGCCCATACTTGATTCGGATTTCCTTAGTTTTTATCCATTGTCCCGTTTCTGCTCCAGAATTGCATCCAGGATGCCACATTACATTTATGTCATGTCTCCTTAGGCTCCTCTTGGCTATGATAGTTTCTCAGGCTTTCCTTGACAGTTTTGAGGAGTGTGGTCAGGTATTCTGTAATGCCTCTCAAGTGACATTTGTATGATGCTCAAGATTAGAAGGGGTTATGGGTTATTGGGAAGATGACCACAAAGGTATTTATACCCTTTTTGGAGGACAGGGTTAGCATGCATCATGTTAGGTGGAAGCATTTTGCTGTTGACTTTATTTGGAGGTTAAACATGGTTAAAAGATGTATGTATGGGTACCAAGTAGACAAAGGTTGGATAGACTGCAGTCATTGGTAGTGTGCCAACTTGGTGAAACTTAAACTACTTTCCCATTCCCTACAGGGTTCTGAGTTAGAGTTGGCCAAAAGGGAAATGTATGCAGATGTGGAAGGTGGAAATGAAGCAGCTATTGATCTTTGAAGGTCTTGCAGGTACAGAGAAGGCACAGAAATGCTGACAGGTTCTAGCTTGTCTTCACATTCTTCTACTCCACATTCAGTTCTGACTGAAGAGGCTGTTGACCAACAGTGGCTCCCAGCTTATGCCAGACACTCAGTGGTGGGCCTGCCAAGGTGGCAGTTATACAGAAGCATGGCTTCCTGCATACCTTCTCATAAGCCATCACTTTGCAGCCACTTTTGGCACTTGGTTGTTCTTTGTTTCTCACATTGATGGGTTGGTCTTTTTTTTTTTTTTCTCTGATCCTCCAACTTCCTTCCTATGCTTTCACTTTCCTAGTTCTTCTCACAACTGTATAAGGTCTGATTCCTGTAATCCTCATCCCATAGTACACAGTGGTTCTGATTCTGTGACTGAACCCTGACTGATAACTCAAGGTATGAGAGACTGATTTTCAAACTGCAAACAACTACAGAAGCTGGAAAAAAAAATACAAATGCAGTTGTGTAATAGTTTTCTATGATGCCGTAACAAATTACTACAAATTTAGTAGCATAAATACCACAAATTTATTATCTTACAGTTCTATAGGCCAGAAGTCCAGTATAAGTCTCATTAGACTAAAATCAGTGTTGTCAGACTATGTTTTTTTCTGGAGGCTATAGGGAAGAATCTGTTTCCTGTTCATTCAGATTGTTGGGAGAACTCAGTTTCTGTTTCTTCAGTACCAAGGTCTCCATTTTCGAGCCGTCTGTAAGCTGGGGCCATTCTAGGAGGCCATCATATTCCTTGGCTCGTGGCTCCTTTACTCTGTCTTCAAAGCTAGAACATCAAGTCATTTTCATGTTGCATCTCTCTTACCCATTCTTCTGCTTTTAAGAGCTCATGTGATTAGACTGGACCCATGTGGATAATCTAGGATAACCTCTCCATCTTAACTTCCTTTGATTAGCAACCTTCATGCCATCTGCAACCTTATTTCCCTTTTGCTATGTGATGTAACATATTCACAGGTTCTGAGATTTGGATATGGACATCTTGGGGTAGGGGTACAAATTATTTGAAGCATCAGAAAAAATCCAGTGTGGCCAGGACTTGAGAGAATAAGATAATGGAGAAAAGTCAGGTTCTCTTTTTTTCTCACGAAATTTGCCAATTAACTGTGAGACGAAGTGAGGCCAAACAGTCTGGGAATTATGGCAGTATCACTGGGCTGGGGAAGCAGAGGTTGGAGTTTGGGGCTGCCAAGGCAGTTGAGGGACCATGATTCCCTGACCAGAGGAAACTACAGAGAAATAAGTCTATAATTCTGCATGCAATTTCCCCTTGAAGCATATGTCAACTCCAAAGCTGTACATATGGTGGGGTGGGGGGTGAGAGCAGCAGACGGAAGGCTAAAAAGGTGAGCAAAAATTCCATCAATCTTATTGGGTTAGGGGTTAGATTTCAGAGCTCACCAGGGTTGAAGGGGCCTGGTAAACACCATAGGCTCTCAGCTGAGACCCTAGGGATATTTTCTAGGAATAAAGGCAAAGCAGAAATAGATCAACCTTGATCCAACTGTACCCCATCTGCCTGCCAGAAAATTATATCCTCTCTAGAAAAAATCACCATCCAGAGTTTCTTTAAGACAAGGTCTTGATCTGTCATCCAGGTTGGAGTGCGGTGGTGCAATCATAACTCACAGCAGCCTCAAATTCCTGAGCTTAAGGGATCCTCCTGCCTCAGCCTTCTGAGTGGCTGGGACTACTACAGGCACATGCCACCACGCCCAGTTAATTTTTATTTTTGTAGCGATGGGGTCTTGCTTTGTTGCCCAGGGTGGTCTTGAAATCCTGGGCTCAAGAGATCCTCCCCCCTACCTTGGCCTCCCAAAGTGGTGAGATTACAGGGGTGAGCCAGTGTGCCCAGCCCAGAGCGTCTATATCTTTTGCATATATGATGTCTGGCATTCAGTAAAACACTCATAGGCAAAGCAGGAGGCACTGAAAACCAAGAGGAAAAAAAAAAAAACAGACAACAGAAACATTCCCAAGCAACCCAAATATTGAGGTAATAAAGAAGGGACTGGAACTGGAATTTTTTTTTTTTCAAAAAAGAATCAAATGGTGATGGTATAATTAAAAAAATAAAAAAAATTTAAGAATTCAGTAGATGAGCTTAATAGAATTTTAGAAGGAAAGTTCAATAAATACAAGATAGGTCAGTAGAAAATATTCATATTGAAGCAGAGAGAAAAGGAAATAAGAAATACAGAAAAGGGTACAGAAGACATATAATGTATGGTTAAAAAAATAAGTCTGACATACATCTAATTGAAATCCTAGAAGACATAAAGAAATATTTGAAGAAAAGTGGATAGGATCTAAAAAAATCGATGAAAAATATCCAGCCACAGATTCAAGTAGTTCTACAAATTCCAAGAAAGAAAAACAAAGAAAACTACATGTAGGCATGTCATACTACAACTGTTAAAGAATAAAAGGAAAAACACCTCAAAAGCATCCAGAGAAAAGCAGGCACATTACCTTCACAGGGGCAACAACAGGCTGACAACCAAAATGACAGAGGCCAAAAGAGAAGGAAATAAGTCTGATGTGTGAAAAATAATGCACATTTTATAATGCAAAACTTTAGGAAAAGAGAAATGTCCAAAAATAGGATACAATTGAAAACGAACCAGCCATCATAGTATGAAGAAATGTAGTGACAGGTCTCCCAACAGGTTATTTAAGGGTATATGTTCACTGCTTGAACCCTAAAGGCCAGGCAGTGATCCAAGTCCAGGGTGCCCAGCAGAGGAGCAGGTGTCCCTGAGAATCCAAACTTCCCAGAGAGTATCTGGGAACATACCAAGGAAAACAGTCCCATCACACACACGGTAGGCAAAGAGCCAGAAAATTAGCTTAAAAGCAGCCTTCGAGATGGGAGGCAGCGTGGATCTCTAGAGTTGTTCTGCTGCTGCCCAGGAGTTCCCTGTCTGTAAGTCTTAATAAACTCATCTACTCACCAAGCTGGACTTGTCCGAATCATTCTTTGGTTTCTTGGCATCTTCCCAGTTTGGGGGTGGGAGCAGTGTTATAGTCTCAAAATTTTATTTTTACTGTTATTTTTTTTTTAGACAGAGTCTCATTTTGTTGCCCAGGCTGGAGTGCAGTGGTGTGATCTCAGGTCACTGCAACCTCTGCCTTCCGGGTTCAAGCAATTCTCCTGCCTCAGCGTCCTGAATAGCTGGGATTACAAGTGTGCGTCACCACGCCTGGATAATTTTTGTATTTTTAGTAGAGATGGGGTTTAGCCATGTTGGCCAGGCTGGTTTCAAACTCTTGGCCTCAAGTGATACACCTGCCTTGGCCTCCCAAAGTGCTGGGATTATAGTTGTGAGCCACCACGCCCGGCCTCAAATTTTTTTCATAACAGAAATACTCTGCAGTCTTAAAAAAAAGTCATGAGAAAGTGTTACTATAGGTTACAAAGAAGTATGTACTTTATGAACATATTGTGTGTGTGTGTATGTGTGCATGTGTGTATTAAAATGTCAGTCACGTGTAGTCTCAACGTTAAAGGACTATAGCTAATTCTAATTGCATTCTTTGTGCTTTTCTGAGTCTTCTGAGTTTTTTGTTTGCAATGAATGAATATTTTAAAAATAATAAAAAGGGTGGTAAAGAACAAGTTAAAGAGTTAAAATGACAAAAATAAGTTAAAACCAAGAAATACAAGTTAGCATGTTAAGGAGTTATGATGAGGATAAGATTGTAGATTTAAATGTAACCATATCAATCATTACATTAGATATAGTCTAAAGAGTGGGATTAAAAGGCAGAGATTGTAAAATGGGTTAAAAAGCAACACCTAACTATAGGCTATCAGTGAAAAAGATACTTTAAATAAAAGTAAAGGATGAAAAAATATGTATAATATAAGTACTGAAGAAAGATGAAGTAGATTTATTAATATCAGACCAAGTACACTTCAGAACATGACATACTGTCAGGGGTAAAAAGGAAAATTAAGAATGCTAAAGGGGACAATTAATCAAGAAGACATGCCATTCCTAAATGTGTGTATGTAACTGAGAACAGAACTTCAAAATATACTAAGCAAAACCTAATAAAACTCAAAGGAGAAACAGATAAGTCTACAATATTAATTGAAGACATTAACCCTCCTTTCTCAGTAATTGATTGTAAAAAGTAGAAAATCAGTAAGTATACAGAAGAACTGAATAACACTGTTAGGTTGATGCAAAAGTAATCATGGTTTTTCCCATTACTATTTCAAAGGCAAAAACCGTGATTACTTTTGCACCAACATATCAACCAACTTGACCTAATATTTATAGAATACTACATCAAAGAGCACAATACACAAGTTTTCAAGTGCATATGCACATGTTCTGGGCCATAAGCAAACCTTAGAAAACCTAAAGGAACTGAAATCATACAAAGTATGTATTATAAAATTAAACTAAAATTTAGTAACAGGAAGATATCTAGGACATTCTCAAACATTTGGAAACGAATCAACACATTTCTAAATAAGCCATGAGTCAAAGAGAAAATCAGAAAGGAAATTAGAAAATGTTCTGAATTGGATGAAAATGAAAACAAAACACATTAAAGGTTGTGGGATATAGCTAAAGTAGTGTTTAGAGGGAAACTGAAAAGGAAGAATAAACAAATTGCCAATCTTAGGAATTAAAAAGAGGAGTGTCACTACAGATCCTACAGACATTTAAAGGATTATAAGATAATTTAATGAACAACTTTATGCCAAAACTTTTGTTAACTTAGATAAGGGACAAATAAGAGACAAACTATCAAAACTCTCTCAAGAAGAAATAGATAACCTTATATCTAATAGATAACCTTATATCTATCTAAGAAATAGCCTTATATCTAATATTATTCATAGCTAAAAGCTTTCCCACAAAAAAACACTTCAGACCCTGATAGCCTCCCTGGTGAATTCTACGGAATTTTAACAACAACAACAAAAAACACTAATTCTACAGAAACTCTTCCAGAACATAGAAAAGGAAGCAGCAGGCCCAAACTCATTTTATGAGCCTAGCATTAGCTGATATAAAAACCAGAAATGAGACATTACAAAAACTCCAGATCAATACTTTTCATGAGTACAGATACAAAAATACCTAGCAAAATGTTAGCAAATCAGATCCATCAAAATGTCGCCAGGCACAGTAGCTCAGGCCTATAATCCCAGTACTTTGGGAGGCCAAGGTGGGAAGATCACTTGAGGCCAGGAGATCGAGACCAGCCTAGGCAACAAGCAAGACCCTGTCACTACAAAATAAAACAACAACAAAAAAAATGCCAGGCATGGTGATGTGTGCTTATACTTCTAGCTGTTTGGGAGGCTGAGGCGAGAAGATGGCTTGAGCCCAGGAGTTCCAGGTTGCAGTGAGCTATGATCATGCCACTGCACTCCAGCTTGGACTACAGAGTGAGACCCTGTCTCTTTAAAAATACAAACACACAAATATATATAAATATACACATACATATTCACACACACACACACACATGCCCACACACACGGAGGTTAATACATCATGACCGAATTGCATTTATCCCAGTAATGAAAGATTAGTTCAACAAGTAAAAATCAATCAACGTAATCTATCACTGGGAAAAAAAAAAAAAACTCATTGTCTTCAAGGATGAAGAAATCCATTTGATAAAATTCAACATCCATAAAAACACTCGGCAAAAAAGGAATAAAAGGAAACTTCCTTAATGTGATAAAAAGCATCTAAGAAAATCTTAGCTAATTTAATGGGGTAAAGGCTGAATGCTTTCCCCATAAAATAGGGAAAAGGACAGGATGTCCATTTTTACCACTCCTATTCAATAGTGTACTGGAGATCCTAGTCACTGCAATAAGACATGAAGAAGAAATAAAAACCATACAGATTAGAAAGAAAAAAAATTGTATTTGCAAACAAAATGATCATCTATGTAGAAAATCCCGAAGAAACTATAACTGCCCCCACCACCTCAGCAATCTATTAGAGCTAGTAAGTTCAGCAAGGTTTTAGCATAAAAAGTTAATATACAAAAATCAATTTTATTTCTCTGTGAAATAAAATGAATAATGAATAATTGGAAAATGAAAAAAATTTAAATATTTCTTATAACATCAGCCATGAAATATCCATGCACGAACCTAATAAAATATGTACTAGGTTTATATTCTGAAAGCTATAAAACATTGATGAGAAAAATTTAAAAAGACCTTTATAAATGGAGAGCTATATCATGTTCATTAATTAGAAGGCTTAATGTTGCTAAGGTGTCAGTTCTTTCCAAATTAAGCTATACATTGTAAGCAATCCCAGTGAAAATTTCAGAAAGTGTTTTGTAGAAATATGAAAAAGCAAAGAATCTAAAATATGCAAAGCAATTTTGAAAAAGAAGAGCTGAGAAACTCTTAAGACCTGATTTCATGACTTAGTATAGAAGTCATAGTAATCAAGACAACCAGCATTAGTATCAGGATAAACAAATAGACTAATGGAACAAAACAGGATGCAAAGCAGAGCAATATTTATATGGTCAATTAATTTTAGACAAGGGTGTCAAGGTAATTCAACACAGAAAGGATAGTTTTCTCAACGAGTGGTATTGAAACTATCTGACATCCACATCCATATGCAAAAAAAACAAAAAAATAGAACCTCAACTCTTATCTTGTATTAATACCATATACAAAGTCAAAATAAATAGAAAACCTAAAAGTAAAAATTCAAAACTTAAATATCTAAAAGAAAACATAGGAGAAAGAAAGCCTTTGTGAGCTTGGGTTAGATGAAGGTTTCTTACATAAGACATACAGTATAAGCCATAAAAGAATAAAAATTGATAACTTTGACTTATTCAAAATTAAAAATATCAGCTTTTCCAAGGGCACTTTAGGAAAGAACAAGCTCCAGACTTGAAAGTTTTGAAAAGCACATTTCTGATAATAGATCTGTATCTAAAAGACATAACACTTATATTGTAAAGAGACAAACAACCATGTTTTTAAGGGGCAAAAGATGTGAATAAACACTTCAACAAAGAAAAAATACAGATGGCAAATGAACACATGGAAAATGCTTAATATCATTGGTCATCAGGGAAATGCAGGTAAAGCCACAATGAGATATCACTATGCACCTACTGGAATGGCTAAAATTAAAGCAAAATAAATAAGCAATACACCAAATGCTGGATCATACCAAAAGCTAGTGAAGATATGGAGAAACTAGAAATCTCATATTTCTGGTGGGAGTGCCATATGGTACATCTACATTGGAAAACATTTTGGTAGTTTTTTATAAAAATAAATATTCACTTACCATGAGTCAGTAATCCCACTTCTAGGTATTTACCCAATACAAATGAACACGTGAGTCCACACAAAGATCTGTCCATTTGTGTTCAGAGCAATTTTATTTTTAATAGCAACGAAATGGAAACAATGCAAATGTCCACTCAATAGCGAATGGATGAACAAATTGTAGTGCATCCATATGATGGAATATTACTCAGCAATAACATATAATGAACTAACACACGAAACAAGATGGATAAATCTCAAAAGCATAATGCTAAGTAAAAAAGACACACAAAAATCTTGAAATTCAACTTGATATGGAATTATTGCATTTAATATGCCATTCTGGAAAATATAAAAAATGATAGGGACAGAATGAGTGTTGCCAGGGGTTAGTGATGAGGCGGGGGAATCATGTTACAAAGGAACATGAAAAAACTGTTTTGGGTTCTTTTATTTTTATTGTGATGGTGATTACACAACTGTTCATTTGTCAGAAGTCACTAAATTGTGCTGTACATATAAAAAGGGTTTATACCTATATGCAAACTAGATCAGACTAAGCATTTTTTTTTTTTTAAAGAAACATAGATAAGAGTGGTGATTCATGCCTATAATCGCAGTACTTTGGGAGGCTGAGGCAGGAGGACAGTTTGAATCCAGGAGTTTGAGATAAGCCTGAGCAACATAGTGAGACCCTGTCTCTATAAAAAGAAAAAAAAAATGCTGGGCATGGTGGCATGTGCTTTGTAGTCCCAACTACTCAGGAGGCTGAGGTGGGAGGATTGCTTGAGCCCAGGAGCTGTGATCATGCCAGTGTACTTCAGCCTGGGTGACAGAGTAAGACCCTGTATCAAAAAAAAGAAAAAAGGAAATATATTGTTTCTATGTGCCATATCTAAAGAACTTCTGCAACATATGAAGTGATAAATAATACATGATTTTTTAAATAAAAATGCTAACCTGGAGCTGTGGTAAAAAGAAAATTTGAGCAAGTGGTGAAACAGATATATCAAAATAGGCCAGGTGCAGTGGCTCATGCCTGTAATCCCAACACTTTGGGAAGACAAGGTGGGCGGATCACTTGAGCTCAGGAATTCAAGACCAGCCTGGGCAACGTGGTGAAACCCTGTCTCTACCAAAAAAATATTAGCCGGGCATGGTGGCATGCGCCTGTGGTCCCAGCTACTCAGGAGGCTGAGGTGGGAGGATCATTTGAGCCCAGGAGGCAGGGGTTGCGGTGAGCCAGGATCACGCCACTGTACTCCAGCCTAGGTAACAGAGTGAGACCCCATCTCAAAAAGAAAAAAAGATACATCAAATAAAATTTGACATAATATTACTGAAACCTAATGACATCACAACTAATTTCTGCTTGTAGTGGTCAAATTTCTTATTTTGTTGGAGATGCACTGTGATTTAGGAAGTACCAAAATGCAAAAATGTTTTTTAAAAGAGTTATGTTGAAAAACACAGTTGAAGAAGTTCAGAAGTCTTGGGAAAGTCAAGGGGAAGCTGAATGTTGAGATATGAAGATGACGAGCCAGGACAGAAGTGAAAAGGAAAAGCTAAAGGCTGGAGAAGAACCAGAGAAGTATAATAACATGGGTATAGTGTTGCAAGAATTTGCAGAATTAAGTACTGATCAGTCATTCATTCATATAATACTGACTCAACACGTATTATGTGTCATGCACTGTTCTAAGTGCTGGGATATAGCAGTAGGCAAAATAGACCATGATCCTTAATTGCAGAGTCTACATTCTAGAGGGAGAACACAGTAACAAAATAAACAGATCTATGAAATGGTATTTTAGAAGACAGTAAGTGTTAGAGTGAAAAAGAAAGCAAGGAAAGGGATATGATGTGCTAGAGCAGGGGTTGGGGTCTCAATATTTAAAAGGGTGGTCAGAGAAGGTCTTATAGAGAAAGTGATTTATGTTTTTTTGAGACAGGGTCTGGCTGTGTTGCCCAGGTTGGAGTGCAATGGCACTATCCTAGCTCAGTGCTGCCTTGAACTCCTGGGCTCAAGCGATTCTCCTGCCTCAGCCTTCCCATTAGCTGGGACTACAGGAATGTGCCACTGTGCCTGGCTACTTTTTTAATTTTTTGTAGAGGCAGGGTCTTGCTCTGTTGCCCAGGCTGGTCTCCAATTCTTCGCCTCAAGCAATCCTCCCACTTTGGCCTTCTAAAGTTCTGGGATTACAGGTGTGAGCCACTGTGGCCCGGTCTGAGAAAGTAACATGATATTTCATGTATGGCTTGAAGAAGGTAAGGTAGCCATGAGGACAGCTTTTTACGGTGGATGCTTCTAAACACCGAGTACTCATGGTATGCACAGCTAACATCCATCTACTTCGTTGAGACCCATTTAGCTTCCATTGAAATGATATTCAAATATACCATTAATGTGATAATTGGTTATGACTGCTGATAAAAATGATTTACAAAATAATCTTCATTTCAACTGAGCAAGAAAAATTTGAGATCCAACTGAAAGAAAACCACATACCTCACTTTATTTTTAACTACTACTACCCCCCTCTCTGAAACCTGCCCCTCTTTCAATTTTCATTATATGTGACTTTGGGAATGCTGAATTTACTTTTTTAGTATCATTAGCTGGGAAAGGGGGTTAGAAAGAGTGGGAGGAAATAGCCTATCCATATGAAAACAATAATCACATAATATTTATTGTCTGGGATTGAAATGTTTCAAATAGGCAAAGCAATAAAATGTCAGGAAAAGCAAAACTTCCTAATGTTAAAAATATCATAAATTTTTCCCAAAATAAGACATATGAAAAAAGTTCCAGTGATAGTTTATGTCAAAGGAAGAAAAAAGCCCTCAAATCCACGTTAAAGCTGCCTGAAATCTTCAGAAGGCACAATCTACTCACCATTGGAGAACGAGGAGACAATGGCAATTATGATAAAGTACAGAAAGCAACGATTACCTTTTATTGAGCTTGAGAATCACTTTTTAACATAAACTCACTGATCCCTGCATTCTATAACTTGGCTTTTGCTATCTATTGTTTTTTAAAAAAAGGTAGTGTCAAAAAACTAGCAGGATTTCAGTATCACGTTAAAGTGATTTTACATTTTATAATTACAATGGGACTTATGTGTATATTTATTAATAAAATAGAGTAGCACCTACATGGGCAAAATATACTTTATTGAATCTACAGATAATTTAATCTAGGTGGGTTCATGAACCCCTTTCTGTAATTTCACGGTTCCCCTCAGGCTCACTGTTTGGGGCCTGCAGACTACATGTTGATTGCTTGATTTTCATAGGTGCCAAATAAGATTTCTGAAGGAATGGCTATAAAGAAAACAGACATTTTAATTTCAAGCTACTCTTTGGAGTAGCTTCCGGTTCACAAAATGTTATTTTTAGTCTAAATAGATCTTTATATTTGCTTTAAGTTCAGTGGACATGTTATTCCATTACCTTTAGGGAAATTTGATCCTAAAAGGCTCATTGTCTTTACAGTGAACCAGTGGGAGAACTGGTAGGTTTTCAAAGATGGACTATATACAAAAATAGTCCTACTAGTTTGTAATTCTTTTTCAAGATTGTATAGATTCAGATGGAACTCAAAGGTTCTTAGGTCTTAGTAGTGCAAAGTAATGCAAATATGATTAAGGTCATCTGTTTATGAGGTCCTTAACCCCTTCACACAAGACTGATGGCACAGTGACCTACTCACAAAGGCCACAAGAAACCTGATGCATGCGGTGCTTTAAATTGGTTTTTCTGAGACATTGTATTTGTCTTTAAGAGAAAAGCTGTGATCATCTAAAGTTCATAAGCTGTATAGCCAAATAAGTGAAATAAGAATTGATGAGATTAAACAAAGATTTTTAAAAAAGGATTCTGAGCTTATGTTTAAATGCATTTTTTTTTGGCTGGGCACGGTGGCTCACACCTGTAATTCCAGCACTTTGGGAAGCTGAGGCAGGTGGACTACTAGAGGTGAGGAGTTCAAGACCAGCCTTTCCAACATGGTGAAACCCTGTCTCTACTAAAAATACAAAAATCAGCTGGATGTGGTGGCGCATGCCTGTAATCCCAGCTACTCTGGAGGCTGAGGCAGGAGAATTGCTTGAACCCGGGAGGCGGAGGTTCCTGTGAGCCACTTCAGCCTGGGCAATAGAATGAGACTCCGTTTCAAAAAAAAAAAAAAAAAAAAATTTTTTTCTACCAACCAAACCACAAATGTTTATGAGTATCTGTGTATATGAGAATGACAAAGAGGTGTTAATTCAAGACTTGCCCTCAAGAAATTCTTAATCTGGTGCAGTCTAAAGGCACATGGACAGATGATCAGGGATACTAAATAGGAAGCAGAGAGAACAACAAGGGCTTAGAGTTCAGAGGAAGCAAAGGGTGCTATGTGCTGAGACAGGCAGGAAACTTTATGGGAAAGAGCTAGGGAAGGAGACCACCATGAAAACCTAGGAAAGAAGAGGCAGATTGATTTTGCATACTGCTAACAGAAACACCTGACCTTCTACACATTGCCATGGAAGGGCTCCCAGGAGACCTCATCTCCACATAGGCCACGCAGCCCTACCTAGGCCATAGGGACCTTCCTCTGTGATTGTCACAGGAACACAGCAAGACAGCCACTCTTGAGAGGAGCTGCCACAGGTAGTTTTGCATCTGACTCCCTAGTTCTGGTAAGGCAAAGGTCTTTCCACCTCAGCCCCCTTTGGGATGTGAATGCAAGCTATAAAACTGCTTGGCTGGCCAGGCACGGTGGCTCACGCCTGTAATCCCAGCACTTTGGGAGGCTGAGGCGGGTGGATCGCCCGAGGTCAGGAGTTCGAGACCAACCTGGCCAACATAGTGAAACCCCGTCTCTACTAAAAATACAAAAAATTAGCTGGGCGTGGTGGCAGGCGCCTGTAATCCCAGCTACTCGGGAGGCTGAGGCAGGAGAATCGCTTGAACCTGGGAGGTGGAGGTTGCAGTGAGCTGAGATCGAGCCATTGCACTCCAGCCTGGGCAACAAGAGTGAAACTCTGTCTCAAAAACACAAAAAACAAAACCAAAAAACTGCTTGGCTGTGGTTTAGAGTTGGCTCCTCCATGACATGGTAACCCCCCAGTCACTCATGTCTTCTGTCAATTGGCCCCTCTGGCTTGGTATCTTCCTGTGGGATTAGGAACGTGGGAAGTTGACACTGTGCCGATCTTGCTTATGTAGCTGTGTAACAGACTGTCTAAAGCCATTTGGGCTCACCGTTTCCTTACAGGCCAAACCTATGGAAGTGTGGCAAGCCAACTCATGAGCTGCAGTAGTTGGTGCTGCTTAGTGTCTGCTTGCTTGACTGACTGGTATGTTTAGGTCAGGGAGGGGTGACAAGTGGCCAATGCATTGGCAGGTGAACTAACTCTTCCCAAGTGAAGTAGCTGGAAGACACACTTAAAACCATTCAGAAATAGCTGGGTGAGGTGGCTTGTGCCTGTAGTCCCAGCTAATCAGGAGGCTGAGGTGGGAGGACTGCTTGCACCTAGGAGTTGGAGACCAGCCTCAGTGATATAGGGAGACCCCATCTTAAAAAAAAAATTCAGAAAAGAAAGTTGTACCACAGGCTGGTGCAGTTATTTGGAATCTTAAAGGACATAAATCAGAAGGTGGCTTGTCCTGAGGCAGAACAAACTTAGGGTTGAATTAAAGAAGCTGCTGACTGGGTGTGGTGGCTCATGCCTATAATCCCAGCATTTTGGGAGGCCAAGGTGGGAGGATCACTTGAGTCCAAGAGTTTGAGATCAGCCTGGGCAACAAAGAGAGACCTGACTCTCTCTCTCTGTAAAACAAAGCTGCTGCTAACTACTGAGTGGAATGGAAAACTATCCTTTGTAATTCAAATTGTGCATGGTAGCTTTTTTTCCACTTTCCTATTTATTTCCATACACCACTTCCCCCAGACCTGCCTCACACACAAACATGTCAGGCTGGGAAAAACTATGACTACTATATAATTAATGAATTAATGAGCAAGCCTTTAAAAGGGTCATTTATTTAAAGTTTCAGGGCATTGCCATATGTACTTTTGTATCTGCTGCTGCAAACACGTAAACAAGATGGGAATTATTTTATAACATGGATACATACCTTGTATGAAAGCGTGAAACGGTAGCCTGTAAACAGAGCCTTCTGGGGAAATCTGGTCTTCAGAAAGGAGAGAAGCTTTGTATACATGGATCTTTGAGGAATTTTTTCCCATAATTTGTATAGGGACTTTTTAGTATATTCATTGATTATATACATTTATCTTGAGGCTTAAGACATTATTAAAAACTTGGCATGAGCCTATATAATTATATTCTATTGTACATGATATAATATTCTATTATATACATAATACTTGGCATTAGAGGAGGAATGTTAAGTTAAAATTTTCTTGCAATCAAATTTTCTGGTTCTGAGAAGTGCTTCTAGGTTCAAGGTCAGGCAGCAATTCTCTTTAATATGGTCTCAGAAATCTCTACTCCAGTACAGTCCACGTTGTGTAACAGTGGTTAACAGCATGAGCTTTGGGATCAAAGTGCTGGGTACAAAAGCCAGCTCTACCTTGGGTAATTCTGCATAAGACATTTAATCTGCTGTTCCTCAGTTTCCTCTCTCCTGCCTGTGGGCAACAGGGCATATCTGGTAGTGGGGCTGTGAGTATTAAATGAGATAAATCGCACAAACTGCTTAGTACACAGGGTAGCACATGGTGTGCTGTAATTATTATGTCATAGCTTATTAAAATGCTGACACAATACATCATCATTTTTGATAGCAAGTAGAGTGTTACCTGGTATAAGTAAAACTATATTTTGATCATCTTGAGCCTTGCCTCCTTCTTTTTTTCCTATCTATCTATCTTTACCCTCCTTTGAAAAAAATGAGAATAGTGAATATTCAGTAGTGATGAGCAGAAAAGGGATCATGAACACAATGCTGTACAGATAATTACAGTGGCTCCCAACAATGAAATATGTATGCGGCGTTCTTGTGACTGCAGGAATTGATTGCTTTAAAATATGCTTCAATTGCCAAAACTTCCATGACTTATGACAGCTTGACTATTTACTATCTATCTTGCTCTGGAAAACAAATGCAAGTCTCGTCTCTTTCTTTAGGTATCATGGTATCAGTATCCGACTTACAACATTTGAGACTTTCTTTAAGAGATACGACTTTCTAATATTTGAGTTTTTAACGACATCTGGCCCTTATTTAACCATCACATTTACATCCAATTCCTGCAGGCAAAGTTTTGTTGTTTAAGCTTGGCTAGATGCCCTCTGCAGAAAGCCTTTGCTTTAATGAACACAATTCCACAAAAACTGCTAGAGTTCCCTGCTCTCTTCTCACCCCTGCCACTGTACAACAATAGCATGTAAAGTTTCATCTTGAGTTTCAAATAAGAAGGTAAAAATAAGAAACTGTGTTGCTGGAGAATTAGCTCTTTGTAGTGGCCACTGCTATGACATATTCAACTTGATGCCCTTAGATTATTTGCAGAGTGTTTATGTACTATGAAATGTTCGGCCAGAGCATACAGGAAACTGTAAAATATTTTATGAGATGTATACATGGTTGATGGTAGAATTTTAAATGTAGCCTGGAAAGGTTCTATCCAAATTCCAGGGGGGCAGATGAGAGAATATGTTCTCTTTAGTGATTCAGTTTTACACAAGAGGTTATATGAACTGGAAAGCATTGCCTGATTTGAGAACTACGTAAAAAAATTCATAAAATTAAACTTTATAATTAATTCTAAACAAGTAAACATGTTTTCTTTCAGACCAAGAATCACCAGTTATGTTTATTTGTCTTCTACATGGTAAAAGCATCAGACATGGCTTGTTTATTATTTTATAAAAACAAAGAACAGCAATAAATGAAGGGTTCTCCCCAGATACAGGAATTATATACACCATTTAAAAAATATTTGTGCTTCTGATGGTTTTCAAATAAAAAGTCTTGGTTTTAAAATTGAAACAGTATTTTTGAATCACAACGATTACAATCTAAGAAGGCAGGAAAGCTAATGGCATAACCCTCTAAATGGCACGTTCAGAAAGTTATACTTCCAAATTTAGGTGAAGGGAGAAATATTTCTACTTTCTTTACCCTTAAATCTAGGAAGCAGTATCAAGAGACGCTATTTATTTATTGGCTTATTTATTTTCAAATTCAGTCTCTAAAATACAAGGGACAAAAAATAGAAACTAGCTTTGTATATTTCCATTTGACTTAGAGTTAAGCCTGATGTGTAAGATAACAGACTGTTTACTTAATACCACAGTCACACTGAAGATTTTACTATATAACACGTATGCTTTAGGATGTATCCATAATTAGTACAGTTTTTAAATAAATTTACATCGTTGTCTAGGATAAATATGCCATAAAACCCCAACATGTCTTAGTAATATTCTTATGCTAACCCAGTATGGTAGAAAATACTGTATAATACCGACTGAAAATTAGGGACCATCGATTCTCATCTCTGGTCTGTCACTACATTATTGAGTGATCTTAGGAAACTCACTTTCCCTCTCTAGGCCATGGTTTTTTCATTTGCAAGATGAGCAGCTGTTCTTAATGATCTCTAAGACTATCTTCTGCTCTAACATTATGATTATTGAGAAAATAATTTACTGAAGTTTTCTTAAACATTCCTTCTGTAAATTTTCTTTTGTTTCTATAGTCACTGCTGAAGGAAGTTTTATTTCACTTCAAATTTAGTATTGTGCAAAGAGTCAGAGAAAGAACCTAAGTATAAAAAATAGAAAAGGGAATTAAAAATATTGAGCAATTATGGGGACATGTAGGCTGGTTCAGGACAGACATAAATGACCTTGCTTTATTCTAAATTCAGCTTACTGGCTTATGATGAAAAATGAAAGGTTTTATATGAACTTACTGGGCAAAACCAGATTTTATAAATAATTACCTGTCAGACTGTTCAAGATAGACAAACATATGCCAGACCAACAAAAACACAGACCTGTCATATTTCTGAGAGAAATGTACATTGAGTCTTCCTTCTCTGGGACTATAAGGAGATCAGGTGGAATAAAACGAAGGAAAAAAACCCAAACCCTATATTTTCTGCCTTGTGCATACTTTAAAATGTATAATGTGGGAGAGAAGGAATTTTGATGTGAAAAATTATCCCCTGAAAATTTTATACCATCTATAAGCCTGGCAGATCAAAACCAAATACAATAAATGCTATCGTTTAAAAGTTAAGTTAAGTTAGGATGTTTACTGCAAGCTTGTAATTTTCCATGATTATGGATGCCAAGGAAAATAAGAATGATAAAAAGTTTAATCATAATCATACATTTTAACAAGCATAGATGGAACATCAAAATCCTTTGGGAATATTTTGATATTATATATCTATCCGTGCTTTTTGTTTCTGAAATGCAAATTTTTTCTAAAAAGATTAACATAGAGCAGGTAAATGACAGTTAACAAATGTAAATAATGTGGCATAATAATATTAACTGAGCCTCATAATTCTTTGAGTCTGATGGTTTTCAAATAAAAAGTCTTGAATTTAAAATTGAAACAGTGTTTTTGAATCGCAACTATTACAATATAAGAAGGCAGGAAAGCTAATGACATAACCTCTAAATGGCATGTTCAGAAAGTTTTATACTTCCAAATTTGGGTGAAGGGAGAACTATTTCTACTTTCTTTACCCTTAAATCTAGGAAGCAGTATCAAGAGAGGCTTGCTCTCTTGAGCAGTATCAAGAAAAAGGAGCAGTATCAAGAAAAAGATCTTTCATGTTTCTCATTTCTGTTTTTATTAATTCTTTAGAAAGAGTGTTTCAAGTATGTGTAAAAACCATAAAAGTAAAATTATACAAAACTCCCACAGAATTAAAGAAATAACTTTCTTTTTTGCAACTGAAGTTTAATCAGGAACTGTACAATTACATCTGCTATATTTTGGTTTGTTCCAAAGAGTTACGGTTCCTCATTTACTGGAGAAAGTATAGATGCCAGAAGGGTAGCTCGGCTGCTAACAGCAAGAAATTACCCAGCCCACATTTCCAGTCTAGGTGTGGTAGTGCTTTGAAGGGAGGAAGCAAGAAATCACTCTGCTCCCCTTCTACTGATTCTGAATACTTGGCTTCTAAATGTGTATGGCATGTGCAGGAGTGGTGGATCTGGGGATTGGAGGAACAGGAAAAGGAGGGAAATGAAGATGGAGGAAGAGGTTCTGTGTGAGGAAAAACACACATGAAAGGCAGATGGCAGGAAGTTGGGAAGCAGGCATTGAAAATGACACATACTATAAGTGGAGTGAAGGGGAAAGGAGGTGGGAACAGGTGATTTATCAGGTCTGTTAGATCTTTGATTACTGTAAGTTTATAAAATGGATAGCTGTCACTAAAACACATGTCAACAAATGTTGGAAAGTAAAGTTGGTGGTGTAAGGGAAGGCGAAAACTCACTGTCCTTTTAATTTTGTTTCCTTGTTCCAAACCTGGATTATAAAATATATCAAATAAAATGCAGACAAAACGCTGGACGGGGGCAACCACTGCTTTTAAGGTATGTGAGCTGAGGGCAGTAAATCTACTCAAATTAAAATTTCAAAACTGTGTGATCTGCATTCTTGTCCACCTACAGACTATCCTAAACATCCTGCCATTAATTAGCTGAACAGCCCATCTAGTAAACAAGACCGATGGTTGAGGGGCTGGAAAAGAGGAGGAGTCAGCAAGTTGAAAGTCACAACAGACCAGCCCACTCCCTCAGATAAAAGAAAGGTAAATTTGTATTTTATTTTGTTCACAAGAAATCACCTTAATATAACATTGCCTTTCCTGTTGTTGCAGGCACATCACAGTTGTCACATCAGCAGGCTAGAAAAGCCATCCCATTCCTGCGGTAGGCATTCTGTCAAAGAAAAAGAAATCTGCAATGAATTATCACATGAAGTCAAACAAGGAAAGGAGGCAAAAAGCAAGCAGAGCCCTCTTCCTGTTTTGTAGACTCTGCTGGCTACAATCTAATAGAATGCTTAATCTGAATATTTCTGGTGGCAAAACTATAGCAACCATTCTGTCTATTAAAAAGTCAGTGTGGTTAACAAGTGGTTAGTGATTCTATTTTTGGGAAGTAGCAGATACATAAAATAAGACATCCCATTTTGTTAACTGATTGGGCTTGGTTAGGCCAAAGAGATGTATTGAATCTGTTTGTCTTTTATAAACATGTGTTCTCTATTCGATATGCTCAGGAATCACTTCTAACTAACTAAGTATCTTAATAGTCTATAAATTACTGACTCATTACTGGCCCTTCCCGGGCCTAATTTATAGTCTGAGTGAAAAGCTGTCGGAACAGACACTAATAGAGGCCTCTCCTCCTCCCTAAAATATGATGATCTCAAAGGAGTTCTGTATAGTTCTGCATATTGTAGACAGTATCAAAAATGCAAATCTTATATAATTTTATATACATACCTGTACGTACAGATGTACACATGGATATGCATGGTGGGATAAAATACTCCCATAAAAGAAAATGGGAAAATGGATTCTAAGTGCAATAATTAATACGTTTCAGTAAAGAAAGAAAAGTTGCATGCTTTTCATTCCAAGAGACATATTTTGCATTTCAGTGTTGGGAGACCTGGATCACACAGGGTCTCTGTAACATCCTGAATTCCACCATAAGACCCAGAGGGGAGCAGAACTAAAATTCAGGACTTAGGAATAAAATTTCCCTTTCCCTGGCACATTTTTAATCATTTAAACTAGTAACAGTCACATCCAGAGAATTCATAACCGTCAATCTTTTCAGAAAAACAAAGAAAATCATAAAATTCAGGTTAGGGATTTTTCCCCCTTAGGCTAATAACTCTGAAGCAGTTCTGGAGTCTGTATACTTCCAGCCCAATGAATTAACCTTGAACAGCCACAGCCATATTTTAAGAAATACAGAATAACCTTTTACGATCAAGATAATGCTATGGAGGCAGTGAAATCTTCATCTTAAAAAATAATTAAACCACATTTATAATTAATTATACTAAAAATGGAAAGTAGACTTAACCCTTTTAGAAAGACTTCCATCAACATGAGGTGAAACAAATATAGTTTTCTAGATAACCTTCTCTTAATCATAAAATTCAATTAACTTGAAAACCTTCTCTCCAAATATCCTGCTTAAGAAGATTTACTGTGCTTGTCAGGCTTTGGCGCCCTGGCTGAAATTTCTTTGCTTAGTTATGCTGCTATGCAGTTCACTCCAGATCAGTGTATCAGGGATGACAAAACAGTGGCACATTCCAAGTGTCATTCCTCAGTGTTCTTTCTGTGAGCTTGTTCTTTACCATGGGGCTTTTTGTGTTGTAGAACACTTCTGGATTGAAGAAAACATTCTAACAAGGACTAGAAAATTCCAACTCTACTTCCTAAAATTGCGCTATAGAACAGTGTTAAGTGAATGCCTCAGAGAGCCACAAATAACTTGCAGGAATGCATAGGGTGTCTTCCCACAACCACAGGCAGTGGAGCCTCAGTCTGTGAAACAAACAGCTCCTACCACCACGGCTGCCTTACAGAGAGGCTTATGCCAAAGTAATACTCTTAGCTTCTTGACCTTGATATTTTAAATTTTATAACCACAGTGACAATCTTTAACATCATGTATTATTTAAAGCACAGGGATGGTTTTATATGGAGTTAAATGGACCTAGGAGTAAGGCTGCATTCCTTCTAAACATACAGTGTTGAAGTGAGCCTTGCTTGAGAAAGGAGGTTTTGGCTTAGAGGGAGACTGAGTCTTAGCTGAGTTCACCTGAGAAATAACCAGGTTTTAATCTTTTCAGACGGGGCAATATAAAATAGTTCTTATTAGCATGGAAAAGGTCACTTTTGAAAGATCGATTCACCTTCACAGATGATTTATCACTGCTTTGCAAACAAAAGATTTTTTTTTAATAACTTATTTAATAACACAGATCCTATGAGAAAACCAAAGTTTAGAGTTGACCCAGATTTCTGTGATGTTCTTCCCATTTGAATTCTGAAATAAATAAAGAAGGAACAAACAAGCATGTGTAATTAGTGAAGAGCAATTTCAGTAAACATATTCCCTAGGGTACTCTATTTTGAGTCACTGCTTTTTCCTTTTGATGTACAAAGGATGTACATTGTCTATGTAGGGCAATTATGGGAACGTCCCAACTTTGGCATGCTTTCCAGAATAAGCAACTTTACAGGAAGATGGATGAAGACAACAACTCATCTTCACGTCAACTGTAAATTTCTCTCTATTTGTGTTGCAAATGTTGAAACTAAATTTAAACATTGCTTGGTGTGAGGGCCTTCCAGAGGCCACATTCTCATGGAATACTTTGTATCCCACTTACTTTCTTCTGTCAGACCCTATGAATGATTCCCAGTTCTGTATCTATCTTTACAGACACTCCTAGTTAGTAAAATCCAGGCTTTGACCAGAAAGAGTCAGGACTTCCACCCACTACTGAAAATTATAGCTTAATCAATAACACAATTAGACCTCCCCAACAAACTGGATCCTACGTGCCTATATACTACTTAAGGTTCATTTCTGGTTTAATAAAGCTCTGTTCTCAACATCAGTTGCTCCTTTGTGAATTTGCTGAAAAGCTCAGACATTTTAGCATCTCTTAAAGTTCACAGCAAAGACAATACTTAATGTGTTTAAGGCCCAATTAGTTATAAAATTAGGAATTCATAGTTCCCATTTTTTTTAATTGAGGACCCAATTTTTGACATTCATTTATTCATACAGTGCCAAATTACGACCTGTGCCAGAATGTCAATCTACCTGGATAAGCAGATACAGATTTTACCTACTGCACTGGGCACTGTGGGGTAATTAATTTCTAAGTGTGTACTTTTTAAAGTGACTGTTTTTTACTTCATATGGACAAGGTAGAGAAAACATTTAAATCCCATAGTGGTTTACTTCTGTTTTTTATGGGTTATCATAAATTGATACATCTTAGGGGATACAAATGAATATTAAAAAGCAAAAGATTAATATTTTTCTTAAAAGGACACATGCTACAAAACTTACTTTGTAGTTCCGACTTAAATATTACTGCGTATTATGTTTGCCATTAGCCTACTTATTAAAACATTAACTATAAACACCAGTCTTTCTTCCAGTACAGACTTGTTTTATTCTATTACCTTTCCTGATTCTCTTCTGCTTTCTCAAATCTTAAATAAACTAGCATAAGAATCTCACTGTAGTAAGTAAGTCCCAAACTCTCCTACAAATACTTTATTTCTCAAAGGCATAAGAAAGAGGTTTTGGTTCTATTGTCTGAATTCCTATAAATTTGCTTAATATGATTTCAGCAAATTTTTACTGAGTTCTTATTCTGTAAATCACTGTGTGCTTGGTGGTACAACAGGACACTAAGATAAATAGACAGTCCCTGGCTTCACTAAACTTCCAGTTTCACATTCAAGTTTTAACCACCACAAGTAAAATGCACTGAGAGGTCATTCTCAAAGTGAGAAAGGAGGGAGAAAACAAAGCAGGCTTTTGTTTTTTTGCTTCTAATCACAATATTTAATTTGAACTTACTTACACTTTCGAAAGGCATGAGATTTGTCTATTTCTCAAAGTAGGGAGGGGCAAAGATTAAAAAATGCTGAGATACATGGTTTTATGGTTTATGAAATATTTTCATGTCTGTATCTAATTTGAGCCTTACCACAATTAGTAAAAGAGTAGATTTTGGATTTAAAACCCAGGGCCTGTGTTCTTTTCATTATACTACATTGTCTTACAATAAACAAAACAAACCAGACAGTCCCCTGCCCCAATTCCACCCAGAGCACTGTAGATACACATATTCTCTTAGTCCTAACAAACTCAGTTCTTGCTAAACATCACTTAAAGGGTAAATTACAATTTTATTTCAAATTTAAGCTAAATCAGCCAGGTATAATACTTCCGAGTACAGACAATGGACCTTAAATCTAAATCATCTTCACTTTGGAGGCTTTCTCAACTACTGCTTATTTTCCAAACTAACTTTAAGAATAGTGTATAGTATAGAACATTGCACCCAAATCACTTGGGGAGCTTTAAAAGACACAGATGCTGTAGCTCCAGTTCTTCAAAGCCAATGGGTCTGAGTGGAGATTAGGCTTTGGAATGTCTTAGAAGTATCCCAGGTGCATAGTGAGAGCTGAGAACAGTGGTAAAATGGATGAGGAGATCATTAACAGGACCCAATAATGGTTTCGTCAATAAATGGAACATTTTCAGAATCTGTCATGATTATGGAGTAAATAAATATTTCCTAATGGAAATTCTAATTTTGGCATTTAGTAAATTTAACATGGAAGAGGCAGAAATTGAAGTTTTCAGATTGTGGCTTTTATCCACAGCAGATGGGTTACCTGTATCTCTCACTTTAGGTTATCTGTAGATTAGGCATTGCTTTCCGCCCCCAAGATGCTGAGATGCCACTGTTAGGAGCACAGTCTGTCTGACTGCCACAACATGTTTAATACTATAGTGAAAAAGGAATTTGGAAACTAAGCCTGCTAAACCAAGCTGAACAAACCCTTTACTAACATCTAGAATCAAGGAACAATAGAACTTTGGAATTGGAAAGTATCTTTGTGAATTCCTCTGGCCCCATTCTTAATTTAACAGATGAAAAAACTAATGCCCAGAGAGAGTGACCCATCCACAGTCACATGGTTTTCGCCTAGGATTCCTGACTCAGTTTAGGGCTTGTTGCAGATGGTTCTGATTCTGCCCAAAGCTATGTGTTTAGCTTCCCCGGCCTTAATGGGGAAAACAGATGCAGGGAAAGAAACAGTTTTTCTGGATAAAGAACAGCCCTTGGGAGCAGAACAAAAGTGAAGAAACTGGTGGAGTTGGCGGAGGGGCGGTTAGGGGAGGGGGAAGGAAGGAACACAACTTAATTATGTCCGAAACAATATAGCTGAGCAGGTAGAGGTCAAGCCATTATAAGCTTTGAGTTCTACCTTGGGCTTTTCTGCTTTATGATTAGCCCTCCCCTGGAGAATCACTTAATTTTCCTGAGTGCCCAAAATAATAATTCTGATAAATGGACAAAGCATCAAAATAAGATAGATATACATAGCTGAAAGGTTCTGTGGCAAATGTATGCATCTTTAGGACCTTCAGGGGGTTGATACACCATGTGTTTTCATGGAAGTCTTACTATGGCTATGCTCAGTATCTGATTTTGGGTTGAGCAAATAATATGGCCTGCGTGGAGCTGTTTGGAGTTGGCAAGTTTGGGTTAAATCAAGCAGTAAAAGGGACGATAAAAAAGATTTGGAGCATACATTCACCCTCTCCCAAACTACTGTTAACTCCTAATTAACTAAGTATAGAGTATACATGCTCTGTCTCTAGGATGATCTGTGGGCCACAGGAGCTGCCCTGTCACCAAGAGCCTGGGGTTTTCCAAATTCTTCACATCTTGGGATGTGAGGGCACAGAGGGTTGAGGTTGAAAGGGATGAAGATGGGCACAGAGGGTTGAGGTTGAAAGGGATGAAGATGGGCACAGAGGGTTGAGGTTCTATGCTGGCTTTGCTTTGCTGGGAGAAAAAGGTAGGGAGGTAGTAGAATAAACTAGAAGCAACAGGCTTTCACTAACTCTTACTTGTTAACCTAAATGTCTGGTTTATTGGAATACTCAGTTGAGCCACCGTTGGGATGGTAGGTACATTTCTGAATTTCATGTATAAATGCTGTTTAGGTCAACTAAATTAGTCCCCCTCTCTGTCCCACCCCACTCCCAAGCTTTATAGTAAAAATCAGTTGTGCTTCTAACAGGCCTTTTTCAATCTCTCTTCTGGTAGAAGAGAGACTATGCCAAGTTGTCTCAAACTTAGGTTGTTTCAAATTCAACTGCTCCCATATGTCCGAATTCAGCCCTGGTCTCTGTGAGGTCATTAGATTCTGAGTCTAAGCCCTCCATTTGCCTAAGAAGATGACCGTGCTCTGAAAGACATATTGTTTTGCTTTAATACTATAAATCCTGGAAGTTCAGGAGTTTCATATGAAAGCTATGCAATCGCTTTTTAAAAGATAAAATATGCCCCTTTCTTTGCTGCCCTTGTGTCTGCGTGTGGGCAAGATATTTAATTATAATGAATAAAGCCAAATGGTGGTCTAAGACTCTTAAAATCAAAGTGGGAATCATGGCTGAATTTCATTAGCAAACATAAATACAAATAGGCACATCTTGTTTGCACCATGCCATGTGACTTTTCTCCTTTTGATAATTTCATTCTAACTCTGATATTTCAGAGGACCTAAATTAAACCATATGATATATAGCACTGTATAACATGCAAAACTCATCATTAAACATTTTTCTTTTGTATACTTGCCCTATGTTATAAATATCCTGTCAGAAGCAGAGCCCTGATTTAACAACAGTGGAGGGAGCCCTGCCCTTTAAATAAGAGGTCTTCTCCGGCTGGCAGAATGGGAAAAAAACATAGTATTAACTCTCATTGTAGTCCATGTAACCCAGAGCCCATAAATCTTGAGGAACTTGTCATTTTATGCCCGATTTTCCCTAACTCTATGCCAGTCTCTTCTTATTTTATTGAAAATACTAACATTGGACTTTTATAAATTCTTGAGTTATTACCAAGTTGTTTTGGCAGTCTGAATACAAAAATCTCTAGATTAAATTTAGTTATTAAAAGTTACCATTCATAATTGCCCAAGTCATTTCAAATTATGAGATATATTAAGACTTTTTTGTTGTTGAGCAAAATAATTAAGTGGCTAATAAATACAACATTGTATTTTAGGAAAAAAAGGTTTTTTGTAAATATTATCTTCAGCAATTTTATGAGACTATGTATAAATTCTTTCCATGACACTACATGCACTTACATACATCTTTGTTTAATAGTAACTTAACACCAATAATATTAAACTTGTCTTCAGCTACTTTTATATTAAAGACAATCAAAACAAATGTCTCAAATTATTCCAAGCTGCAAACACATATAAGTAAACATTTTAGGTTCACATACTGTTACCAAAAATTAGAATCAATAGTAGGTTTGTAATAGATAACATCAAATACTCTTTTTTTTACAATCTTGGTTTTGTAGTCATGTTACTCAACTGCATTTTCAAGGTCTTAGACAATACTGATACAAGATAAAAACAAAAAGAACGGCCAAAAAGTGCCAAATTGGCAGGAGTTAGTAACCCAAATAACAATTGTTTGGGGGCTCAGCTCTAACAACAGTTAATTCTCATTTCGCTTGAGTAACCTATAACCTCCAGAAGGAAGGGAACTTACTGTTCTGTTTATTTCTGTATGTCTAAGGCATAACCCAATGCATGAAATAAATTAAATGCTTAATAAATAGTCATCTAATGAATGAATGAATTTGACTAGCAGGTAGCTTCTTTTCCTCTGGGCAATAATGGGAAATGCTGATGTGCTCATCATTAGAGCAGGGGCTGGATAGTCTCAGTTCCTAAAAAGTGGGCTTAGACCACACACTTACCATTTTGCAAGAGAACCATCAGCACCAGTTATTAAGAAAACTAAATTAGTGACCTTGATAGCCCAACCACTAGCAATGTTGCAAAGCAGTTATTCTGATATTAGGTCTCAGTTCCCACTGGGAGCATTTCTGGGCTTCTTCTTACTGATTATCAGTCAACAGTGAAAAGTTATGCATCAATCAAGCCAATTGCTTTGTTTGCCAGAAAAAGAATATTCAATTCATCTAAAACAACACTGTGAAATTATTTTGTTGAGTCTATAAACATTTTAGGTTCAAATACTCTGTTACCAAAAATTATAATCAACAGTAAGTTTGTAGTAGATAATATAATTTTTTTTACAATCTTGGTTTTGTAGTCATGTTACTCAATTGCATTTTCAAGGTCTTAGACAATACTGATGTAAGACAAAAACAAAAAGAAAATACTGTTGCTATGGCCTTCCCCCGCCTTCTCAATGGCCTTTGCCACATTAAAACACCATACAAGGAGTAAGAACACAGATAGCAATAGCTGTTTGCCAATGGTCAACACCAATTTGATTGGACAGTAAGTAAATTACAATTAAGGTCTTTAAGAATTCTTTAAAGACAATAAATAAAAAATTATGACAAAAATCAGGAGATGGTAGTTAATAATATCAATTACATTCGGTAGCCACCTGAGAAGATATATTTTTACACTTGATTTTAGCCAAAAGGCTGAGAAATGATAGAGAAGGTGTATGTCTGTATGAACCTACTGTCATTTTACTTATTCATTCAAAAAACACAGAGTACAAGGTACAGTGGGTACAGCAGGATCACAGATGTGGTTCCTGCCCTCTGTGGTGAACAGGCTGAGGGGGAAGACACATACTGAATGAGAAATGCCAAAAGTGATGGAAGTTACAAAATGAGAATAGAGTGTAATGGGCTGTGTAAGAGGGCAGTAGAGGGAGATGGTGGTCATCAAGGAGGTTTCTTGAAGAAGTCACACAGCTGAGATCTGAGTTGGGGACGGGAAGGGGATGGGTTCAGGGGACAAAAAAGTGTTTTAAGTAAGGCCAAGAGGAGAGAGATCTTGACTTATCTTGTTTCCAAATGCCAATCTATAGGCTAGTCAATAAATGCTAAGTCTGAGACACCAACCCAAACTACCTACCACTAAAGAGCTTATCCAAATTCAGGTCCGAGATACTCATAAGCATTCAACCAAGTGATTCTCTTGAATCACTGCTTTAGGGCCTGGCATAAACTCTTTATATTAAATTAGAGTACTCTCTGTTGGCATTTATTTCCAAGCTGAACTGCTGTGGACTGACAATAGGGGGGCATGCCTCTTCCATGCCTTTGTGTCTCTTTCCTTAAAGTTAGGTGTTCTTGAGACACTGTGAACATACTTTTACCTTGTACATATTACACATCTATATTTCTAAAACAGAGTTGTGTTAAATTTGCCATGGACATTTACAATAATATGCCTTAACCATTCTGAAAATTTATCTCCAACATATCATAAATAACAAAAGTGTCTCCTCTGATGTGAAAGATTAATTTGAACAGAGCTATCATATTAAATGACAAGATCCGAGTTGTGGAGCCATCCCAAGTCAGATATATTATTTATGTGGTAGTGACAGTACTCATTTTATTGGGTATTATTCTAATTAATTCTAAAAGGTGAGCTTTTGGGCTCATGGTAACTAGGATCCTGCACTGGCCCAGATCACCCTTATCACACTATTGTCCAAGTCAACTGCCTACTGGTTACATTGTCTCATAAACACAGTGAAAAGGCTTAAGCGCATCAAAAATAAATGTTTGTTTCACTATTATTATTATTTTTTTTTGAAACTGGGTCTCGCCCAGGCTAGAGTGATGTGGTGTGATCATGGCTCAATGAAGCCCCAATCTCCCACACTCAAGCAATTCTCCCACCTCAGCCTCCTGAGTAGCTGGGACTGCAGGTGTGCACCACCACGCTCAGCTAATTAAAAAAATTTTTTTTAGAGATGAGGGTCTCACTTTGTTGCCCAGGCTGGTCTTGAACTCCTGGGCTTGAATGATCTTCTTGCCTTAGCTACCCATCATGCCTGGCCCCTTGTTTCACTTTTAACATAAGTTATTATAATTAAAAATACTTATTAAAAATATTTTATTACTCAACAGCCAAATTAACAAAATGGATCCTCAAAAGGGCCTATGAAAAATTCAGCACCAGTTTTTTTTTTCTTTTTTGAGACGGAGTCTCTCTCTGTCGCCCAGGCTGGAGTGCAGTGGCGCCATCTCGGCTCACTGCAAGCTCCACCTCCCGGGTTCATGCCATTCTCCTGCCTCAGCCTCCCGAGTAGCTGGGACTACAGGTGCCCGCCACCACGCCCGGCTACTTTTTGTATTTTTAGTAGAGATGGGGTTTCACCGTGTTAGCCAGGATGGTCTCGATCTCCTGACCTCGTGATCCGCCCGCCTTGGCCTCCCAAAGTGCTGGGATTACAGGCGTGAGCCACCGCACCCAGCCCAGCACCAGTTTTTGACTACTGAATTAAGAAGTCAGTTGAAATTCTTGTCCAAACTGGTTGGCAAAAGTTGAGATCAGAGTCATCCTTACAAAAGAATGTGGCTGTTATATTTCAATAACTTTTACTGCGATTTCTTGAGGACCAGCTGCATAAATTCTACCTTTATGTATTCTATTCATGTAGCAGTCAAATGAAATGTAAACAGGCATTCTATAAAATATAGCCTCAATGTATAATCTCTATGCTTAATTCAAGGAATAATTTCAACTAGGTTTTAGGAGAAGGGCAAATGGACCTTCCTCTGTCTCTCCAGTCCAATTGGTGGTGGGAGTGACTGGGTAAGCTGGTCTCACCACTTTCGGGACTGCCTGGCCTCCTGTGCATGCAGCCAGTCTCTTGTTCAGCAGACCCGTGGGAGGTGAGAGGAGGTAAGCTAATGCACAAGTAGCTGCCAGAAGAAAAGATGGGAGAAAAAAGCAAAAGAAATATAGTATTTCAATCAAAGTCTAAAATTTGTAAAAGTGGTTTTGGTCTCCATATAGTAAAAATATTTATCCAAGAAACTCCTACTCGGGTGTGAACATCCTACTTCTAGTGGGATTTTGTTTGGCAAAGGTCTGTGAAAGAGTGGAAGCTAATACAGAACATGTCTATAAACAAATTTATTTAGTTAGTACAGATTGACACATTCACTATAGGATTTCAGCAATTACATGTGTAAAACTATTTCCTATAGTGGTTTCCTTTTGTGATTTTGCTAATTTATTCAATCTAGGCCATTTTCATGCACTGACTCTTAGAAGCCCTTTAGCCACCCAGGCTGAAATGAACATATGGAGACTCTATGCCTTCTTTCCAATTCTTTGTGTAAACATAATTATATGGTGATATTAAAGAGTCAAACTTCCAATGAAAAAGTCAAATAAGGTTGCAATACCTTAAAACATGATGTTGTCATCTAACTTTGGAGAAGAGAAATTTGAGAGTTTGGCTATGATAATGTACATGAAAGTATTATCTCTCTGTCTGTCTCTGTGATGTGCCTGCTTCCCCTTTGCCTTCTGCCATTATTGGAAGCTTCCTGAAGCAGATGCTGCCATGCTTCCTGTACAGCCTGGAGAACCATGAGCCAATAAAACCTCTTTTCTTTATAAATTACCTAGTCTCAGGTATTTTGTTATAGCAAGCAAGAATGTCCTAACAGATATTATTATTAGTTGTTATATGAATTAATAAGTTCCACCTTTTAAACCCTGTTTTAGCCATTATTATATCTCCTGTAATGTCTGACATTTAGATGCTCAATAGGTATTTGGTGAATAGAATTTATTTAAATACTGTTCAAGTTTAGGTAATCCGTGCTATGCTGTGAATATGGTTTTTCCCCACCAAAACTATTTTTTTAAAGCCTCACCAAAACTAATGGTAAGGCTTGGTCCTCAATGTGGAAGTGTTGGGAGGTGTTTAAAGACACCCACATAGGAGGTGCTGTACTTCTCGTAGCCACTGACCAACAAAATATGTAATGATTGAAAGCCTTCAATAATGTGTTTAAATAAATTTTATTAATCACAATGGTATCTAATATGTAATGACTGACAGCCTTCAATAATGTATTTAAGTAAATTTTATTAATCACGATGGTATCTACATACCACTGAAAAACATAAAGAAAAATCAGTTATTCTCCCTACAGACAATGCTTAATGCATCTTTGGGTCTGCAGATGTCCCATTGTAAGCATAAGGCTCTTGGGGAACTCAGGTTTGGAAACGCCTCTCTGGCCTACTTTTGCTTATTCATTTGTTCATTCACTCATTTACAAGTATTTATTAAGTGCCTATGACATGTCAGGCACAGTTCTTAGTGCTGGAGATGTATCGTGAATACATGTGAATCCACTAAATCTTACTTTCTAGTGAGGTATAAGATAGTCTCTGTATGTGTGTGTGTATATACACACAATGACAGTGGTAAGTGCTATAAAGACAAATAAGGCAGGATGAGGTGACAGAGAGAGATGGGGTGAAGGTGTTACCTCTCTGATAAAGTGACATTTAGAGGCCTGAATGGAGGAAGCCATGCAGACACCAGAGTGCAGATGGCCTATTAATGGACAGCAGAGTGTGGGTGCTGAAATTGTGTTTAAAAGGAAGGCTTTGATAGGATGCTGGGAACATTGAGAATGACTTGTCTTTCCAACATTTTTTTCTGTGTATATTCTCTGTGAAATGCACATGGTAGGCTCTGAGGAATCAGTTAAACAGTCATGGTTCTTATTACACAGGAGTCTCACTTTGGGCTGGGGGTGGGCAGAGGAAGGAAGTTACTTAGATGTCTGTGTGTATCATGTATATGTATACATGCATATTGGATTTAGAAATATAAATATTATTCATTAATAAATAATGTTTATTAACATTTATTTAGAAATAAATGTTTCCTCTACAAAAACAGGTAAGTGGTATCAGTGTCAGGACATGAGATCATGAGGCTAGTCAGTGCTGTCCAATTGTCTTGGGATTATTTCAATATAAAGAAATGAATGGAAAGAGAGTAAGACATTACCAACTATAAATCATTTAAAGGCTTTTCATGCTGTCATATACCTATTTTTTTTTAAAAAAATGCTTACATGATACATAAAGATAAGAAAGATTATTTTTTAAAATACCAGTGATATAAGAGCAGTTTGATGGTCTGTGCTTTGACACAAGGGGAACATGATTACAGACAGGCCTATTTATCCAGTCTCCTGTGAGACAGAAGGGACCATTTATTACATTACTATATATCAGCACAAGATTATGGTGGTGACTATGAATACATGCTCACATCAGAATGAATCATAATAAATGTTAATGATGTCACTTGTTTTCGGTGGGAGCAAAAAGACATTGCTCAATGAAAAAGACCCACGTCTACTGACTTTTGAAAAGAAACATACTGTTACGTGGAAGGGAATTATCACCTGGGCACATTGTGGCTACCCAAATGTCCATCCACTGAAGGGAGACTGGATAAAAAATATCCAATATTTCTAGAAATTTTAGAAATAGTAAAAAAATAAAAGCCTAGTTTCAGGACACATGCAATTCAGTGTGCTGACAAAAAACCTTTTTGGTAGCAGCAAATTATTATAAATTGTTTTATATCGGTGCTTTAAGTGATATACATGAAGAAGCATTAGAAATTTCAAAATGAGTTGTGTATACATACACAAAAATAGACAGGCAAGAACAATGGTGCTGTACAATCTGATAAAAGACATACATAAAAACCCCACAGCTAACATCAGTCTTAGTGGTGAAAGTCTAAAACAATTTCTCCATAAGATCAGGGATAAAGCAAAGATATCTACTCCCACTGCACCTATTTCACCATTAATACCAGCTGAAATAAGGAAAGAAAACAAAAGGCATACAGATTGGAAGTGCTGAAATAAACTGCCAGTATTCACAGACAATAATACAATTGTTTACATAGAAAATACCAAAGAATCTACAGAAAACTTACTGGAACTAGAGAGTTTAGTAAGGTTATAGGCTATAAAATCAACACCAGAAAAAAATAAACTTTATTTCTATATCTAGCAGTGAACAAGAAGAAAAAATTAAGAAATTAAAATGGCATAAAAACATAATATTAATTAGGGGACTCTTAAAATATGTGTAAGACCTGTACAATGAAAACTACAAAACACTACAGAGGAAAAATTTTAAATATTAATATATAAGTGGAGAGAGATACTGTGTTAAGGGATCAGAAGACAATATTGTAAAGATATTTTTCCATAGACTTATCTATAGAGTCGGTGTAATTCTTTTCTAAATCCTACCAGGCTTTTCTGTAGAAAGTGATAAACTGATTCCAAATAAAAACTCAAAGGACCTTGAACAGCCAAACACACACACACACACACACACGCACACACACACACACACACACACACACACACATGCACAGAAAAAGAACAAAGTTGGGAGGAGGCACACTACCTAATTTTAAAGCTAAAGTAATCAAGTCAGTATGGTATTGGCACAGATAGAAATGCAGATCAGTGAAACAGATGAGAGAGTCCAAATAGACCTACACGTTTTTGGAGTATTTATTTTCAGCATAGGTGCCAAGATAACTCAATAGGGAAAGGACAGTCTTCAATATATGATGCTGGAACAATTGGACATCCATATGCAAAAAAGTGAACCTCGATTCTTACCCCATACCATGTACAAATATTAACTGAAAATGAATCACAGACCCAAACACAAGTAACCATAAAAATTCTAGAAGAAATAGGACAAAATTTTTGTGCCCTTATAAGCAAAGCTTTCTTAGCTAACATACTTATCTGTAAAAAAAAGATCGATAAATCAGACTATGTCAAAATTACCAACTCAAGAGAAATGAAAACATGTCCATGTTTTATAGGTGAACATTTATATATTTTTATGTAAACTTTATTCCTAATTGCTCAAAACTGGAAATATCCCAAATGTCCACTACAAAGAAACCAAATGCGGTACACCCATAGAAGGGAACACTCTTCAGCAATAAAAAAGGAATGTATTATTGATATATGCAATAACACAGATGAACTTCAAATGCATTATGCTAAATGAAAAGAAGTCAGACTCAAAGGGGTACATATATACAATTTGCATTTGTATGACATATTACAAATGGGAAAATTATAGGGTCAGAAAACACATCAGTGATTGACAGAGCTATGGATGGTAGGGGTAGAGGACTGACTATAATGAGATGTCAGGACATCTTTTTTGCAGCAATGGAAATGCTCTAATATTTTAATTGTGATGGTGGTTTTATGGCTATATACATTTGTCAAAATCATCAAACTATATATTTTAAAAGAATGAATTTTATTGTATGCAAATTATAACTCAGTAAAATAAAACAACAAAACCCCCCCCACAATAATGCTTTTGTTGGAGATGGTCAGGATTTGTACATCACAGGCAGGATGTACTTGTTTGGACTTGAACAGTACTAGAAATGAAACACAGCACTTAGTAAGTTTCCAAGTTGTTAGTTTTCTACATGGCAGCACACTACATGTTCATTAGAAAGTCCCAGTTGAATAGAAAAATTATATGACTAGAGTTCCTTAAGACCAAGGTAAACTGTGTATATAATTATACAATAAATTCCATTCATTTTGGCAAACATTTATTGAATGCTTACTAGTACCAGACACTGGGGTAGAAACTGAGTGGGAGAAAAACAGATACGTGAGGCATAAAACAGGGTCTCCTGGGACTCACAGGAGTACATCTAAGCCATCCATTCATAAGCTATCATTGTGAAGTGATATACCAATCACTAGACAGCTCTGAAATGGCATTTCTCTATGGAGGGCTTGAATTCTAATTCTGAAGAACTGCTCCTTGATAAAGGTATATGAAGTAGCAGGCTTTCAAAAACTGTTTTGGTACTGGTATGGAAGAGGGGCAAAGAAGTGCTGGGAAGAGAAGGGTGGGTCCCTGGTGAGGGCTCCACCCTAGGGCCTGTACCCACAGACCTAGGTGAGGACAGGCACTTCTGCCCAAATGTTGCATTTCCCAAGACCACCCTGGTCCACCACGCCCCGATCCTGTGCCTATAAAAACCTGAGACCCTAGTGGGCACACACACAAGCGGCTGGACATCAAGAGGAACACACTGGCAGAAGAAGACACAAGAGGCTGGATGTCAAGAGGACGTTGAGGGGAGCTCGCTGGCATGAGCCCAGGCCACTGAGCAACCCGACACCAGGGGAAAATATCTCCCTTCTGGCTCCCCTATCTGCTGAGAGCTACTTCCACTCAATAAAACCTTGTGCTCATTCTCCAAGCCCATGTGTGATCTGATTTTTCCGGTACACCAAGGCAAGAACCCTGGGATACAGAAAGCCCTCTGTCCTTGCGATAAGGCAGGGGTCTAATTGAGCTGACTAACACAAGCTGCCTATGGACGGCTAAACTAAAAGAGCACCCTGTAACACACGCCCACTGGGGCTTCAGCTGTAAACGTTCACCCCTAGACACTGCCATGGGGTCAGAGCCCACAGCCTGCCCGTCTTTATGCTCCCCTAGAGGTATGGGCAGTGGGGCACTGAACAAGCGAGCCACACCCCCACTGCATGCCCTGTGAGGGGGAGAAGGGAATTTTTCCCATTTCAGTACCATCCCTGATCCTTTGTCCTTTTCATCACTTTGCCTTCCAACTTTGCACTCACTCTGCTCTGTAACTTTAGGCTTGTCAATCATGAACTTTTCCTCAACTTAATGCAAAAGGCTAGTTAAGGATACCAACAGTTCGATTTACTAATCTCTTCAAGAGTTACACTTACGCATATTTCAACAAGCTAACCACACAGATAGTGACAAGAGGCTCAAAGGTAGTTCAGACACCAGACAACCTTACAGTTGAAGGGAGGAACCTCAGAGCCCTTCAATAAAGCATGTGCACCAGACTACAGAAGAAACAAGGGAGGTTTTAGAAGGGAAGGAGTGGGAAAAAGGAGGTAAGACCAGGATAGATGTCTATATTGCAGGAAACTGAGAAGGGTCTTTGGAGAGAACAGGGGAGGGCTGAGCTTTCTGAACATTTTTGTCTTTCCCAATTGAATTTTTTTTTTTTTCTTTTTGAGACAGAGTCTCCCTCTGTCGCTCAGGCTGGAGTGCAGTGGCGCAATACTGGCTCACTGCAACCTCCGCCTCCTGGGTTCAAGCAATTCTCCTGCCTCAGCTTTCTGAGTAGCTGGGATTACAGGCATCTGCCACCACATCTGGCTCATTTTTGTATTTTTGGTAGAGACGGGGTTTCTCTGCTGGACAGGCTGGTCTCAAACTCTTGACCTCAGGTGATCTCTCCGCCTTAGCCTCCCAAAGTGCTGGGATTACAGGCGTGAGGCACTGTACCCAGCCCCAGTTGAAAAGTTTTTTGAAGACTAAAACAATTTCCACATCAGGGATGGAGTTTTTAAGGCTTACCGTTTGACTTTCTTGGCTTTTTCTGTGTTTAAACTGGAAAACACATAAATGTGATTTTTCTGTTTTCAGTAATTGATATTAAGGATGAGATTGAATCCTTGGGCACAAATCAGGACAATGCTCTGAGAACTGGACCCTTAGCATCACAATGAAAGACTAATATTTTTTTTCTTGTATTTTAGTTTGGGACTGTGCTAGCTACTATATACTTTTCCAATTGCTGATACAGTTATTTTGTTAGGCATAGAAATGACCTGAGACTACAAGTCTGGTCACAATCAAAGTGTCTACACATTTCATGGAATCAGCCATGATTGGTTATAACAACACAGATTAGCTGTTACTTAAATATTTACTACAGGGAACAAGAATTGTGAAAACAGCACTTACACTTGTGTTTACGTATACCTATCGCCACTTGACTCATTCTATAGCTATCATATTACTGGTTGAATACTAATTTTTAAATGGAAACTTAAACAGTTATGGGAAGATTTTTTTTTTTTTTTTGAGACAGAGTCTTGCTCTGTCACCCAGGCTGGAGTGCAGTGGCACAATCTTGGCTCACTACAACCTCCGCCTCCCGGGTTCAAGTGATTCTCCTGCCTCAGCCTTCTGAGTAGCTGGGACTACAGGCATGTGCCACCATGCCCAGCTAATTTTTGTATTTTTAGTAGAGATGGGGTTTCGCTATGTTGGCCAGGCTGGTCTCGAACTCCTGACCTCGGGTGATCCACCTGCCTTGGCCTCCCAAAGTGCTGGGATTACAGGCGTGAGCCACCACACCCAGCCTATGGGAAGATTTTTTAAATGCTCTGTCTTTTCTTCTCCTGCTCTTGTCACTGGTGAGATGTCAACCTAAGCTACTATAGACTATTGTTGGAGATGTATGGATTCCACTAATTTTCTTTACCATTCATTACAGAAATATTTTCTTCTAGTGTTGACAGTTATCTCTGTGTCTTTTTTTTTTTTTTTTTTTTTTTTTTGAGATGGAGTCTGGCTCTGTTATCCAGGCTGGAGTGCAGTGGCATGATCTTGACTCACTGCAACCTCTGTCTTGTGGTTCAAGTGATTCTCCTGCCTCAGCCTCCTGAGTAGCTGGAATTACAGGTGTGTGCCACCACACTCAGCTAATTTTTTTTTGTATTTTTAGTAGAGACGGGGTTTCACCATGTTGGCCAGGCTGGTCTCGAACTCCTATCCTCAAGTGATCCACCTGTCTCAGCCTCCCAAAGTGCTAGGATTACAGGAGTGAGCCACTGTACCCAGCCTGTGTCTTCATAACTAGACTTCTGGAGGTCTTTTATTGATTTCTCTAGCACGGTGACTTTTCTCAACACTGGCTGGTTGTACATTAGAGCCACTTGGGGAACTTTTAAATATCCTGAGACCCACTGGCACCAATTAATTTCTGGTGACAGGCCCCAGGCATCAATTCCAAAGTTCAGCCAGGGCAGAGAACCACTAGGCTAGGGAGAAAAATCAAAACCTTATTTGTCAGGTTCATTCCTAGTTTTAAATCTCTGTTGTCTTTATTCTTGTGATAAGAACAGTATTAGAGTAATAGTCTGTGTACATTTGTTGTGTGGATCTCTGCAACTGTCCTTTTCTAATGAAGGTTTTCCTGTGAGCTGACTTACAATTATAAGAGAGTCTTTTCTATTACAGACCAATAGATATTATAGAGATAGGCAAGGTACTTCTACAAGCATTCTCTCATGTGAACCTAACTGTAATTCTGGAAAGCAGGGGGGATTACTATGCCCATTTTAGATGAGAAACTGTGGCTCAAAAAGGTTAAATGATTTTTCTAAATTTCGTGGTTCAATGACAGACTCAGGACTCGAAACAATGACATCTAACATTTAACCTACTACACTTCCTACTACTTCATTCCCCCCAACCTTCCTTTGAAGGAAATCAGAAGTGAATAAGAGACGACTTTCTTTTTAAAGGCATTTTAGTCTAAATAAACAACTGATAAAAACACTACCTTATAACTTTAATTTCAACTCCAATGTGACATTATAGGCTAAGTCATAGCTGAAGCACTGGGTACCATACATGGGAGCAGTTTAACGTAATTTCATGAAGTGCCTAGAATATAACATATGGCCAACAAATATTTGTTGAATAAATTTACAAACTTCCACTTGTTTCTTGCCATGTATATGACTTTTCTATAGGGCATAGCTGTAGATATAAGCACTACAAATGAATACTTTTTTTTTTTTTTTTTTTTTTTTGAGACGGAGTCTCGCTCTGTCGCCCAGGCTGGAGTGCAGTGGCGGGATCTCGGCTCACTGCAAGCTCCGCCTCCCGGGTTCACGCCATTCTCCTGCCTCAGCCTCCCAAGTAGCTGGGACTACAGGCGCCCGCCACTACGCCCGGCTAATTTTTTGTATTTTTTAGTAGAGACGGGGTTTCACCATTTTAGCCGGGATGGTCTCGATCTCCTGACCTCGTGATCCGCCCGCCTCGGCCTCCCAAAGTGCTGGGATTACAGGCGTGAGCCACCGCGCCCGGCCATGAATACTAATTTTTATTCTAGTTTGATCTGCCTATAATCATGAGGATCTGGAGAAAGGGTCAGAAAAAGTAACTAAGCATTTAGGCTGAATTAGTCTTGCAGGAAGACAAGGACAGACTGATGGACAAAAAGAGACACAGACATAGTCCTCTATTCTTCTGTCTGGAACAATAATCTCAGGAAATAACTAAATATGTGCAGGAGAAAATATTAACCAAAAACAGCTTACAAGACCTACACATTGAATTAAAATCACTGGGCAGGAAAAATAAAGGATAGCTATTCCAGCAGATCAACCAGATGTATGGCCTGAGTACAACTGTAGAGGCAATATATTTATACATTTATAAAAGCGAATTCATACTGTTGGCAATGTATTTAGCTGGGGAGAAGACAGTTACTATGTATTTGTAATAATGCCCCCAGGACACCTGGCCTGAGGACCACCACTGGCTGACATTTGGAGCAATGCATAGATACCACTTCCTCTTCAGACATTCAAGTCTGAGGAGTTGCAGAGTGGATATGAGGCCAAGAACTGGTCAGAGATGATGACTAAAATCTGTGAAACAAAATGCTAGTTAATGGTAGAATAACTTCCAAGAAAAAGAATCAACAATTTTAAAATGCTACTAATGTAAGAATGCACTAATGATCAGATTAAATTTTAACCAATAAATGATTTAAGGAGGCCTAAGGGACAATCTCCTTATTGAAAAATAAAAACTTAAATAAAATAAACAGAAAATTGTTTGAATCACAGTTCCCCTCCACTTCCCCCTAACCTTTTTTTTCCTGCTTCCTTTCAGTTTCTTTAGTCTCTCAGAAATTCCCTGGTGGGGCTTTAAAGGGACACACTCTTCTTGACATATATTAGGCAGGTCAAATCCAGATGTATGTTTTTTGAATTAAGATGGCTTATTTAAAGCAATAAGAAGCTGCCACAGAATAGCCAAAATTATAGATATTAGAGATGGAAAAGACTTATTAGATCATCAAGTCTGTCCCTCAGGGCCAGTGCAGGAGAAGCAATCAAAATAAAATGATCCACTCACTCCAACTGTTCTCTGTGGTTAGCAAGACAAAAACATTCTCAAATAGAAAGGAGTCTTGGAAGTTTATGACTGAAATACTGAACTTTCTTTTTTCAATTATTTTGTTCATTGTCAGTCAGAATCCAGGGAAGCTGGGCTTATTTTGCTTTTGGTTTTATATACATCTATCTATCTATCTATCTATCTATCTATCTATCTATCTATCTATCTATAAATGTACCTTGTATGTACAAACATATATAGATGCTATGAAGCCACCATTTATAGCTTTCAGTTTTCTCAGTTATAGTCATATTAGCATTCATAATAAGCTACTGGTTTATCTAGCGGTTTCTGATAAAGCTTCTGGTTTGTTCAAGATTTGCTAGTAGGAACCCACCCATAGACCAAGTTCTCTCTTTTTTGGGAGCTCAAGGTCTAATGACATGGCTGTGACCTCTGACAGATGGTGTACGTGATGGACACTGAATTTAATTCATGTGATGGAATTCTGGAAATAAGCATCAAGGACTTGGGGATTTTTCTATGTGTAGAGACCACAGGAAGGGATCAGCCTTTAGCCCTCCTCATAGGAATGGTTTCAATAAATTTGAATACCTTTCCATGGCCCTTTATATTTTTTGAAATATTTACATATAAAGATGTACTTAAATACAAGAGCAGAATAAAATAACACCAATATCTAAGGAATAAAAAGAGTTTTCTAAACTGGCTAGGATGAGCAGAAAGTGGGGATGTAAGAAATTCTCCTTCATTGGTAAACAGGCAGTCTTGGAGAGACACTGATGTGACTCACGCTTGTGTTCATATTCACCACAATTATGGTTGGCAGAACAGACAGACTTATTAGGCAATTAGAAGGAAATAAATCCAACTTCAGATTGATCTACCAAAATACTCAGTCTCTAAGACTTGTGCTAGATATAGTGGAACTAGTGATGAGAAAAAGTGTGATTTCTTTATTGAAGAGCCATCATTGAGTTATCCTAGGTCTCCTTGGAGAAACTTGTCAAAATGATCCCCGGTTAGCCTTTTGAATTTCCATACCAATGGAGACATATTGTTGCCTTCTAGTTCCTTAAAACAAAAATGTGATAGGATAATTTTTAAAAAGGATTCCATATGGCTATGAACTTATTAAAAATACATAAATATCTAGGTTATGAAATACTAGAGTGCCTTTTAAAATTGATTCAGTTGATGAAATCTGGTGTCTGGAGTGATTTCTATAAAAAGCTGCTCATTGAGCCCCTGATCAAGATTATAAACTCCTACTGAACACTGTTTCTATGGGAAAATCGAAAACTGACTTACATCATTTTGACTTGTCAGGCCTTTTCCAGGAACTTAGTCTGCCAAAGAGACAAAGATTGACTCCTTATTTAAATAAGAGGGGCCCCATTGGCGTTTCCTACAAATTTGGGTGCCAAATGAAATGGAAAATCCATCATCCTCACACATTAGAGGACCAATTCGTGGTAATAATACCATATCTTCTATTTTCCAGCCTTGGGGAAACTCAAAAACTTTTGCTTTTAATTTTCACTGTATTCTAGTGAGGAGGGAAGAGGCTGAGAATCAATTATTTAAAGTATTTAAGCCAGAATTAGGCAAATGGGCACCTGAGGAAAAGTAATTATAGGTGGCACTAGTCACCTTTTCCAGTTTGCTTTCTTTACCTTTCAACTAATTCCACTCTACTATTTTTTCCCTAATTTTGCATTATGCTTGGCTGAGGCATGCTCAGACCTTGCTCAGCTTCATTTACTACACTGAAAGCCATATTATAGAGCTGTGAACATATAATATGGCACCTACATCAAAAAAGGCTTTGGAGGTCAAGTTTCAGCAGGGCTCTATTTTTACATTTTTACTTAACCTCTTCTGGTTCTAAGGCTATTGAAGGACTTCATCCTTTGAAAAATTAAGTGGAGAAGGAACAACCTCTTCTCCCAAGCTTTCTGTTACTTTCCTTACCCTCTTCCCAACCTCCCACAAGAGAAATAGTATTCATGAACATTAGAAGAAAATGAAAACATCTTAAAAATTTATGCTATTTACTCATTCTTCTAATTTGGAGAACATACTATTTTCATAGAAGAACAGCTATGGTAAATTCTCTATATTTTTAACCTTTAAGTGTTTTATTAAACAAAAACTCCTATCAGCATACAAAAGGTCTTGCTCTCCCACAAAACAAGTAATTTGTATAAAAAATGCTACTTCTTCCATAGTTGTCGCTGTTCTGTGAGCTGACCTTAGGGCAAGTGCAGAGAAAAGGTGTACGTACAGTATTAGCTAACTATGCAGCAATTTGTTTTGCACTTTGTCTTGCAGGAGGTTCCAGTCTACCACCTGGTTCAAAACAATTCTAAACAGAGTTTTACATCTATATCTTTAACATTTTTAAATAATGTCCTAGTGGCTGTAGAAAGTATGTTACCTAACGACTGCCTTGCTCTCTAGAGATTAAAGAGAAATAAGCTTTTGTTTTTTAATTATAATAACAAAGTCTAACATACTGTGTTTACTCTGTGCTTGGGACTATTCTAAGCATTTAACATGTATTAACTTATTTAGTCCTTATAACAATGCTATTAGACAGGTGCTTTCAGTAAGGTTATATAACTTGCCCAAAGTCACACAGTTGCTAAGTGGAGAGTCATGATGTGAACCTAGGCAGTTGCTCCACAACCCATGTTCTCAACTTCTACGTTGTACTGGCCTTTGAATCACTGATAACCTCGAGAAGCTCTAAAATCATCATAGGAAACATGCATTCAATAAATGCAAGTGGTGCATGAGGTGGCTTATGCCTATAATCCTAGCACTTTGGGAGGTCAATGCAGAAGGATTGCTTGAGCCCAGAAGTTCCAGACCAGTCTGGGCAACATAGTGGGAAACCAACTCTATCAAAAATAAAAAAATAAAAATTAAATAAGTACATGTGTACAGGAGGAAACAATGCTTCCTTTTACTCTTTCCAGGTTCTCTGGTCTAAGAATTAAATCAGTGTAAGACAGATTAACAGGAGAAAAAAACTTAATTACATACATATGCATGAGTGTTTTACAAAAATGAGGCTCAAGGAGATGGGCAGATAATTGAGACTTACATACCTGAGCTATAAACAGGAGTAGTGGTTTAGGGGCTTCTGGTGGGGGGAGTGGGAGGCAAATTATGGGAAGGTGAGGGGAAAAATGTGTAGCAAATAAAGTTTGCTTTATTATGCTGGTAAGAGTGATAAGAACTACTGAGAGTAGTTCTCTTCCTGATAAAAATACTTTACTAGTGGAAATTTCATTTACAAAAGTAAATTTATACTTTATTCTAGATAGTTGAGGGGGAGGTAAAGAGCTTTTCCTGCATCAGCTGGTTCTCAATTGCCTTTAGCTAAAAAAAAAAAAAAGTCAAAGTGGTATATTTTGAACCCCTTCACTTATAATAAATATACGCAGAGAGCTCTTGGAGTCTGCACTGGAGACAGAAGAATAAACAAGACACAAATATCACTGCCATGACATTCAGTCATTTAAACAGATGAAAAGTTAATCCATGCTTGGGGCCTGAAAATGCACATAGAACAAATTATAAAATTTATTCCCCCAAACAGGGGAATAAAAATGAATGCAGGAATGATTTTTTTTGTCTTGTTAACAGGCAAGAAAAAAATAGGCTGAAATCAGCTTTCCCAAAACAAAATGCACTGTACCATCATCCTTCTATGGACTCTTTTAATAACACCCTAACTGGTCTCCTTGCTTCTCTTCTGGTCTGTAGGACACTCTCTTCATAGCAGCCTGAGTGATCCTTTACCACCTATTTTGAAAAGAAGCTGTCAATCAGTATAAACTAATACTGAACAGTAGATACTAGGAGTCATTCTGCTCTTCTGTTGAACTTGGTTCTGGAGCGGGAGAGCTTAGTGGCATCAATGTTACTGAACAGCTTCTCTCTGCTGAGGTTCCTTCTCCTTTTTCCCATTCTATATGCCCTCAATCCCTTGCAGCCAGAATTCTCCTCTCTTTTCTTTACGCTTCTTGCAGATCCAGCTCCATTCAGCTTCTGCACTCAGTGAGTACGCCCTTATGAACCATCTCTGCTTATGACCACAAACACATTAAAGTAAAAATGCCAGCATTTAAATGTATCTAAAATGTGATTTTAAAATATTATTCATATGAAAGATAAGAAGAAATTTATTTCCATCTGGATAATTCTTTTAAACTAAAGACTTTCTTACAGAATCTGGAAAGATGACAGCTATCTTCAAATACCTGAAGGACTATCTTATGTGACAGGATTCATTATATTACTTAAGTTCAAGAAACCTCCAGAGATAAAACATAGAATTTCCTTATCTAAAAGATAAGCACAAAGAGGAAGCACAAAATGTGTCCTTGATGTTTTCACCTTAGAATGAAAACAATCATAGAGTTCATTTTTCACCACTCAGTTGTGCAACTTGCAATTCTTGGGTTATCAAAGAACAGTCAGATTATATTAAGAAACTCATGTTTTCTGATCTCAAAGCTTTTTCTATCACATGGAATTGCACACAAACATCTTGCACTTTCTAGAGAGGGTCATATAATACCACACACTTAACTTTGCCCCTCTTCTCCCAAACTGCTTTGCTGTGGATCAGGGAGGTGCTGACGGGCTTGAGTCCCATCTCTTGGGCTGGCCAGTTTTGACTGGCAGATGCTTCTACTGAAGCAGCAGTTTTTCATCTCCCCAGCTTTATGGCCCACACTGTAACAGATAAGGGGTAGCAGACATCCTGGCTCTAGTGTGCTCAGAAACGAATACAAACTAATGCAAAACAGAATCAGAAGGCACAGTTTTTCTTATTTGCTCTCCTAATGAAACTGTCATCTTTATTCATAGAATGGTTTCTTCATATCTTTTCACTACTTCTGTGCAGCCATAGGTACTGGTCTGAAATGTGCCGTATTTGATTCTTGGTCAATTCCAGTTTCTTCAAATATTGCAGGGAATCAAGAATTAATATACAGCAAAGACTACACAAAGATGGTGTGTAGACGATAATGCAGATAGACAACAGATACATCCATACATCTTACACAAAACCATTATATATGCGCTCACATTCTTTTTCTGTTTCGGTTCTAGGACAGCCTTTAGGTCCCACCCCACCACCCTGACAATCAGAGACACTTTTGACTACTTCAGAGGCAGTCAAGCATTTACACTACCATTATTCTCGTTTAGTAACAATACTGAAAAGCTTCATACTGTCTGCCATTATGCCTCCTCAAGCTGTCTTTTAATAGTTTCAATGAAAGCTGTGCAAGGAAATAATATTCTACAATCTCCAGTCTCCAGGGAAGAATATGACTGTTCCCAGAGGAGAGTAAGCCTTTGCTGAATCTGCTACTTTATGAGTAAAACAGGAAGTTCGGTCCTCTTTTATTGTACCTTTTTCATTTTTGAAAAGCTGCCCAAATGGTTCCAAATATAGTTGAAGCACTTATTAATGTCAAGAAGCCAAGATATTTCTCCATGGTTTGCTGAATAAGAAAGGAAGAAAACCGCTTGTACTCAGTTGTCCTTTGCTTCCCTTGCCAAAGAAGCAGGAAGGAGAGTGAATGAATAAGTGAAAAGGGATGGTGTTTATCTTTCAACAAAATCATAATGTTCTGCACTCAGCTCCTGCAGTCAAATGTGGCCACTGCATCTTTAAGACAGCTAGTCTCTTCCCTCAGAGACGACACACTAATTATAGTGCTTCTGCCAGAGGGAACTCACACATGTAAACCATTATGTAAAATATAATTTCTTTTTCTTTAGGAATACTCAAGATCATTAGACATGGTTTCTTCAATGCTAGAAAATCAGGCCAAAAATGAAAATAAACAGTTTCAAGTATTTGCAACATAATTCCCTCATGCATTTATGGAAATACAGTAAAAGTGCCCTAAAATGTGGTTTGACATTTCATGCTGCACTGGTTTTTTCTATTTTTCCAATTCTCTAACATTTGCCCTCTTATCCTATATCATTTCAGTTTCACTATATTTCAAATACTCACATAGCAATAGCCACAGCTATTACCAAATAGTTGGGCTTTGAGGGAGCTAGTGAACAACAGGAAGCAGCCCAGAAGCTTGTTGTAAATTAAACAAACGCCTTATAAATTAAACATGGTAACACATGAACACAAACGTAGGGCACGGCAACATGACATAACTTTTAAAAACAGCAATTAAATGTATAGCATTGCTTTCCCTAATGATGTGCTATGCTAATTTAAGGCAAAGGTAATGATTCCGTTGATTTAACAGTTTGACATGGAACTCATAAATGAGAATAAAATCTGTAATAAATCATGGGGACTTCGGTATTCACGAGTATAGAATTAGGTATGTTATTATATGGGGGAAAGATATACATTTCAATTCAATCAATTTTCTATATCATAAACTAACCCAAAACATAGGCTCAACAGTAAGCAGTCTTTTGAGACTCAAAGAAATAATCCCTTTATTAAAAATTCAGATTTTCAATAGTATATTAATTGGTAAATTTTCTTTTTTATTGTTACTGTCTGCATTTTGCTTCTTCCACATTGTTTACCTTTTTAATCTTTTTATCCAGATGTTCTGAAAATACAAAATAAATAAAGCATCACTTATAATACCCTTATAAAACACAAAGCGCCATAATGGACACATAAGTTTTATCTTAGTAAAAGGACAAAAGCGGAAGAGAAACACATTCTCTTAAGCTCGTATGGGTTTGTGAAAGAAAGGGATGTTCTACTGGGGAGAGCAGTCTCATTGGGAGAGATCTGACTGCTACAATCGTTTGCTTTAACTGGTTTACTTTGCTCTATTAAAAAAAATCCATATCAATTGGATTGATTTTTAATGTCTATGTTTAGCTCAATGTTAACTGGCTTTGTTTTTGAAAAATGCACTCTTTGGTTATTCAGATAAATAAGTAATCCAGCTCTTCTACAATGATTTTACTATTGCTATTATTATGTAGCATTATTAACAGATTTTCTTTAAAAGTTCTTTTCTATTCTGGAGGCCCAGTTTTTACTTTTTAGTCGATTTTTCTTACCTAGGATTACATAAAAATACCTTTAGAGAATAGCCACTTCTGTACAGGACAAAAACATTACAGCTGGAATCCTTTGGTAAGCAACTCTCGAACTATTCAAATAGGCAACTAGCAATAAGCTCTTGATCACATTGGTAAAAATCATATACATTTTTGCCATGGTGTCAACAGATGAAACCTGTTGATATATGGGGTAATAAGTGCAAAACAGGAGGGAAGTAAAGACTTGTTCTCAGAACACATAATGCTCTCTCTCCCTCCAGCCTCTATACTTTATATTCATGCTGATGAGTCTGTTCTTCCTGGTTACTTTTTCTTGGCTAACGTTATTAGTCCTTTAGATTTCAGCTTAGCTGACATTCCCTGCAGGAAGCCTTCCCTGATCATTAAGACAAAATCAGGCCTCGCCCAAGTGCACTAAGTCCACAGCACCTGCTAGCCCTACAGTAGCACTTATACTACATTACTACTACACTACACTACATTATAATTGAACCTTGAGGGTAGGGAATATAGCCTATTCAGAAATGTGGCCCCAGTACCAGGCAGCTTGCCAAATAGTCAGAAGCCAATAAATATTCATTGAACAAACAAATTAGTAACATGCTGATAATGATGACAATGTTACTAATGACTAAATTTACTGAGTGCTTGTTACATGTCAAGTGCTATTCTAGGCCTTTTACATTTAATCTTCACAACCCTACAAGGAAGGTGCATTTGTGCCATTACCACCTCCATTTTACGGATGAAGAAGCTGAGACACAGAGAACCTTCTGTATTTTGTTGCATTGCTTTGTTTTGGTAGTGGCTTGTCAATTTAGATGAATTCAGATTATATGCTCGGAGCAAAGGTGAAGTGAAGAGTAACTGCTAATTGATAACAGATCAAAATAATTACTAAGTTGAACCATATAAAACTGTTGGCATTCAATTGGGTTTGACCTACATAAATGGCAATTTCATCTTTATCCCTGTGCTTTATCTCTAAATCTACCCACAACTGGGTAGCATGCACCTACATATTGCCATGCTAGAGTGACACGCACCTGGAGAAGGACCTGAGAAGGTATTTATGCACATAATTATTTTTAACTGTGTCAACAGAGCTTTGTTCCTATGGCTGTCTAGGACTTAATGATATTTTTGGGATATATTTGCTATAATACATTTTGCCTGTGTAGACAAAGTCAAGGGACTCAAAAGAGGTAAAATCAGTAATGATGGTTTTTCCATAGTTCTAACTCATCCAGGATGACAAAAAGCCAAAGATAAAAGAAAAAAAGAATCTGGAATTGAAAATGATTTAAATTTGCCAGTTCCCAGCACTTCTGGAATACTGCCAGGGTTAATTTGGATTGGGCCTTTCAGAGTTTGCATTACTTTAACTTGATGTAACCTAAAAAATAGACTTGATATAAAGAGGTAAAAAGAGTCCATCTAACTCAACACAACTGACAGTCTGTTCTCAAGTTGCCTAGCCCTGAACCAGAATGTTTTATTTGTTTCACTCCAGAAGAGGGTGATACTGTGTCTCTTAGTGAAAGGTATTTGTGATGAAAATAACTTATAGACTAATCCAAAGCTATGTAAGGCAAATGCTCACAGAAGGAAACAGAACTTGTTTTTTAAGGTGGAAACATTTTTAGAGCTTGCTGGAGATTTTCATTTCAAAATCTCCAAATTCAACAATTCTTCAGCCTCTGTAAACTTTCAAATGGAAAGCTCCAATATTTAGAGTAAATAATGTCTAAGCTTCCCCTTCATAGCAAGTTTTCTTTTTCTCTCCTGTCATAAGAGTGTTATATCCTGGCAAGTGAAATACAGAACCCCTTTGTAGTAAAGCTATCATACTATACCACTCAGAATGTGGTGCTAATGAGGTTATTGCTTAATAGAACCATAGAAGGACATTGAAAAAAGAAAATACCCTGACAAATGTGTTGACCAAAGGATACCAACAACTCTCCTAGGGTCCTGTCCGAAATTCAAGGATTTAAAAAAGTAAAAATGAACTTTAGTGTATGTGAAAAATCATAACATTGAAACATAAGTCCATTTATCTTTTAACTATTTTTCTAGTTCTCTTCCAAAATTTTGCTGGTTATTAAAACACTGCTGTGTAAATAAAAATGTTCTGCTTTATAACTTAACCCCATTTCTTGTCCTTACAATATAATAATGTCATTGTTTGTTATATCACACTTATTCTCAAAGTAATAGGGCTTGATTTAAAGGACTTTAAATAGCACATTGAGGAAGGGCTTCTGCAGAAAAATGAGATTGGGGAATCAAACACAGAATGGGGAATTCAGAAATGGACTATGAAGGACTTCTATTATTCTGAGAGTCCTAAAAGAGTTTATATACCATGACTCCCACTGAGATAAGCACAGCTCTTCATAAACACTCTTAATAAACATCTGCTAAGTGGGCTGTCCCAAGGCTGAACTGTCCACTGATAAGGTCGTGGGGAATTTATTACTAGAATTTCAGTGAAGCCATTCAAATTCCCAGACTGTGAATATAGTTGCAAATAAATGAACTCATTTCATTAATACATATCCTCTGCCCTGATGAGTAAATGCCCACTTTTGCGTCTCTTCAGAGATATTCACAATCAACTGCTTCATGTACCCAGCTATCCTTAGTCATTCAGACCACCAAAAATGAGAGCTTGCAGCAGTCTATAACATCACCACTCTCACAGATAAAACACAACATACCCTATAATTAGAATCACAGACTGTAGGAGCTCGAATGGGCCTTAGAAGTAATTTAGTTCAACCTTCTCATTGTACAGTTGAGCTTGAGTGACTTTTCCAAATGTTATTCAACCAGTTAATGGCCGGACTGGGAGTAGAACCAGGTCTCCCGACTCTTATTCAACTGCTTTTGCCATTATAACAGGATTCAGCCATGACATACTATTTAAGCAAGGTCAGTAAACAGACACTACTAGGACTTAATGGCAAGTGATTTCATTAACAACAAGAGGCTGTAACAAAAAACTCCCTGTATCTAATTCCTAAAAAATTCAAGTTGAGGGATGGTAACTTGGTATTCTAGCCACTAACATAAAAAAGCAAAGAAACTATATGGACTAGAAACCAATTCTAAAAGAATCTTTTTAAAAAAAGTCTGCATTAATAAGATTAATAAGGATATACTCAATGTAGAACATTTATTCTACTTGGGTGATATATATTTTTTTAATCTCACCTATTGCACCTGCATAAGAGTGAGGAATTTCTGTATTAAACAGTAAAAGTTTTCTTTTGCCAATGATGTACATTATACTGCAGAAAAGAACTAGATTGAGAATCAAGAGTCCTGGGTTCTGCTATTAATTCACTGAGATACTCTAATTTTCTCATTTTCTCAGTCATAGCTTTCTTTTGTTTTGTTTTGTTTTTTTATTTTTTGGATACAGGGTGTCACTCTGTGATTCAGGCTGGAGTGTAGTAGCACGATCACAGCTCACTGCAGCCTCAACTTCCTGGTGATCCTCCTGCCTCAGCCTCCTGAGTAGCTAGGACTACAGGCAAGCACCACCACACCTGGCTAGTTGTTTTATTTTTGTAGAGATGGGGTCTTCCTATGTTGCCCAGGCTAATCTCAAACTCCTGGGCTCAAGTGATCCTCTCACCTCAGCTTCCCAAAGGGATTAAAGGCATGGGCCATGATGCTCAGCCACAGTTTTCTTTTCTTTTCTTTTTGTTTTTTTTTGAGAAGGAGTCTCACTCTGTCGCTCAGGATGGAGTACAGTGGCACAATCTTGTCTCACTACAACCTCCGCCTCCTGGATTCAAGCGATTCTCCCGCCTCAGCTTCCTGAGTAGCTAGGATTACAGGTGTCTGCCATCACGCCCAGCTAATTTTTGTATTTTTAGTAGAAACAGGGTTTCACCATGTTGGTCAGGCTGGTCTTCAACTCCCGACCTCAGGTGATTCACCTGCTTCAGCCTCCCAAAGTGCTGGGATTACAGATGTGAGCCACCACCATGCCTGGCCCCAGCCACAGTTTTCTAATATAAAAATTGAAAGGGTTGATTTTTAACAGTGTGCTAAGAAGGGCCCTGGAAGTTTCCCAGAGTTGTCCTAGGAGCTGACAAGAGGGGCTAGGGAAGAATAAGGAAGATACCAAGCTTGGAAGTTCTGTGTTTTCCACCCCAACCTCAACTGGGCAGTTCTGCTTTGATCTGATTTTAATATTAAGCTAAAATGTAAGATCTTGTTTGAAGAACAAGTTATGTGGCTGAAGTTTCAAAGCCACTGAAAAGTTGACAGTACCTATAATACACCTTCTGACTCTGATGTTCGCTTAAAAGCCCTGCAAGGACACTACCTTAAGGATTAAACCCAAGCTCCTAAATACAGCATTCTCCATGCCTCAGCCCCCGCCTCTCCTTTTCTTCTCATCTCCAGCCATTTCTCACCATGTACTTCATGCTTTAAGCATTTCAAAATGTTGGTAATAACCTGACAATGCAGTGCTGTTTCACACCTCCTTGGAACTCACTTTTGCTCATGCTCCTTCTGCAATTTGCCCCCTTCTCTGCTTGGCTTAACTCTTCTTACTCTTCAAAATTCAGCTCAGGCAATCCTTTCTCCACAAAGCCTTTTTGGAACCCCAAAACCAGGTGAAGTGCCCTCTACTTGCTCTTACTACAGCCTGTGAAGGATTCGCACATTACACCTTATAAAGAAATGATACAGGGCCAGGCGCAGTGACACACACCTGTAATTCCAGCATTTTCGGAGGCCGAGGTGAGCGGATCACCTGTGGTCAGGAGTTTGAGACCAGCCTGGCCAACATGGTGAAATCCCGCCTCTACTAAAAATACAAAAATTAGCCGGGCGTGGTGGCAGGCACCTGTAACCCCAGCTACTTGGGAGGCTGAGGCAGGGAGAATTGCTTGAACAAGGCGGGTGGAGGTTGCAGCGAGCCAAGATTGCGCCACTGCACTCCAGCCTGGGCAACAGAATGAAACTCTGTATCAAAAAAAAAAAAAATTAATATTAAAATAAAAAAAGAAATGATAGAATTCTATAGTTTCTCTTTCATTTGGGCTATAATTGTCTCATGGGCAAGGCCCTTCTCTTTTGTATTTGTTAAAATATTAGTGTCTAAAAGTTCAATAAAGACGTATTGAAGGAGGACATTAAAAAATTTTAAAAACACCTTGAACCTGATCAAACAATTTAATTTCAAAAACTAAAAAATCCCCTGATGGTGTACAGCTTCTCTCTTTGACGGCATATTCTCTTAAGCAAACATTTTAGTTAAGAAAGGAGTCTCCACAAGGTTTGCCTGCAGCTGACATCTGCTTGTTAGGAAGCAAGAGAGCAACACTCCACCTAAAAACTGTTATAAAAACTCCCCTCAAAGAACAAACCTAAAAATTACTAATTAAAAACAAAATAAAATAACAAAGTTCACCAAAGAAAGGGCTAGTATATTTGCAGAATGTATGTATATCTACTCTATCTTTAATCCAGTCATGCACTGATTACTTACCAGTCACTCTTCTAGGTGTGGGAATGCACCTGTGAGCCAAACAGGTAAAGTCCATGCTCTCACACAAAATATTACAGTGGAAGAAATATGCAATAAACACACACACACAGTATTTGTGGGTGACACATGCTATGGGATGAAAAGGGGTAATGTGCTATGGGGAAAAGATATCCTGGGAAAAAGCAACGGTGAGTTCTAGAGAGGAGGTGGTGTTCCTATTTCATGTAAGGGGTCAGGAGGTCCTGTTCGTGAAGGTATCATTAGATCAGGGAGCTCTATAGTAAATGACAGAATAAGCCATGTAGTATAATATATGACCAAAAAGCACTCTAGGTAGAGAGAAGTGAAAGTGGAAAGACGTTGGGGTAGGAACATTAAGTGGAGTCTTTGAGGAACAGGATAGAGGTCAGGGTGGCTGCAGCAGAATGAGCAAGAGGGCAGGTATTAAGAGATGAATTAAGAGGTTGTCGGGGGCCAGATCATGTGGGGCTGTATTTTCATGCTGCTGATAAAGACATACTCAAGACTGCATAATTTACAAAGAAAAAGAGATTTAATGGACTCACAGTTCCACGTGGCTAGGGAGACCTCAAAATCATGGTGGAAGGCAAGAGTCACGTCTCACATCGCAGCAGGCAAGAGAGAGAATAAGAGTCAAGTGGAACAGGTTTCCCTTTATCAAACATCAGATCTCGTGACACTTATTCACTACCATGAGAACAGTATGGGAGAAACTGCCCCCATGATTCAATTATCTCCCACCGAGTCCCTCCCACAATATGTGGGAATTATGGGAGTACAATTCAAGATGAGATTTGGGTGGGGACACAGAATGAAAGCATATCATTCTGCTCCTGCCCCCTGCCAAATCTCATATTCTCACATTTCAAAATCAATCATGCCTTTCCAACAGTCCCCCAAAGTCTTAACTCATTTCAGCATTAACTCAAAGTCCATAGTCCCAAGTCTTATCTGAGACAAGGCAAGTCTCTTCCGCCTATGAGCCTGTAAAATCAAAAGCAAGTTAGTTAATTCCTAGATATAATGAAGGTACAGGCATTGGGTAAATACAGCCATTCCAAATGGTAGAAACTGGCTAAAACAAAGGGGCTACTGGCCCCATGGTGCAAGCTGTCAGTGGATCTACCATTCTGGAGTCTGGAGGATGGTGACCCTCTTCTCACAGCTCCACTAGGTGATGCCCCAGTAGGGACTCTGTGTGGGGACTCCAATCCCATATTTCCCTTCTGCACTGCCCTAGGAGAGGTTCTCCATGAGAGCCCCACCCCTGCAGCAAACTTTTGCCTGGACATCCAGGTATTTCCCTACATCCTCTCAAATCTAAGCAGAGGTTCCCAAACCCCAATTCTTGACTTCTGTGCACTGGCAGGCTCAACACCACGTGGCAGCTGCCAAGGCTTGAGGCTTTCATCCTCTGAAGCCATGTCCTGAGCTCTGTGTTGGCCCCTTTCAGCCATGGCTGGAGTGACTGGGACACAGGGCACCAAGTCCCTAGGCTGCACACAGCGTGGGGACCCTGGGCCCAGCCCACAAAAAAAACACTCTTTTCTCCTAGGCCTCCGGGCCATGATGGGAAGGGCTGCCATGAAGACCTCTGACATGCCCTGGAGACATTTTCCCCATTGTCTTGGGGCTTAACATTTGGCTCTGTGTTACTTATAAAAATTTCTAAAGCTGGCTTGAATTTCTCCTCATATAATGGGATCTTCTTTTATATCGCATTGTCAGGCTGCAAACTTTTATGTCTGCTTCCCTTATAAACCGAATGCCTTTAACACACCAAGTCACTTCTTGAATACTTTGCAGGTTAGAAATTTCTTCTGCCAGATACCTTAAATCATCTCTCTCAAGTTGAAAGTTCCACAAGTCTCTAGGGCAGGGGCAAAATGCTGCCAGTCTCTTTGCTAAAACCTAACAAGTGTCACCTTTGCTCCAGTTCCCAACAAGTTCCTCATCTCCATCTGAGACCACCTCAGCGTGGATTTCACTGTCCACTCCATATCATTATCACCATTTTGGTCAAAGCCATTCAGCAAGTCTCTAGAGAGTTCCAAACTTTCCTACATTTTCCTGTCTTCTTCTGAGCCCTCCAAACTGTTCCAACTTCTGTCTGTTATTCAGGTTCCAAAGTCACTTCCACATTTTCAGGTATCTTTTCAGCAGCACCCCACTCCTGGTACCCATTTACTGTATTACTTCATTTTTATGCTGCTGATAAAGACATACCCAAGACTGGGTAATTTACAAAGAAAAAGAGATTTAATGGACTCACAGTTCCACGTGGCTGGGGAGGCCTCACAAGCATGGCAAAAGGTGAAAGGCATGTCTTACATTGCAGCAGGCAAGAGAGAGAATGAGCACCAAATGAAACAGGTTTTCCCTTATCAAACCATTAGAACTTATGAAACATATTCACTATCACAAGAACAGTATGGGAGAAACCACCATGATTCAATTATCTCCCACTGGGTCTCTCCTACAATATGTGGGAATTATGGGAGTAAAATTCAAGATAAGATTTGAGTGGGGAAACAGAGCCAAACCATACCAGGAGCCTTAGAGGCAGGGACTTGAGGTACATCACATATATTAAGTAGAATGTTCTCCAATCTTCTAAAGAGTTCTGCTGTAAAAGGGCAGTAACAATAATAGTCATCTGCACTGCCAAGGAGAGGACTCAAGATGGGGGAGACCTGAGTCTGCTAAAATACAGACAGGAAGCAGAAAGCCAAGTGGGAGAACTTGCAGTGAGGGAGGGGAGTTTAAGAGCTCTGCTTGACAAACTAATCAGTACTTTCTCCTCAGAAACAGGTCTAAGAGAGATAACAGGAATTAAATTACAGAAATGTTGAGGTGAGGAAGAAAATAATTTAGAAAGCCTACATCGACTTTTTTTTTTTTTTTTTTTTTAAGCAAAGTAGATTGCCTGTCTAAGAGTCACAGGGGCAAACTGGGGGCTTGAAAAGAGTGAATAACTTTTGTATGATTCCTATGGGATAAATGAATCCTCCAAATTCATTACTTCTCTACTCCATGACTTGAGGGGGAGGTGGCACATGAATTATGTTTTATTGTTTAACTGGGGAAAAAGAAAGAAAATACTAAAAATGACAAAAGCAAACCCGGCTTAGCAGTGCACGCCTGTAGTCCCACTTACTTGGGAAGTTCAGGTAGGAGGATCACTTGAGGCTAGGAATTTGAGGACAGCCTAGGTAATATGTTGAGATCCATCTCTTAGGTAATATATATATATATTGAGATCCATCTCTTAGGTAATATATATATATTGAGATCCATCTCTTAGGAAAATAAAAAAAAAAACATAAAGCTTTACAACTGTCTTCTATACAAGCAACTCCTTCTAGTGCCCAACTCCTTTTAGGCTTTACTGTGTGTCAAATTAGGTTTGGTCTTTTTCTGCAGCAGCTGGTGTGACAACTCCTTTTCTGGTCTAGGGGCAGCAGTTAAAGACCTGAAATCATTGCCTCAGCTTATATCCTAGAGAAAGCTCTGACTATTCATATTTATTATCCCCCACAGCCTTCAATGGCTACTTGAGTTGAAGTTCTAAATTATTCTTCAGCTGGTAAAACATTAGCTTGCAGTAAGGGAAGTCTAAGGAGTGACTTAAATCAGTGTAAACACAAATCATTACCAAGGGTTGCGCTTAAGTCAGAAGAATAGCACATTTAGTAAAGACATATTCCATAGTAATAAAGACTATCACAATTTTAGATATTCTCGGATATTATGGAAAGGAGAGTGAAAGGAAACATCACTGTCCTTTAACTGCACATGTAAAAATACTAACAACTGAAGAAAACTATTTCTTAAGTAAATGGATTAAAAACAGCCACTATGATTACTGAAATTTGGGCCACGAATAATTAAATCTTTAAAGAACTTTTTAGACAGTTACTTATAAAGGAAGATACACTTTTTTTTTTTTTTTGAAATGGAGTCTCACTCTGTCACCCAGGTTGCAGTGCAGTGGTGTGATCTCAGCTCACTGCAACCTCCGCCTCCTGGGCTCAAGTGATTCTCCTGTCTCAGTCTCCTGAGGAGCTGGGATTACAGGCAGGCATCATCACAGTCAGTTAATTTTCATATTTTTAGTAGATACATGTTGGCCGGGCTGGTTTCGAACTCCTGACCTCAAGTGATCCTCCCGCCTCGGCCTCCCACCTTTTTTAATAAAATTCATGTCACAATAAAGGGCTACCAAATATTCAATCTTCAATTCAGAATGCTTTAAATTTCATCTTCTACTATAGATATGATTGATTCGCTAACATCTAAAAAAGATTCAGCTAGTCAGAATTGCTGTCTCTTTCTAGCAAGTTTTCACTTTTTTTTAAGCAGTAATAAGCAATTCCATCCCCAATGCGGACTTAGAATCACAGCCTACATGTGCAAGTCTATAACAAACCTGCATGACACACAGTAGAATCTCATTGGTTCACACCCTTGCAAAAACCACAACCCCTCAACTTTCAAAAAAGCAAAGGCCTCTTTACCTAAGTGCACATTAGCTGCTGGCTTAGGCAGGCCTTATGACATGGCTGCCTCCCCAGTGGGCAGGCGTACCACAGCAAGGCACTCATTAAGCTATTGAGTTTCATTCCAGTAACCGTTCAAATACATTCTTCATTGTACCATAAAGTATGTTTGTTTGATGCTAGAACTTTGATTTTCCTCCTCCTTCTCTTTTTCTATCCCCCATCCCTACCTTCTCAACCATTTTGGTATTTTTTTTTTTTTCTCCCATGCTAACACACTCACAAAAATCCAGTAATTCTCAATGGATCTCTTGGTCATTAGTGCAAATTAGTGAGGTTTTACTGAATATGCTCAGATTTGATTTGCCAAGTTCTTTTCCCGTTAAAGTTTTAAACCCATGTGTATTTCAAAGGAAATCTAATTTGTAGGTTTCGGATTCATTTACACTCAACTCACAAACGTGGTTCTGTGAGTGCCCCCATAGCTGGTGTACAAGAAGCCACAGGAGCTGGTTTCCCTTCCTCTTAACAAGTTCTTGTTAGAATGTTTGCTTTGAAGTAGGTATTTGGACCATGCTGGAAGCAAACAGAATAAAACCCCAGGAAAACGTAAAGTAAAATTTAAAAACCAAGTTCATGTTTTTCTTGCCCCAATAATTATACTTTTTAAAGAAAAGTCTCTAAGGATGGAACCATCCATTTCAGCCTTTTAAGGATGATGTCACCATCTACCTGCCTGGATGAGGCTGTGTCTCATAATGCTTCTGTGACAAGGTAGTCATCTGCGAGTATATGGCTTTCTCTGCTTAGGTCCTGTCTTGTCCATTTTGTCATGCTATGGACTCTGTTCAGCTGCTAGGCAACCCAACGCTGCTCCACCATTCCCTCTAAGACTCTGCTGCTGGGAGTCTTGAAGGTGCCATTTCTGCCTGTGGGGGTCCCCACACCTATCAATTCCTGCCTGTCTTCCCCTCTTTGGAGCTCCTTAGCTCTGCCTGTTTTCTTGGACTTCATCACAGCAACTACTTCCTGTGTTTCCTGATGTTTGTCCCAAAGACAAACATCAGGATAGATTCCTTGTCAACTCATCTTGGATTCCCAATGCTTCTTGGCTAAAGTCACAACTGCAGACCTCCTGCTGCAGTCACGGAATACCATGGTTTTGCCTCTGTGCTGACAATTTCCCCAATAGCTATGCTATCCCAATGGGTGGACCTACTGCCTACTGCTGACCCTGGCTTCTCTTTGTCACTTTTGATTCCTCTGAATAAAAGAGCCAAATGTCACTGATGTTTCTGTTTCTATTACCCATTTCCACAGTGTGAGACCAGTAGCAGGTAAGATGTGAATGCTGATGAGACTCTGTGCTCACATGGATGGCATGAGCTGTGCCTCAAAAGGCAGAACATCTCTAGCAGTGCCAGCTCTTGTCCAAACATCAAAAGTAAGCAGCAATTCTTAACACTGAGTATAGGCTGCTTTGTCTTTTTTTTTTTCTTTGAAGACTGCCTCCTTGGAAAGACAAATAGCATATCACACCCCAAAGGCTGTGACAATACTGAAAAAGCCCTTCTTTACCAACTGTCTTCTACAAAAACAACTCCTTGGGAGTTCATTTCAAGGGACTCGAGAAAAATAGCCATGCATGCTGCTAAATGCTGGGTGACTCACTGAGGCAGAGGTGAAACTCTGAGCAGTGAACCAAGGGCTGAGATATAAACCACTAAGAAAACCCAGTAGGTTGAAACAGACGATATTGCAACTGTTCTGAAAATCAGCACGTATGTAGGTAATTACTCCTAATATGCCCAGACAACTTCAATGTGTGTATCTGTGTGTCTTATCTATGTAAATGCAAAAAAACCTAAACCAATTCTACCTACCTACCTAAATGCAAAGAAATATAAACCAAGTACACCCATGAATCAGAAAGCTCTTTTCTAACCTGCCCCGAATCCCTTGCTCTAAGACTCCTTGAAAGCATTGTGCCACAGTCCACCGGAAGATATAGCATAATTATCTCATAACCACTAGTTAGGAAGTCCCTAGGAAGTACCTTCTGACTGCTAAGAATAGCTATTCATTTATTTTCACTCATTCACTCACCTATCAATCTTTAACAAGGTGTCAAACATGTCAGGACAATGTGAGGCTCTCTGTATTAGATAAGAAAGAATTTCTAGGGAGAATAGTGGAGATGAGAAACAATATCTCTTTTCATTTCCCTGCCTCTAAATTTACAAAGCAAAAGTAGAAAGCAAATTATACAAGCAAGTTGTGTATGAGGTACCCAAACACCTATAACCAGTCTTTTGCCAATTATCAGCCAATTTTGCTTTTTTTCCCCCAAAGAATTTCAACATTTCTCTTCATTCATCCACTTCCCAACCTGGTCCTTTTTAGTGATTTAACTTTGATCTGGCAAATAATGGCTCTTTCAACAACTAACAAGTTATAAACAGCTTCTACCAATGGAACAGTGCCTCTTTCCTCACAAAACAGCTCTTTCAATTAACATGTATACAGAGCACAGCAAGAGTTAAAATGATGATCAAAAAGAGTTTCATCAGCATAGTATGCTTAAGATTTGTGTATGTCGGCCAGGCGTGGTGGTTCATGCCTGTAATCCCAGCACTTCGTGAGTCTGAGGCAGGAGGATCTCTTGAGGCCAGGAGCTCAAGACCAGCCTGGGCAACACGGTGAAACTCCATCTCTACGAAAAATACAAAAATTAGCCAGGTGTGTGGTGGTGCACACCTGTAGTCCCAGCTACTTGGGAGGCTGAGGTGAGATGAGCACTTGAGCCCAGGAGGTCGAGGCTGCAGCGAGCCGGGACTGTGCTACTATACTCCAGCCTGGGTGACAGAGTGAGACTCTGTCTCAAAAAAAAAAAAAAAAAGAAAGAAAAAGAAAAAGAAGGGGGAGGAGCCAAGATGGCCGAATAGGAACAGCTCCAGTCTACAGCTCCCAGCATGAGCGACGCAGAAGACGGGTGATTTCTGCATTTCCATCTGAGGTACCGGGTTCATCTCACTAGGGAGTGCCAGAGAGTGGGCGCAGGCCAGTGTGTGCGCGCACCCTGCGCGAGCTGAAGCAGGGCGAGGCATTCCCTCACCTGGGAAGCGCAAGGGGTCAGGGAGTTCCCTTTCCGAGTCAAAGAAAGGGGTGACGGATGCACCTGGAAAATCGGGTCACTCCCACCCGAATATTGCGCTTTTCAGACCGGCTTAAAAAACGGCGCACCACGAGACTATATCCCACACCTGGCTCAGAGGGTCCTATGCCCACGGAATCTCGCTGATTGCTAGCACAGCAGTCTGAGATCAAACTGCAAGGCGGCAACGAGGCTGGGGGAGGGGCGCCCGCCATTGCCCAGGCTTGCTTAGGTAAAAAAAGCAGCCGGGAAGCTCGAACTGGGTGGAGCCCACCACAGCTCAAGGAGGCCTGCCTGCCTATGTAGGCTCCACCTCTGGGGGCAGGGCACAGACAAACAAAAAGACAGCAGTAACCTCTGCAGACTTAAGTGTCCCTGTCTGACAGCTTTGAAGAGAGCAGTGGTTCTCCCAGCACGCAGCTGGAGATCTGAGAACGGGCAGACTGCCTCCTCAAGTGGGTCCCTGACCCCTGACCCCCGAGCAGCCTAACTGGGAGGCACCCCCCAGCAGGGGCACACTGACACCTCACACGGCAGGGTATTCCAACAGACCTGCAGCTGAGGGTCCTGTCTGTTAGAAGGAAAACTAACAACCAGAAAGGACATCTACACCAAAAACCCATCTGTACATCACCATCATCAAAGACCAAAAGTAGATAAAACCACAAAGATGGGGAAAAAACAGAACAGAAAAACTGGAAACTCTAAAACGCAGAGCGCCTCTCCTCCTCCAAAGGAACGCAGTTCCTCACCAGCAACGGAACAAAGCTGGATGGAGAATGATTTTGACGAGCTGAGAGAAGAAGGCTTCAGACGATCAAATTACTCTGAGCTACGGGAGGACATTCAAACCAAAGGCAAAGAAGTTGAAAACTTTGAAAAAAATTTAGAAGAATGTATAACTAGAATAACCAATACAGAAAAGTGCTTAAAGGAGCTGATGGAGCTGAAAACCAAGGCTCGAGAACTACGTGAAGAATGCAGAAGCCTCAGGAGCCGATGCGATCAACTGGAAGAAAGGGTATCAGCAATGGAAGATGAAATGAATGAAATGAAGCGAGAAGGGAAGTTTAGAGAAAAAAGAATAAAAAGAAATGAGCAAAGCCTCCAAGAAATATGGGACTATGTGAAAAGACCAAATCTACGTCTGATTGGTGTACCTGAAAGTGATGTGGAGAATGGAACCAAGTTGGAAAACACTCTGCAGGATATTATCCAGGAGAACTTCCCCAATCTAGCAAGGCAGGCCAACGTTCAGATTCAGGAAATACAGAGAACGCCACAAAGATACTCCTCGAGAAGAGCAACTCCAAGACACATAATTGTCAGATTCACCAAAGTTGAAATGAAGGAAAAAATGTTAAGGGCAGCCAGAGAGAAAGGTCGGGTTACCCTCAAAGGAAAGCCCATCAGACTAACAGCGGATCTCTCGGCAGAAACCCTACAAGCCAGAAGAGAGTGGGGGCCAATATTCAACATTCTTAAAGAAAAGAATTTTCAACCCAGAATTTCATATCCAGCCAAACTAAACTTCATAAGTGAAGGAGAAATAAAATACTTTATAGACAAGCAAATGCTGAGAGATTTTGTCACCACCAGGCCTGCCCTAAAAGAGCTCCTGAAGGAAGTGCTAAACATGGAAAGGAACAACCGGTACCAGCCACTGCAAAATCATGACAAAATGTAAAGACCATCGAGGCTAGGAAGAAACTGCATCAACTAACGAGCAAAACCACCAGCTAACATCATAATGACAGGATCAAATTCAAACATAACAATATTAACTTTAAATATAAATGGACTAAATTCTGCAATTAAAAGACACAGACTGGCAAGTTGGATAAAGAGTCAAGACCCATCAGTGTGCTGTATTCAGGAAACCCATCTCACGTGCAGAGACACACATAGGCTCAAAATAAAAGGATGGAGGAAGATCTACCAAGCCAATGGAAAACAAAAAAAGGCAGGGGTTGCAATCCTAGTCTCTGATAAAACAGACTTTAAACCAACAAAGATCAAAAGAGACAAAGAAGGCCATTACATAATGGTAAAGGGATCAATTCAACAAGAGGAGCTAACTATCCTAAATATTTATGCACCCAATACAGGAGCACACAGATTCATAAAGCAAGTCCTGAGTGACCTACAAAGAGACTTAGACTCCCACACATTAATAATGGGAGACTTTAACATCCCACTGTCAACATTAGACAGATCAACGAGACAGAAAGTCAACAAGGATACCCAGGAATTGAACTCAGCTCTGCACCAAGCGGACCTAATAGACATCTACAGAACTCTCCACCCCAAATCAACAGAATATACATTTTTTTCAGCACCACACCACACCTATTCCAAAATTGACCACATAGTTGGAAGTAAAGCTCTCCTCAGCAAATGTAAAAGAACAGAAATTATAACAAACTATCTCTCAGACCACAGTGCAATCAAACTAGAACTCAGGATTAAGAATCTCACTCAAAGCCGCTCAACTACATGGAAACTGAACAATCTGCTCCTGAATGACTACTGGGTACATAACGAAATGAAGGCAGAAATAAAGATGTTCTTTGAAACCAACGAGAACAAAGACACCACATACCAGAATCTCTGGGACGCATTCAAAGCAGTGTGTAGAGGGAAATTTATAGCAGTAAATGCCCACAAGAGAAAGCAGGAAAGATCCAAAATTGACACCCTAACATCACAATTAAAAGAACTAGAAAAGCAAGAGCAAACACATTCAAAAGCTAGCAGAAGGCAAGAAATAACTAAAATCAGAGCAGAACTGAAGGAAATAGAGACACAAAAAACCCTTCAAAAAATCAATGAATCCAGGAGCTGGTTTTTTGAAAGGATCAACAAAATTGATAGACCGCTAGCAAGACTAATAAAGAAAAAAAGAGAGAAGAATCAAATAGACACAATAAAAAATGGTAAAGGGGATATCACCACCGATCCCACAGAAATACAAACTACCATCAGAGAATACTACAAACACCTCTATGCAAATAAACTAGAAAATCTAGAAGAAATGGATACATTCCTCGACACATACACTCTCCGAAGACTAAACCAGGAAGAAGTTGAATCTCTGAATAGACCAATAACAGGCTCTGAAATTGTGGCAATAATCAATAGTTTACCAACCAAAAAGAGTCCAGGACCAGATGGATTCACAGCCGAATTCTACCAGAGGTACAAGGAGGAACTGGTACCATTCCTTCTGAAACTATTCCAATCAATAGAAAAAGAGGGAATCCTCCCTAACTCATTTTATGAGGCCAGCATCATTCTGATACCAAAGCCGGGCAGAGACACAACCAAAAAAGAGAATTTTAGACCAATATCCTTGATGAACATTGATGCAAAAATCCTCAATAAAATACTGGCAAACCAAATCCAGCAGCACATCAAAAAGCTTATCCACCATGATCAAGTGGGCTTCATCCCTGGGATGCAAGGCTGGTTCAATATACGCAAATCAATAAATGTAATCCAGCATATCAACAGAACCAAAGACAAAAACCACATGATTATCTCAATAGATGCAGAAAAAGCCTTTGACAAAATTCAACAACCCTTCATGCTAAAAACTCTCAATAAATTAGGTATTGATGGGACGTATTTCAAAATAATAAGAGCTATCTATGACAAACCCACAGCCAATATCATACTGAATGGGCAAAAACTGGAAGCATTCCCTTTGAAAAATGGCACAAGACAGGGATGCCCTCTCTCACCACTCCTATTCAACATAGTGTTGGAAGTTCTGGCCAGGGCAATCAGGCAGGAGAAGGAAATAAAGGGTATTCAATTAGGAAAAGAGGAAGTCAAATTGTCCCTGTTTGCAGACGACATGATTGTTTATCTAGAAAACCCCATCGTCTCAGCCCAAAATCTCCTTAAGCTGATAAGCAACTTCAGCAAAGTCTCAGGATACAAAATCAATGTACAAAAATCACAAGCATTCTTATACACCAACAACAGACAAACAGAGAGGCAAATCACGAGTGAACTCCCATTCACAATTGCTTCAAAGAGAATAAAATACCTAGGAATCCAACTTACAAGGGATGTGAAGGACCTCTTCAAGGAGAACTACAAACCACTGCTCAAGGAAATAAAAGAGGACACAAACAAATGGAAGAACATTCCATGCTCATGGGTAGGAAGAATCAATATCGTGAAAATGGCCATACTGCCCAAGGTAATTTACAGATTCAATGCCATCCCCATCAAGCTACCAATGACTTTCTTCACAGAATTGGAAAAAACTACTTTAAAGTTCATATGGAACCAAAAAAGAGCCCGCATCGCCAAGTCAATCCTAAGCCAAAAGAACAAAGCTGGAGGCATCACACTACCTGACTTCAAACTATACTACAAGGCTACAGTAACCAAAACAGCATGGTACTGGTACCAAAACAGAGATATACATCAATGGAACAGAACAGAGCCCTCAGAAATAATGCCGCATATCTACAACTATCTGATCTTTGACAAACCTGAGAAAAACAAGCAATGGGGAAAGGATTCCCTATTTAATAAATGGTGCTGGGAAAACTGGCTAGCCATATGTAGAAAGCTGAAACTGGATCCCTTCCTTACACCTTATACAAAAATTAATTCAAGATGGATTAAAGATTTAAACGTTAGACCTAAAACCATAAAAACCCTAGAAGAAAACCTAGGCATTACCATTCAGGACATAGGCGTGGGCAAGGACTTCATGTCCAAAACACCAAAAGCAATGGCAACAAAAGCCAAAATTGACAAATGGGATCTAATTAAACTAAAGAGCTTCTGCACAGCAAAAGAAACTACCATCAGAGTGAACAGGCAACCTACAACATGGGAGAAAATTTTTGCAACCTACTCATCTGACAAAGGGCTAATATCCAGAATCTACAATGAACTCAAACAAATTTACAAGAAAAAAACAAACAACCCCATCAAAAAGTGGGTGAAGGACATGAACAGACACTTCTCAAAAGAAGACATTTATGCAGCCAAAAAACACATGAAAAAATGCTCATCATCACTGGCCATCAGAGAAATGCAAATCAAAACCACTATGAGATATCATCTCACACCAGTTAGAATGGCAATCATTAAAAAGTCAGGAAACAACAGGTGCTGGAGAGGATGTGGAGAAATAGGAACACTTTTACACTGTTGGTGGGACTGTAAAGTAGTTCAACCATTGTGGAAGTCAGTGTGGCGATTCCTCAGGGATCTTGAACTAGAAATACCATTTGACCCAGCCATCCCATTACTGGGTATATACCCAAATGACTATAAATCATGCTGCTATAAAGACACATGCACACGTATGTTTATTGCGGCATTATTCACGATAGCAAAGACTTGGAACCAACCCAAATGTCCAACAATGATAGACTGGATTAAGAAAATGTGGCACATATACACCATGGAATACTATGCAGCCATAAAAAATGATGAGTTCATGTCCTTTGTAGGGACATGGATGAAATTGGAAACCATCATTCTCAGTAAACTATCGCAAGAACAAAAAACCAAACACCGCATATTCTCACTCATAGGTGGGAATTGAACAATGAGATCACATGGACACTGGAAGGGGAATATCATACTCTGTGGACTGTGGTGGGGTCGGGGGAGGGGGGAGGGATAGCATTGGGAGATATACCTAATGCTAGATGATACGTTAGTGGGTGCAGCGCACCAGCATGGCACATGTATACATATGTAACTAACCTGCACAATGTGCACATGTACCCTAAAACTTAAAGTATAATTTAAAAAAAAAATTAAAAAAAAAATTAAACAACATACTCTTAAATAACCAATGGATCAAAGGAGAAACATCAAGGGAAATTAGAAAATACTTTGAGATGAATGAAAATGAAAACACAAAAGCAAAACTGTGCTTAAAATACATAGTTGTAAAAGCCTACAATAAAAATAAAGATCTTCAATTGAAAAAAAAAAAAAAGAAAAAGAAAAAAAAAGTGTATGACATTGTATGAAAATTTTATCTTAAAAGAAAAAAACTGAACATTAGTTAATAACATGCATCCTTAAATGCTGATGTTTGTAACCTACTTAGAAATGCATTAAAAAGATGGGGTAGGTTATACCTCAAGGAAACTGGAAAAAGGATTTGACAGTTATGTCTAGTGTATTTCTATAAATTTGCTTTTAAATATCTTATCCTATGTCAAATAATGTAGCCTTCTTTACTCCTTACAATATGCTGAGCATTTTCCCAAGCCATTCAACATTTTACAAAATGTTATTTTAATGGCTACTTAATATCCCAGTGCATGGGCTGGGCACGGTGGATCATGCCTGTAATCCCAGCACTTTGGGAGGCTGAAGCAGGCAGATCACCTGAGGTCAGGAGTTCAAGACCAGTCTGGTCAACATGGTGAAACCCTGTCTCTACTAAAAGCACAAAAAAATTAGCCAGGCGTGGTGGCGCATGCCTGTAGTCCTAGCTACTTTGGAGACTGAGGCAGCAGAATCACTTGAACCCCAGAGGCAGAGGTTGCAGTGAGCTGCGATAGTGCCACTGCACTCCAGCCTTGGTGACAGAGTGAGACTCAGTCTCAAAAAAAAAAAAAAAAAAATCCCAGTTTGTAACACAAATTATTCAGGTGTGTCCTTACAGGTAAGCAGATTATTTCCACATTTTCACTAACATAAGTGTACTACCAGGAAAACCCTTAAATGAAAATTATTCAATCCCATTTACTTCTTCAGCATGGCTAAAGGGTAGGAACAGTTTATGTGTGTGTGTATCTATATATCTATACATTTTTAAACAGACCTAAGATTGCATTTCTCATGCAAACCTCTCCTGCATCAAACATTATGTTCAATTTTTTTTTGTCAGTGATGTAGACATTGGTTTATCATTGTTTTCATAGAATTCCATTATCAGTGAAGTCTGCCATTCATATTTTTAGATGAATTGTCGGTGTTTGTTCTCCAGTTCTGCACTGTGATGTTGGTATTTTTCTCCTTATTGACTTCCAAAGGTTCTTTGAATAAGCCTGATGTGCTTTCCATCCTGGAACCTGATCCTGTTTGTAAATTCCTTAGTATGTCTAAAAGGAATTTAATATAAAATGTATGATATGCCGTTTCTTCATTTGGTGAAGCATTAAAGCTATTTTGACACCCAACTAAAGGAGTCCTTCCAGGACAGAATGCTAACATGGGCCAAACACTGAACCCTAGCTGCCAGCATTTTGCTTTTAAGTCTAACAAATCCTAAGTAATTCATATGCTGTTGTAAACAATTAGGTATGATCCTAAATAGTGATAAAGTAATATAGAGCAGTGTTGTAACAAGGTTTTATTTGAAATTGTTTTCTAAAATGTGATGCATTACTGATTTTGACACTGTTTGAAGCAAAGTCCATCATCAAATGTGATGCTTATGATGAGAAGATACATGTATTTGTAACGTTTAATGGAACCTAAACTCTTTTAAAAACAACGTGCCATTTGTGGGTATGTTTCTAATCTCCTATCATAAATCGTGAGATAGGCCTTTTTTTGGAGATATTTGGGCTTGCACTAAAGCCTTTTTTTTTTTAAACTAATGAGAGTTTTGAGAAATAGAAGATCGTGTTGAAGTTACTGTGTATGTGTGTGAATCCCTTGCTTAAAAATATTTCATCCATTGGTTAGGTTGTGGAGAAACTGGAACACTTACGCATTGCTCGTAGTAATATAAAATGGTATAGCTGCTCTCGGGTGTGGATGGCAAGATGGCTGAATAGGAACCACTCTGGTCTACAGCTCCCAGTGAGATTAATGAAGAAGGCGGGTGATTTCTGCATTTCCAGCTGAGGTACCCAGCTTATCTCATTGGGACTGGTTAGACAGTGGGTGCAGCCCACGGAGGGCAAGCCGAAGCAGGGTGGGGCGTTCCCTCACCAGGAATAGCAAGGGGTCAGGGAACTCCCTCCCTTAGCCAAGGGAAGCCGTGAGGGACCATGCTGTGAGGAATGATGCATTCCAGCCCAGATAACTATGCTTTTCCTAGGGTCTTCGCAACCCTCAGACCAAGAGATTCCCTTGGGTACCTACATCACCAGGGCCCTGGGTTTCAAGCACAAAACTGGGCAGCTGTTTGGGCAGACACCGAGCTAGCTCCAGGAGTTTGTTTTAATACCCCAGTGACACCTGGAATGCCAGTGAGACAGAACCATTCACTGCCCTGGAAAGGGGGCTGAAGCCAGGGAGCCAAGTGGTCTAGCTCAGCAAATCCCACCCCCATGGAGCCCAGCAAGCTAAGATCCACTGGCTTGAAATTCTTGCTGCCAGCACAGCAGTCTGAAGTCGAGCTGGGACATTCGAGCTTGGTGGTGGGAGGGGCGTCCACCATTACTGAGGCTTGAGTAGGCAATGTTCCCCTCACAGTGTAAGCAAAGCTGCCTGGAACTTTGAACTGGGCAGAGCCCACTGCAGCTTGGCTAAGCTGCTGTGGCCAGTCTGCCTGTCTAGATTCCTCCTCTCTGGGCAGGGCATCTCTGAAAGAAAGGCAGCAGCCCCAGTCAGGGGCTTACAGATAAAGCTCCCATCTTCCTGGGACAGAGCATCTAGGGGAAGGGGTGGATGTGGGCACAGCTTCAGCAGACATAAATATTCCTGCCTGCTGGTTCTGAAGAGAGCAGTGGATCTCCCAGCACAGCACTCGAGCTCTGCCAAGGGACAGGCTGCCTCCTCAAGTGGGGCCCTGACCCCCATGCCTCCTGACTTGGAGACAACTCCCAGTAGGGGCTGACAGACACCTCATACAGGAGAGTTCTGGCTGGCATCTGGCGGGTGCCCCACTGGGATGAAGCTTCCAGAGGAAGGAACAGGCAGCAATCTTTGCTGTTCTGCAGCCTCTGCTGGTGATACCCAGGCAAACAGGGTCTGGAGTGGACCTCCAGCATACTCCAGCAGACCTGCAGCAGAGGGGCCTGACTGTTAGAAGGAAAATGAACAAACACAAAGGAATAGCATCAACATCAACAAAAAGGACATCCACTCAAAAGCCCCATCTGAAGGTCACCAAAATCAAAGACCAGAGGTAAATAAATCCACGAAGATGAGAAAAAAGTAGAGCAAAAAGGCTGAAAATTCCAAAAACCAGAATGCCTCTTCTCCAAAAAATCACAACTCCTCGCCAGCAAGGGAACAAAACTGGATGGAGAATGAGTTTGACGAACTGACAGAAGTAGGCTTCAGAAGGTGGGTAATAACAAACTTCTCCGAGCTAAAGGAGCATATTCCAACCCAAAGCAAGAAAGCTGAGAACCCTGAAAAAAGGTTAGAGGAATTGCTGTCTAGAATAACCAGTTTAGAGAAGAATATAAATGACCTGATAGAGCTGAAAAACACAGCATGAGAACTTCATGAAGCATTCACAAGTATCAGTAGCCGAATCGATCAAGCGGAAGAAAGGATATCAGAGATTGAAGATCAACTTGAAGAAATAAAGTGTGAAGACAACATTAGAGAAAAAAGAATGAAAAGGAGTGAACAAAGCCTCCAAGAAATATGGGACTATGTGAAAAGACCAAACCTACACTTGATTGGTGTACCTGAAAGTGACGGGGAGAATGGAACCAAGTTGGAAAACACTCTGCAGGATATTATCCAGGAGAACTTCCCCAGCCTAGCAAGGCAGGCCAACATTCAAATTCTGGAAATACAGAGAACACCACAAAGATATTCCTTTAGAAGAGCAACTTCAAGACACATAATCATCAGATTCACCAAGGTTGAAATGAAGTAAAAAATATTAAGGGCAGCCAGAGAGTAAGAAAGGGTTACCGACAAAGGGAAGCCCATCAGACTAACAGCAGATCTCTCTGCAGAAACCCTACAAGCCAGAAGAGAGTGGGGGCCAATATTCAACATTCTTAAAGAAAAGAATTTTCAACCCAGAATTTCATATCCAGCCAAACTAAGCTTCATAAGTGAAGGAAAAATAAAATCCTTTACGGACAATCAAATGCTGATTTTGTCACCACCAGGCCTACGTTACAAGAGCTCCTGAAGGAAGCACTAAATATGGAAAGGAACAACCAGTACCAGCCATTGCAAAAACATACCAAATTCTAAAGACCATCATCAACTAATGGGCAAAATAACCAGCTGGCATCATAATGACCAGATCAAATTCACACATAATAATATTAATGTAAACAGGCTAAATGCCCCAATTAAAAGACACAGACTGGCACATTGGATAAGACCCATTGGTGTGGTGTATTCAGGAGACCCATCTCATGTGCAAAGACACAAAAAGGCTCAAAATAAAGGGATGGAGGAATATTTACCAAGCAAATGGAAAGCAAAAAAAAGCAGGGGTTGCAATCCTAGTTTGATAAAACAGACTTTAACTAACAAAGATCAAAAGAGACAAAGAAGGCCATTACATAATGGTAAAGGGATCAATGCAACAAGAAGAGCTAACTATCCTAAATATATATGCACTCAATACTGGAGCACCCAGATTCATAAAGCAAGTTCTTAGAGATCTACAAAGAGACTTAGACTCCCACACAATAATAGTGGGAGACTTTAACACCCCACTGTCAATATTAGACAGATCAACAAGACAGAAAATTAACAAGGCTATTCAGGACTTGAACTCAGCTCTGGACCAAGTGGACCTAATAGATATCTACAGAACTCTCCACCCCAAATCAACAGAATATACATTCTTCTCAGCACCACATTGCACTTATTCTAAAATTGATCACATTATTGGAAGTCAAACACTCCTCAGCAAATGCAAGAGAACGGAAATCATAAACAGCCTCTCAGACCACAGTGCAATCAAATTAGAACTCAGGATTAAGAAACTCACTAAAAACTGCACAGCTACATAGAAACTGAACAACCTGCTCCTGAATGACTACTGGGTAAATAATAAAATTAAGGCAGAAGTAAATAAGTTCTTCGAAGCCAATGAGAACTAAGACATGACGTACAAGAATCTCTGGGACACAGCTAAAGCAGTGATTAGAGGGAAATTTATAGCACTAAAATGCCCACAGGAGAAAGTGGGAAAGATCCAAAATCGACACCCTAACATCACAACTAAAAGAACTAGAGAAGCAAGAGCAAACACATTCAAAAGCTAGCAGAAGCCAAGACATAACTAAGATCAGAGCAGAAGTGAAGGAGACAGAGACACGAAAAACCCTTCAAAAAAATCAATGAATCCAGGAGCTGGTTCTTTTGAAAAGATTAACAAAATAGACTGCTAGCAAGACTAATAAAGAATAAAAGACAGAAGAATCAAATAGACACAATAAAAAATGATAAAGGTGATATTACCACGGATCCCACATAAATACAAACTACCATCAGAGAAAACTATAAACACCTCTACGCAAATAAACTAGAAAATCCAGAAGAAATGGATAAATTGCTGGACACATACACCCTCCCAAGACTAAACTAAGAAGAAGTACAATCCCTGATTATATCAATAACAAGTTCTGAAATTGAGGCAGTAATTAATAGCCTACCAACCAAAAAGAGTCCAGGACCAGATGGATTCACAGCCGAATTCTACCAGAGGTACAAGGAGGAATTGGTAACATTCCTTCTGAAACTATTCCAAACAATAGAAAAAGAGGGACTCCTCCTTAAATCATTTTATGAGGCCAGCATCATCCTGATACCAAAACCTGGAAGAGACACAACAAATAAAGAAAATTTCAGGCCAATATCCCTGATGAACATCAATGCAAAAATCCTCAATAAAATACTGGCAAACCGGATCCAGCAGCACATTAAAAAGCTTATCCACCACGATCACGTTGGCTTCATCCCTGGGATGCAAGGCTGATTCAACTTATGCAAATCAATAAACGTAATCCATCACATAAACAGAACCAATGACAAAAACCAAATGATCATCTCAATAGATGCAGAAAAGGCCTTCGATAAAATTCAACACTCCTTCATGCTAAAAACTCTCAATAAACTAGGTATTGATGGAACGTATCTCAAAATAATAAGAGCTGTTTATGACAAATCCACAGCCAATATCATACTGAATAGGCAAAAGCTGGAAGCATTCCTTCTTAAAACCAGTGCAAGACAAGGATGGCCTCTCTCACCACTCCTATTCAACACAGTATTTGAAGTTCTGGCCAGGGCAATCAGGCAAGAGAAAGAAATAAATGGCATTCAAATAGGAAAAGAGGAAGTCAAATTGTCTCTGTTTGCAGGTGACATGATTGTATATTTAGAAAACTCAATCATCTCAGCCCAAAATCTCCTTAAGCTGATAAGCAACTTCAGCAAAGTCTCAGGATGCAAAATCAATGTGCAAAAATCACAAGCATTCCTATACACAAACACAGAGCCAAATCATGAGTGAACTCCCATTCACAATTGCTACAAAGAGAATAAAATACCTAGGAATACAACTTACAAGGGATGTGAAGGACCTCCTAAAGGAGAACTACAAACCACTGCTCAAGAAAATAAGAGAGGACACAAACAAATGGAAAAACATTCCATGCTTATGGATGGGAATAATCAATATCATGAAAATGGCCATACTGCCCCAAAGTAATTTACAGATTTGATGCTGTCCCCAATCAAGCTACCATTGACTTTCTTCATACAATTAGATAAAACTACTTTAAATTTCATATGGAATCAAAAAAGAGCTCATATAGCTAAGACAGTCCTAAGCAAAAAGAACAAAGCTAGAGGTATCAAAATTGTAACTATACTACAAGGCTACAGTAACCAAAAAGCATGGTACTAGTACCAAAACAGATATACAGACCAATGGAACAGAACAGAGGCCTCAGAAATAACACACCACACATCTACAACTATCTGATCTTTGGCAAACCTGACAAAAACAAGCAATGGGGAAAGGATTCCCTATTTAATAAATGGTGTTGGGAAAACTGGCTAGCCATATGCAGAATAATGAAACTGGACCCCTTCCTTACACCTTATACAAAAATTAACTCAAGATGGATTAAAACTTAAACATAAGACCTAAAACCATAAAAACCCTAGAAGAAAACCTAGGCAATACCCATAAGCATGGGCAAAGACTTCATGACTAAAACACCAAAAGCAATGACAGCAAAAGCCAAAATTGACAAATGGGATCTAATTAAACTAAAGAGCTTCTGCACAGTGAAAGAAACTCATCAGAGTGAACAGACAACCTACAGAATGGGTGAAAATTTTTGCAATCTATCCATTTGACAAAGGGCTAATATCCAGAATCTACAAGGAACTTAAACAAATTTACAAGAAAAAAGCAACACCATCAAAAAGTGGGCGAAGGATATGAACAGATACTTCTGAAAAGAAGACATTTATGCGGCCAACAAACGTGAAAAAAAGCTCATCATCACTGGTCATTAGAGAAATGCAAATCAAACCATAATGAGATACCATCTCACGCCAGTTAGAATGGTGATCATTAAAAAGTCAGGAAACAACAGATGCTGGAGAGGATGTGAAGAAATAGGAACGCTTTTACACCGTTGGTGGGAGTGTAAATCAGTTCAACCATTGTGGAAGACAGTGTGGCGATTCCTCCAGGATCTAGAAGCAGAAATACCATTTGCTCCAGCAAATACCAAAGGATTATAAATCATTCCATTATAAAAACACATGCACACATATGTTTACTGCAGCACTACTCACAATAGCAAAGACTTGGAACCAACCCAAATGCCTATCAATGATAGACTGGATAAAGAAAATGTGGATCAGGAGCCAAGATGGCCGAATAGGAACAGCTCCGGTCTACAGCTCCCAGCATGAGCAATGCAGAAGACGGGTGATTTCTGCATTTCTATCTGAGGTACCGGGTTCATCTCACTAGGGAGTGCCAGACAGTGGGCGCAGGTCAGTGGGTGCAGCACACTGTGGGCGAGCCGAAGCAGGGCGAGGCATTGCTTCACTTGGGAAGTGCAAGGGGTCAGGGAGTTCCCTTTCCTAGTCAAAGAAAGGGGTGACAGACGGCACCTCGAAAATCGGGTCACTCCCACCCTAATACTGCGCTTTTCCAATGGGCTTAAAAAACGGCGCACCAGGAGATTATATCCTGCACCTGGCTCGGAGGGTCCTACGCCCACGGAGTCTGGCTGATTGCTAGCACAGCAGTCTGAAATCAAACTGCAAGGCGGCAGTGAGGCTGGGGAAGGGGCACCCGCCATTGCCCAGGCTTGCTTAGGTAAACAAAGCAGCCAGGAAGCTCGAACTGGGTGGAGCCCACCACAGCTCAAGGGGACCTGCCTGCCTCTGTAGGCTCCACCTCTGCGGGCAGGGCACAGACAAACAAAAAGACAGCAGTAACCTCTGCAGACTTAAATGTCCCTGTCTGACAGCTTTGAAGAGAGCAGTGGTTCTCCCAGCATGCAGCTGGAGATCTGAGAACGGGCAGACTGCCTCCTCAAGTGGGTCCCTGACACCTGACCCCGAGAAGCCTAACTGCGAGGCACCCCCAGTAGGGGCAGACTGACACCTCACACGTCCGGGTACTCCTCTGAGACAAAACTTCCAGAGGAACGATCAGACAGCAGCATTCGCGGTTCACAAAAATCCGCTGTTCTGCAGCCACCGCTGCTGTTACCCAGGCAAACAGTGACTGGAGTGGACCTCTAGCAAACTCCAACAGACCTGCAGCTAAGGGTCCTGTCTGTTAGAAGGAAAACTAACAAACAGAAAGGACATCCACAGCAAAAACCCATCTGTACATCACCATTATCAAAGACCAAAAGAAGACAAAACCACAAAGATGGGGAAAAAACAGAGCAGAAAAACTGGAAAGTCTAAAAAGCAGAGCACCTCTCCTCCTCCAAAGGAACACAGTTCCTCACCAGCAACGGAACAAAGCCGGACGGAGAATGACTTTGACGAGTTGAGAGAAGAAGGCTTCAGACGATCAAACTACTCCGAGCTACAGGAGGAAATTCAAACCAAAGGCAAAGAAGGTGAAAACTTTGAAAAAAATTTAGATGAATGTATAACTAGAATAACCAATACACAGAAGTGCTTAAAGGAGCTGATGGAGCTGAAAGCCAAGGCATGAGAACTACGTGAAAAATGCACAAGCCTCAGGAGCCGATTAGATCAACTGGAAGAAAGGGTATCAGTGATGGAAGATGAAATGAATGAAATGAAGTGAGAAGGGAAGTTTAGAGAAAAAAGAATAAAAAGAAACGAACAATGCCTCCAAGAAATATGGGACTACGTGAAAAGACCAAATCTGAGTCTGATTGGTGTTCCTGAAAGTGACGGGGGAGAATGGAACCAAGTTGGAAAACACTCTGCAGGATATTATCCAGGAGAACTTCCCCAATCTAGCAAGGCAGGCCAACGTTCAGATTCAGGAAATACAGAGAACGCCACAAAGATACTCCTCGAGAAGAGCAACTCCAAGACACATAATTGTCAGATTCACCAAAGTTGAAATGAAGGAAAAAATGTTAAGGGCAGCCAGAGAGAAAGGTCGGGTTACCCACAAAGGGAAGCCCATCAGACTGACAGCTGATCTCTCGCCAGAAACTCCACAAGCCAGAAGAGAGTGGGGGCTAATATTCAACATTCTTAAAGAAAAGAACTTTCAACCCAGAATTTCATATACAGCCAAACTAAGCTTCAGAAGTGAAGGAGAAATAAAATCCTTTACAGACAAGCAAATGCTGAGAGATTTTGTCACCACCAGGCCTGCCCTAAAAGAGCTCCTGAAGGAAGCACTAAACATGGAAAGGAAAAACTGGTACCAGCCACTGCAAAATCATGCCAAATTGTAAAGACCATCGAGGCTAGGAAGAAACTGCATCAACTAACGAGCAAAATCACCAGCTAACATCATAATGACAGGATCAAATTCACACATAACAATATTAACTTTAAATGTAAATGGACTAAATGCTCCAATTAAAAGACACAGACTGGCAAATTGGATAAAGAGTCAAGACCCATCAGTGTGCTATATTCAGGAAACCCATCTCACATGCGGAGACACACAGAAGCTCAAAATAAAAGGATGGAGGAAGATCTACCAAGCTAATGGAAAACAAAAAAAGGCAGGGGTTGCAATCCTAGTCTCTGATAAAACAGACTTTAAACCAACAAAGATCAAAAGAGACAAAGAAGGCCATTACATAATGGTAAAGGGATCAATACAACAAGAAGAGCTAACTATACTAAATATATATGCACCCAAGACAGGAGCACCCAGTTTCATAAAGCAAGTCCTGTGTGACCAACAAAGAGACTTAGACTCCCACACAATAATAATGGGAGACTTTAACACCCCACTGTCAACATTAGACACATCAACGAGACAGAAAGTTAACAAGGATATCCAGGAATTGAACTCAGCTCTGCACCAAGCTGACCTAATAGACATCTACAGAACTCCCCACTGCAAATCAACAGAATATACATTTTTTTCAGCACCACACCACACCTACTCCAAAATTGACCACACGGTTGGAAATAAAGCTCTCCTCAGCAAATGTAAAAGAACAGAAATTATAACAAACTGTCTCTCAGACCACAGTGCAATCAAACTAGAACTCAGGATTAAGAAACTCACTCAAAAGTGCTCAAGTACATGGAAACTGAACAACCTGCTCCTGAATGACTACTGGGTACATAATGAAATGAAGGCAGAAATAAAGATGTCCTTTGAAACCAACAAGAACAAAGACACAACATACCAGAATCTCTGGGACACATTCAAAGCAGTGTGTAGAGGGAAATTTATAGCACTAAATGCCCACAAGAGAAAGCAGGAAAGATCCAAAATTGACACCCTAACATCACAATTAAAAGAACTAGAAAAGCAAGAGCAAACACATTCAAAAGCTAGCAGAAGGCAAGAAATAACTAAAATCAGAGCAGAACTGAAGGAAATAGAGACACAAAAAACCCTTCAAAAAATTAATGAATCCAGGAGCTGGTTTTTTGAAAGGATCAACAAAATTGATAGACTGCTAGCAAGACTAATAAAGAAGAAAAGAGAGAAGAACCAAATAGAGGCAATAAAAAATGATAAAGGGGATATCACCACCGATCCCACAGAAATACAAACTACCATCAGAGAATACTACAAACACCTCTACACAAATAAACTAGAAAATCTAGAATGGATAAATTCCTGGACACATACACCCTCCCAAGACTAAACCAGGAAGAAGTTGAATCTCTGAATAGACCAATAAGAGGCTCTGAAATTGTGGCAATAATCAATGGCTTACCAACCAAAAAGTGTCCAGGACCAGAAGGATTCACAGCCGAATTCTATCAGAGGTACAAGGAGGAATTGGTACCATTCCTTCTGAAACTATTCCAATCAACAGAAAAAGAGGGAATCCTCCCTGACTCATTTTATGAGGCCAGCATCATCCTGATACCAAAGCCGGGCAGAGACACAACAAAAAAAGAGAATTTTAGACCAATATCCTTGATGAACATTGATGCAAAAATCCTCAATAAAATACTGGCAAACCGAATCCAGCAGCACATCAAAAAGCTTATCCACCATGATCAAGTGGGCTTCATCCCTGGGATGCAAGGCTGGTTCAACATACGCAAATCAATAAAAGTAATCCAGCATATAAATAGAACCAAAGACAAAAACCACATGATTACCTCAATAGATGCAGAAAAGGCCTTTGACAAAATTCAACAACCCTTCATGCTAAAAACTCTCAATAAATTAGGTATTGATGGGACCTATCACAAAATAACAAGAGCTATCTATGACAAACCCACAGCCAATATCATACTGAATGGGCAAAAACTGGAAGCATTCCCTTTGAAAACTGGCACAAGACAGGGATGCCCTCTCTCACCACTCCTATTCAACATAGTGTTGGAAGTTCTGGCCAGGGCATTTGGGCAGGAGAAGGAAATAAAGGGTATTCAATTAGGAAAAGAAGAAGTCAAATTGTCCCTGTTTGCAGATGACATGATTGTATATCTAGAAAACCCCATCGTCTCAGCCCAAAATCTCCTTAAGCTGATAAGCGACTTCAGCAAAGTCTCAGGATACAAAATCAATGTATAAAAATCACAAGCATTCTTATACACCAACAACAGACAAACAGAGAGCCAAATCATGAGTGAACTCCCATGCACAATTGCTTCAAAGAGAATAAAATACCTAGGAATCCAACTTACAAGGGATGTGAAGGACCTCTTCAAGGAGAACTACAAACCACTGCTCAATGAAATAAAAGAGGATACAAACAAATGGAATAACATTCCATGCTCATGGGTAGGAAGAATCAATATTGTGAAAATGGCCATACTGTCCAAGGTAATTTATAGATTCAATGCCATCCCCATCAAGCTACCAATGACTTTCTTCACAGAATTGGAAAACACTACTTTAAAGTTCATATGGAACCAAAACAGAGCCCGCATCACCAAGTCAATCCTAAGCCAAAAGAACAAAGTTGGAGGCATCACGCTACCTGACTTCAAACTATACTACAAGGCTACAGTAACCAAAACAGCATGGTACTGGTACCAAAACAGAGATATACATCAATGGAACAGAGCCCTCAGAAATAACACCGCATATCTGCAACTATCTGATCTTTGACAAACCTGAGAAAAATAAGCAATGGGGAAAGGAATCCCTATTTAATAAATGGTGCTGGGAAAACTGGCTAGCCACATGTAGAAAGCTGAAACTGGATGCCTTCCTTACGCCTTATACAAAAATTAATTCAAGATGGATTAAAGACTTAAACGTTAGACCTAAAACCATAAAAACCCTAGAAGAAAACCTAGGCATTACTATTCAGGACATAGGCATGGGCAAGGACTTCATGTCTAAAACACCAAAAGCAATGGCAACCAAAGACAAAATTGACAAATGGGATCTAATTAAACTAAAGAGCTTCTGCACAGCAAAAGAAACTACCATCAGAGTGAACAGGCAACCTACAAAATGGGAGAAAATTTTCGCAACCTACTTATCTGACAAAGGGCTAATATCCAGAATCTACAATGAACTCCAACAAATTTACAAGAAAAAAACAAACAACCCCATCAAAAAGTGGGCGGACATGAACAGACACTTCTCAAAAGAAGACATTTATGCAGCCAAAAACACATGAAACAATGCTCACCATCACTGGCCATCAGAGAAATGCAAATCAAAACCACAATGAGATACCATCTCACACCAGTTAGAATGGCGATCATTAAAAAGTCAGGAAGCAACACGTGCTGGAGAGGATGTGGAGAAATAGGAACACTTTTACACTGCTGGTGGGACTGTAAACTGGTTCAACCATTGTGGAAGTCAGTGTGGCGATTCCTCAGGGATCTAGAACTAGAAATACCATTTGACCCAGCCATCCCATTACTGGGTATATACCCAAAGGACTATAAATCATGCTGCTATAAAGACACATGCACACATATGTTTATTGCGGCATTATTCACAATAGCAAAGACTTGGAACCAACCCAAATGTCCAACAATGATAGACTGGATTAAGAAAATGTGGCACATACATACCATGGAATACTGTGCAGCCATTAAAAATGATGAGTTCATGTCCTTTGTAGGGACATGGATGAAATTGGAAATCATCATTCTCAGTAAACTATCGCCAGAACAAAAAACCAGACACCGCATATTCTCACTCATAGGTGGGAATTGAACAATGAGAACACATGGACACAGGAAGGGGAACATCACACTGTGGGGACTGTTGTGGGGTGGGGGAGGGGGGAGGGATAGCATTAGGAGACGTACCTAATGCTAAATGACGAGTTAATGGGTGCAGCACACCAGCATGGCACATGTATGCATATGTAACTAACCTGCACATTGTGCACATGTACCCTAAAACTTAAAGTATAATAATAATAATAATAAAAAAAAAAGAAAATGTGGCACACATGGAATACTATGCAGCCATAAAACAGGATGAGTTCATGTCCTTTGCAGGGACATGGATGAAGCTAGAAACTATCATTCTCAGCAAACCAACACAGGAACAGAAAACCAAACACTGCAAGTCGGAGTTGAACAATAAGAACACAAGGACACAGGAAGGGGAACATCACACACTGGGGCCTGTCGGGGTTGGGGGACTAGGGGAGGGGTAACATTAGGAGAAATACCTAATGTAGATGACGGGTTGATGGGTGCAGGAAACCACCATGGCACATGTATACCTATGTAACAAACCTGTACATTCTGCACATGTATCCCAGAACTTAAAGTATAATAATAAAAAGAAGAAGACCTCTTAAGAAGTCAAAAAAAGAAATAAAAAATAAAATGGTACAGCTGCTGTGGAAAACAGTTCGGTGGTTCTTCAGAAAGTTAAACATAAAATGACCATCTGATACAGAAATTCTACTTCTAGGTGTCTAATCAAAATAACTGAAAGCAGGAACTCAGATACTGGTACACCAATATTCACGGCCACATTATTCACAATAGCCAATAGATGAAAATAACCCAAGAATCAATTGACTAAAACAAATGTGGTTTATGATGGAAGATTATTCAACCATAAAAGGGAACAAAATTCTGATACACATTACAATAAGTATAAACCTTGAAAATATTATGAGTGAAATAAGCCAGACACAAGAGACCACATATCATATAATTCCATTTATATGATGTATCTAGAATAGGCAAATTCTTATAGATAGAAAGTCGATAGAGGCTATTAGGGATTGGGGTTGGGGAGGAAAGAATGGGTTGTTATTGCTTAATGGGTACAGAGTTTCTGTTTGGGATGATAAAATATTTCTGAAAATGGATAGTGGTGGTGGTTGTACAACACTGTGAATGTACTGAATTCCACTGAATGTACACTTAAAAATGGTTACACTGGTAAATTTTTTATTATGTATATTTTACAATAAAAAATAAAAGATTCATTCCAGGAAAAAAAAGATGGTTGATGGAGAATGGACAGATTAGTGACCAAAAAAAAAAGACAAATAAAATATTAACTGTCGATATAGGTGGTAGGTATACAGGTGTTCACTGTAAACTTTTATCAACTTCTCTGTATGTTCCTAAGTGTCCTAATAAAATCTTGGGGAAAATTCCATCAAAATGTTCTATTCTTTTATATATTTATTATTTCTCTTATTAATTTAGAAAGCTCATGAAATGTTAGTATTTTCTTCCTTTTTAATCTAAAAAAGGAAGATAGTGAGTACAAACCATCTGGAATGAAGAGAATGTCTAGAGTGAAATGAAATTCTGGGAGAACTGCTATGGACTGAACTGTATCCTTCCAAAATTCATATGTTGAACCCCTAACCCCCAATGTGACTATATTTGGAGACAGAGCTCTAAGGAGATAGTTATAGTTAAATGAGCTCATATGGTTAGGGCTCTGACTTTACAGGATTGGTGGCTTTATAAGATGAGGAAGAGAGGGAGAGAGGGATCTCTCTCTCCACAGACAAGTACCAAGGAAAGGCCATGTGAAAATACAGTGAGAAGGTAGGTGGTCATCTACAGCTAGGAAGAGGGTCCGTACCAGGAACTGAGTCACCCAGCAGCTTGATCTTGGACTTTTCAGCCTCTAGAACTGAGGGAAAATAAATTTCTGTTGTTTAAGCCATAAAGTCTGTGGTATTTTGTTATGGCAGCCCTAGCTAACTAAGACAAAGTCTACAGTTAAACATCTATGGATATTTAGATAATCTGCATGCAATTAATACACAGGGAAAAAAGGATCTGAAACAGTACATGCAGAATTTGAATGATGGAATATTAAAGCTTGAAGACATTCCAGCAACCATACTACTGTCAAACCTTTCATTTTACAGATAGGGAAACAGAAGCCCACATAGGTCAAGTGATTTATCTGAGGTCCTTCAGACAGATTAGTGGTAGAGCCCAGGACTGAAGCCCAGGCCTCTTGACTTCTGCTCTTTTCACCACAGCACATGGCTTCATCAAATCAAACACCCTGAGCCAAGTGTTAGCAGCCAAAATTATAATTACTTTCCTTCCACTAAAATCTCTTTCAGAAATTCAGCTGAATTTTTCTGATTTTGTACTTTACTCTTTTTTTTTAAACCCACAAACCAACTATCCAAGCAGGATAAAAACTAAAGAAGTCTTTTGAACAAATACAAAATGTATGTAGGAATACAAAAATACAAAACAATATATACAAACACACACACACATAATTTAAATTTGGACAAATGTTGACTCAATTATTCATTTACAGCAGAGGCCTGTGTGCCTAAAGGTTGCATATGTACACACAGAAGGCATCTCATCTCACTTCCTTCTAGTTGCCTATTTATAATATATAAAGGCATTCTGGAAAAATAATAAAAATGTATTTTTTTTAATTATTATACTTTAAGTTTTAGGGTACATGTGCACAATGTGCAGGTTAGTTACATATGTATACATGTGCCATGCTGGTGCGCTGCACCCACTAACTCGTCATCTAGCATTAGCTATATCTCCCAATGCTATCCCTCCCCCCTGCCCCCACCCCACAACAGTCCCCAGAGTGTGATGTTCCCCTTCCTGTGTCCATGTGTTCTCATTGTTCAATTCCCACCTACGAATATGCGGTGTTTGGTTTTTTGTTCTTGCAATAGTTTACTGAGAATAATGATTTCCAATTTCATCCATGTCCCTACAAAGGACGTGAACTCATCATTTTTTATGGCTGCACAGTATTCCATGGTATATATGTGCCACATTTTCTTAATCCAGTCTATCATTGTTGGACATTTGGGTTGGTTCCAAGTCTTTGCTATTGTGAATAATGCCGCAATAAACATATGTGTGCATGTGTCTTTATAGCAGCATGATTTATAGTCCTTTGGGTATATACCCAGTAATGGGATGGCTGGGTCAAATGGTATTTCTAGTTCTAGATCCCTGAGGAATCGCCACACTGACTTCCACAATGGTTGAACTAGTTTACAGTCCCACCAACAGTGTAAAAGTGTTCCTATTTCTCCACATCCTCTCCAGCACGTGTTGCTTCCTGACTTTTTAATGATCGCCATTCTAACTGGTGTGAGATGGTATCTCATTGTGGTTTTGATTTGCATTTCTCTGATGGCCAGTGATGGTGAGCATTTTTTCATGTGTTTTTTGGCTGCATAAATGTCTTCTTTTGAGAAGTGTCTGTTCATGTCCTTCGCCCACTTTTTGATGGGGTTGTTTGTTTTTTTCTTGTAAATTTGTTGGAGTTCATTGTAGATTCTGGATATTAGCCCTTTGTCAGATGAGTAGGTTGCGAAAATTTTCTCCCATGTTGTAGGTTGCCTGTTCACTCTGATGGCAGTTTCTTTTGCTGTGCAGAAGCTCTTTAGTTTAATTAGATCCCATTTCTCAATTTTGGCTTTTGTTGCCATTGCTTTTGGTGTTTTAGACATGAAGTCCTTGCCCATGCCTATGTCCTGAATGGTAATGCCTAGGTTTTCTTCTAGGGTTTTTATGGTTTTAGGTCTCACGTTTAAGTCTTTAATGCATCTTGAATTGATTTTTGTATAAGGTGTAAGGAAGGGATCCAGTTTCAGCTTTCTATATACGGCTAGCCAGTTTTCCCAGCACCATTTATAAATAGGGAATCCTTTCCCCATTGCTTGTTTTTCTCAGGTTTGTCAAAGATCAGATAGTTGTAGATATGCGGTGTTATTTCTGAGGGCTCTGTTCTGTTCTATTGATGTATATCTCTGTTTTGGTACCAGTACCATGCTGTTTTGGTTACTGTAGCCTTGTAGTATAGTTTGAAGTCAGGTAGCGTGATGCCTCCAGCTTTGTTCTTTTGGCTTAGGATTGACTTGGTGATGCGGTTTTTCAAATTATTTATAGTCTAATTTAGCAAAGTATTATATATTTATTATATTTAAAATATGTATTTTGAGAAAACGCCCTTATAGGCCAGGAAAACCATGTTAATAAGCATGAGTGTTTCATAGGGCAATAATATATTTTATAACATTTTAAAATAATATAAAATATAAAAATTGAACAATCTAATAATTGAGCATTATTTTGTTTAAAAGAGTTCTTATAGAACTTTTAATTTCACTTTTCCACTAGGTAAACTTAAGAGTGCATGAAGAGAAATACCTCTAATGATGTTGATATAATGGGAATGTGCCAATGACATCCAGAAATGGTAATAACCCATTATTACCATTCAATACTTAAACATTTTCTTTAACATTTATTTTTTTCCTCAGTTTAGATTCATTATACACAGACAATGAATTGAACCATAAGAAAGTCCATTTCATAATTTTTCTTTTTCATATTAAAGTCAGATGTATCAGAGGTGGTCTTAATCTATAACTATATGGAATAATAATAGTGTGATTTGTTTGTCATCACTTAGTCTTGTTTTTTTTTTTTTTTTTTTTTAAGAGACACAGTTTCACTCTGTTGCCCAGGCTGGTCTCGAACTTCTAGGCTCAAGGGATCTTCCTGTTTCAGCTTCTTACTGGGATTACAGGCACACAGTACCATACCTGGCTCAACCATTTAGTCTTTTCAAAAGGACGTGCTGAAAGCTCTGAAGATAATTATTAAAGCTGATTTTAAAAATACTTTGACCAAAGGCAGCACTGTTTGGAACTGTAGATATATTCAAGGACATTTTGTTTTGAGAGACAGTCTCTGAGAAATAATGCTCTAGTTATATTTGAAAACAAAACAAGCAATAACAAAACCAGTGAAATTACTTTCTAGTATCACCTGTCTTTTTAACATGGCTAAAACAATGTTTGTATTGTCTGGGGCTGTGGTTCAGCCTGATGGAATAACTGCAGTGAAGGGAATGGGATTTTACTTTTTATGCACTTACCCAGGGCAGAACCACAATTAGTGGAAAAGATTGGAGAATTGGAGAACAAAGAGCCGATTTCAAAAGCAAACAATTATTTTACTGCTTTAATAGGCTGTATAATGTAAAATGAAGTTCATTCTCTTTATCCAAATAAGTAAGAAACGTGTAGACATAACTAAAGTAGGGTAAAAAAAGTGAAGCGGTCACAAATAGTGCTTGGGGAAAAAAGCAGAATTCTCTTCTACCTTCCTAGGTAGTGATGCCCTGTAAGACTTCTTACTTTTGAAGGAGGGATTGTATATGTCCCATGGGCATTCAGAGGCCTGGGGACAAACAACATTACAACTTCTCATTCCATGCTTTTTTCTGTAACACAACCTATAAAAAACGCTGGGAGAGTGTGATTAGGGGTCCAGCTGTGTAGATGCTGTGCTAGTCAATTAGTATTTCAAAACCAGGTAACGAGGTTTGAAATAAATATGTGCAAATAATGTGGTTTGATGGAATTCATAAGCCTTGAATTCAAGTTCCAGCTGTATAAGCTCTAAGTAACCTCAGAAAACTTAAGTAACTGTCATGAATTTCAGCTTCCTCATCTGCAAAATCATCATCATCATTATTAACACTTAGGGTCCTAAATACATCGCAAGTAATGTTCTAAGGACCTCACATATTTTAATTCATTGAATTCTTAACATCCCCAAGAGAAGGCACTATTATTGGTCACATTTTCTACATAAAGAAACTGAGTTACAGAGAGGTTAAGTAACTTGCTCAAAGACAGGAACACTTATTCCACAGGGTTGTTGTGAGATGAAACAAAATCAATAATCTGGTTAGTGATGGAACAGATTCTGAGATCATCCAGTCTAGGCTCTAACAGTAACTAAGAGGCATCACAACAAAATTGGTTAACTGCAGACGTCAAACCAGGTCTTCTGGTTCTTATTCCTGTGCTTTTTAAACACATCTCCTTACTATTTTGCTTTCCTGTAAGTAATTTTCATATATTTCACTTATATGTATAAAATTCCTCTAGGGTAGAAAAGTGGGAGAGTTGTTAATTTCTATGTTTTAAAAAAACAGATGAGAAAATGCAGGATACCCTGAAGTCAGCGTGTATACAGCACAGCTAGACAGAGGGTCAAGGTCAACTGAATGATAGTGACAACGATGACACAATGAAGATGGCTGTAATACCATCTCATTTATCAGATCCAGATTCTCTTTAGGGCACTGTGCCAAAGCGCCTTATGCAAATTATCTCATTTAATGCTAAATCTATTTCTGAGTATGTGACTTAAAATCCTGTTAGTTTTAAAATCACAGAATGGCTAAGCCTGAGGTATACAAAATGCAGACTTTCTGGAGTCAGGATCACAAATCCCAGCTGTGTCGATTCAGCCCAAGGTCCTAATACAGAGAATAAACTGAAGGCCAAGTAGATTAGTTAGTGTGGGCTTTGGGCTAGACATTGAGAATGAAGACCTTTTCTCTACAGTGAGGATACACACTTGGTGCTTTTTGAAAAAGCTGGGGTTAACCTCAACTCTTTCGACAGAATATCGGGTTTATTTGCCAAAATGGATTTTTAAAAATAATGGCTGAATTGCCCTACAGTCCATTAGTCATCCTATAGAAATCTAATGTTAGAAAAATATTCACTTAAAATATAGTGGGAAAAACTCTCTGAACTATGTTCAGCAGTTCTTGGCTGTGGTCTTTTATCCAACAGAAATTTCCTCTTTTGAAATGACCAGTTACTTTGTGTAATATAGCCTAATCTTCAGCATTTGTACTTATGGAGAAGAGATTAAAGCTCCTGACTTTGCATCATGTTTTTACTGATAATGTGATGTACTGGAACATCATTTCAAGCAAAATCATAAAACCCTAAGCAAAGGCCATGCTTCCATTTTTAGCTCTCTGTACAATATTCTCCACATCCTAGGAACTCCAGAAATTAATCACTGGACATCTACTTGTATTATGCAGTGTGCTGGTTCCTGGGGATACAACAGCGAGCAAAGGTGACCCAGACCCTGCTTCTGGAGGGAGCTCAAGTTCAGTTTATTTCTCATATCCCCCAGTTAAGGGTATCTTTGCTATGCTCTTCTTTCTCTGGCTCCCCCAAACTCCTTCTTCACTGAGCCCTAGGCCTCATCTACTATCGTCCTGTCAACAAAGAGTTGACATTTAATTTTTTCAGTCACCAAATCATACTGTATTTTCTTGTTATACAATTATATAAGACATTTGAGAAAATGCCAAGATCTCAGAACCATTCCATCCAAAAAAACTTATAACCATTTGTCACATACACAAATTATTATTACATAACATACTTGCTTACCCAATTTTAAGAAATAAGGGACTAAGAATTTGCATTGGGACTAAGAATTTGCATCTTATGATCCTTTGAGGCCTTTTGTTAACTTGAAGTAGAAATGATCTCTTATCCTAAAGATTATATCCTTCTTAAGGTATGGTGGTAGCCAGCTTCCAGATGGTACCTGACAATTCTTGCCTCCGGGTATTCATGCCCTTATGTATAGTTCCTTCCCATACTGAATGTAACAATGGTGAAAGGAACAGTATGTGACCTTTAGGGTTAGGTCGCAGAAGGCACTGTGGTTCACACCTTGGTCTCCTGGATTGCTTGCTCTGGAGTAAGCCAGCTGCCATCCAATGAGAATGCTTCAGCCCTCCCATGGAAAACTGAGGCCCCCAGCCAACTCCTAGCATTACTCTATCAGCTACGTAACAAATCAGTGAACAGCTGGCTGACATCTGACTGCAACCTCACAGGAAATTCCAAGCCAGAATTGCCCAGCCAAGCTACTCCCAAATTCCTGCCCACAGAAATCACCATATAAGTGGTTACTGTTGTAACAGTAAGTTCTAAGGTTATTGCTATAATAGATACAATAGAAACCAGGCCTCCCAGCCAGCCCCCTACACCTGAGGTGCCTGCATTCTTGCACTGCCACAGGGCCTGGCCGCCTGGTGTGCTTGTGCACACCTGGACTGCACAGCGTGACACCTGGGCGCTGCATGACAGGAGCAGCCGGCTCACGCCTTTCACGTGCAGTGGCAGTCGCTGCTTCAACAGGGTATTCTTCCTATGCTGCCTGCATGAGCTGCTCCATGACTACCCCGACTTGGCCAAGGTGGTGAGCTGTCAGTGGTCATTGACATCAGAGGCAACTGACAGTTTTTTTTATCAACAGAAATTTGGTTGTTGCCCCCAAAGTTCTATGAAATAAGAAGACTTGAAAACTCTGCCCCCCTCCCTGATTTGCAAAAATTTTGTTTGGATCATGAATTAGAAAGGGTAGAAAGATGGCTGGGATCACCTTATTAACTGCTGATGGGATGCCCAGCTTTTACCAGGTTATGAGCTGGCTTTGTTTACCTAGAAGATTCACACTTTTTAGAAAATATTTTGTCTACTGAAAAAAAGACTGACAAAATCATGAAGGCAAGAAATGTCACTGAGTAGTGATGTACAATTGCCATCTTTACAATATCCATGTGACTATTCAAAGTAGAAATACATTTATCTTAAGAACTATATAGTAAGTAAGAGTCACTTGTAAGGTGCTGCCTGGTTGTAAGCTGGTCTATTTGTAGTCCTGATGAATAATGAGGGTTGACTAAACTTGCTTGAAATTTAAGGAAATTTGTGCCTATAAAAGTTATAATGTGGCCGGTGTGGTGGCTCATGCCTGTAATCCCAGCGCTTTGGGAGGTGGAGGTGGGCAGATCACGAGGTCAGGAGTTCGAGACCAGCCTGGCCAACATGGTGAAACCCCGTTTCTAATAAAAATACAAAAAATTAGCCAGGTGTGGTGGCGGGAACCTGTAATCCCAGTTACATGGGAGGCTGAGGCAGGAGAATCGTTTGAACCCGGGAGATGGAGGATGCAGTGAGCTGAGACCATGCCACTGCGCTCCAACCTGGGCAACAGAGTGAGACTCGTCTCAAAACAAAACAAAACAAACAAACAAAAAATTTCACAAGGGTTCCCACTCTGTATTGTTTTATTATCTCAAAAGTTTAAATGAGATGTTCTACTGCCATTGGCCATTGTTATTCTTGCTCTCAAATGTATTAGTACTTTTCCTGATGTACTCTGGAGGTTGATCCATGAATTTCATAGACTTTCTGCTGGAAACTAAGGGTGTCTGATTAGATGGTGGAATGTAGATGGAGACAACCTTCAAGTGATAATGTCATTGTTTTCTTGCTGTGTCATTACCTTGATGATTAAGATACAATTATTTTTAAAACCAAAAGGCACTAGTTATGTTTCTCAAATTAGAAAACTATTTTAGGATGATGGAGCCAAGACGGCTGAATAGAACAGCTCCAGTCTACAGCTCCCAGCATAAGCGACGCAGAAGACAGGTGATTTCTGCATTTCCAACTGAGGTACCCGGTTCATCTCACTGGGGAATGTCGTAAAGTGGGTGCAGGACAGTGGGTGCAGCGCACCGAGCGTGAGCTGAAGTAGGGCAAGGCATTGCCTCACCCGGGAAGCACAAGGGGTCAGGGAATTACCTTTCCTAGTCAAAGAAAGGGGTGACAGACTGCACCTGGAAAATCGGGTCACTGCCACCCTAATACTGCGCTTTTCCAAAGCTCTTAGCAAACGGCACACCAGGAGATTATATTCTGCGCCTGGCTCGGAGGGTCCTATGCCCACGGAGCCTCGCTCACTGCTAGCACAGTAGTCTGAGATCAAACCGCAAGGCGGCAGCAAGGCTGGGGGAGGGGCGCCTGCCATTGCCGAGGCTTGAGTAGGTAAACAAAGCGGCCAGGAAGCTCGAACTGGGTGGAGCCCACCACAACTCAAGGAGGCCTGCCTTACTGTGTAGACTCCACCTCTGGGGGCAGGGCTTAGCCAAACTAAAGGCAGCAGAATCCTCTGCAGACTTAAATGCCCCTGTCTGACAGCTTTGAAGAGAGTAGTGGTTCTCCCAGCATGCAGTTAGAGATCTGAGAACCGACAGACTGCCTCCTCAAGTGGGTCCCTGACCCCCAAGTAGCCTAACTGGGAGGCACCCCCTAGCAGGGGCAGACTGACACCTCACACGGCCGGGTACTCCCCTGAGACAAAACTTCCAGAGGAACGATCAGGCAGCAACATTTGATGCTCACCAATATCCGCTGTTCTGCAGCCTCCGCTTTTGATACCCAGGCAAACAGGGTCTGGAGTGGACCTCCAGCAAACGCCAACAGACCTGCAGATGAGGGTCCTGACTGTTAGAAGGAAAACTAACAAACAGAAGGAACATCCACACCAAAACCCCATCTATACGTGACCATCATCAAAGACCAAAGGTAGATAAAACCACAAAGATGGGGGAAAAAACAGAGCAGAAAAACTGGAAACTCTAAAAATCAGAGCACCTCTCCTCCTCCAAAGGAACGCAGCTCCTCACCAGCAACAGAACAAAGCTGGATGGAGAATGACTTTGACAAGTTGAGAGAAGAAGGCTTCAGACAATCAAACTACTCCGAGCTAAAGGAGGAAGTTCGAACCCATGGCAAAGAAATTAAAAACCTTGAAAAAAAATTAGACGAATGGCTAACTAGAATAACCAACGCAGAGAAGTCCTAAAAGGACCTGATGGAGCTGAAAACCAAGGCACAAGAACTACGTGACGAATGCACAAGCCTCAGTAGCCGATATGATCGACTGGAAGAAAGGGTATCAGTGATGGAAGATCAAATGAATGAAATGAAGCGAGAAGAGAAGTTTAGAGAAAAAAGAATAAAAAGAAACGAACAAAGCCTCCAAGAAATATGGGACTATGTGAAAAGACCAAATCTACGTCTGATTGGTGTACCTGAAAGTGACAGGGAGAATGGAACCAAGTTGGAAAACACTCTGCAGGATATTATCCAGGAGAACTTCCCCAATCTAGCAAGGCAGGCCAACATTCAGATTCAGGAAATACAGAGAACGCCACAAAGATACTCCTCGAGAAGAGCAACTCCAAGACACATAATTGTCAGATTCACCAAAGTTGAAATGAAGGAAAAAATGTTAAGGGCAGCCAGAGAGAAAGGTCGGGTTACCCACAAAGGGAAGCCCATCAGACTAACAGCTGATCTCTCACCAGAAACTCTACAAGCCAGAAGAGAGTGGGGGCTAATATTCAACATTCTTAAAGAAAAGGATTTTCAACCCAGAATTTCATATCCAGCCAAACTAAGCTTCAGAAGTGAAGGAGAAATAAAATCCTTTACAGACAAGCAAATGCTGAGAGATTTTGTCACCACCAGGCCTGCCCTAAAAGAGCTCCTGAAGGAAGCACTAAACATGGAAAGGAAAAACTGGTACCAGCCACTGCAAAATCATGCCAAATTGTAAAGACCATCGAGGCTAGGAAGAAACTGCATCAACTAACGAGCAAAATCACCAGCTAACATCATAATGACATGATGAAATTCACACATAACAATATTAACCTTAAATGTAAATGGGCTAAATGCTCCAATTAAAAGACACAGACTGGCAAATTGGATAAAGAGTCATGATCCATCAGTGTGCTGTATTTAGGAAACCCATCTCATGTGCACAGACACACAGAGGCTCAAAATAAAGGGATGGAAGAAGATCTACCAAGCAAATGGAAAACAAAAAAAGGCAGGATTGCAGGGGTTGCAATCCTAGTCTCTGATAAAACAGACTTTAAAATTACAAAGATCAAAAGAGACAAAGAAGTCCATAACATAATGGTAAAGGGATCAATTCAACAAGAAGAGCTAACTATCCTAAATATATATGCACCCAATACAGGAGCACCCAGATTCATAAAGCAAGTCCTCAGAGACCTACAAAGAGACTTAGACTCCCACAATAATAATGGGAGACTTTAACACCCCACTGTCAATATTAGACACATCAACGAGACAGAAAATTAACAAGGATATCCAGGAATTGAACTCAGCTCTGCACCAAGCTGACCTAAAAGACATCTACAGAACTCCCCACTGCAAATCAACAGAATATACATTCTTCTCAGCACCACACTGCACTTACTCCAAAATTGACCACATAGTTGGAAGCAAAACACTCCTCAGCAAATGCAAAAGAACAGAAATTATAACAAACTGTCTCTCAGACCACAGTGCAATCAAACCAGAACTCAGGATTAAGAAACTCACTCAGAACTGCTCAACTACATGGAAACTGAACAACCTGCTCCTGAATGACTACTGGGTACATCATGAAATGAAGGCAGAAATAAAGATGTCCTTTGAAACCAACGAGAACAAAGACACAACATACCAGAATCTCTGGGACACATTCAAAGCAGTGTGTAGAGGGAAATTTATAGCACTAAATGCCCACAAGAGAAAGCAGGAAAGATCTAAAACTGACACCCTAACATCACAATTAAAAGAACTAGAGAAGCAAGAGCAAACAAATTCAAAAGCTAGCAAAAGGCAAGAAATAACTAAGATCAGAGCAGGACTGAAGGAGATAGAGACACAAAAAACCCTTCAAAAAATCAATGAATCCAGTAGCTGGTTTTTTGAAAAGAACAACAAAATTGATAGACCGCTAGCAAGACTAATAAAGAAGAAAAGAGAGAAGAATCAAATAGACACAATAAAAAATGATAAAGGGGATATTACCACTGATCCCACAGAAATACAAACTACCATCAGAGAATACTATAAACACCTCTACGCAAATAAACTAGAAAATCTAGAAGAAATGGATAAATTCCTGGACACATACACCCTCCCAAGACTAAACCAGGAAGAATTTGAATCTCTGAATAGACCAATAACAGGCTCTGAAATTGAGGCAATAATTAATAGCTTACCTACCAAAAAAAGTCCAGGACCAGATGGATTCACAGCCGAATTCTACCAGAGGTACAAGTAGGAGCTGCTACCATTCCTTCTGAAAGTATTCCAATCAACAGAAAAAGAGGGAATCCTCCCTAACTCATTTTATGAGGCCAGCATCATCCTGATACCAAAGCCGGGCAGAGACACCACCAAAAAAGAGAATTTTAGACCAATATCTGTGATTAATATTGATGCAAAAATCCTCAATAAAATACTGGCAAACCGAATCCAGCAGCACATCAAAAAGCTTATCCACCATGATCAAGTGGGCTTCATCCCTGGGATGCAAGGCTGGTTCAACATACGAAAATCAATAAACCTAATCCAGCATATAAACAGAACCAATGGCAAAAAACCATGATTATCTCAATAGATGCAGAAAAGGCCTTTGACAAAATTCAACAGCCCTTCATCCTAAAAACTCTCAATAAATTAGGTATTGATGGGATGCATCTCAAAATAATAAGAGCTATCTATGACAAACCCATAGCCAATATCATACAGAATGGGCAAAAACCGGAAGCATTCCCTTTGAAAACTGGCACAAGACAGGGATGCCCTCTCTCACCACTCCTATTCAACATAGTGTTGGAAGTTCTGGCCAGGGAGAAGGAAATAAAGGGTATTCAATTAGGAAAAGAGGAAGTCAAATTGTCCCTGTCTGCAGATGACATGATTGTATATCTAGAAAACCCCATTGTCTCAGCCCCAAATCTCCTTAAGCTGATAAGCAACTTCAGCAAAGTCTCAGGATACAAAATCAACCTGCAAAAATCACAAGCATTCTTATACACCAATAACAGACAAACAGAGAGCCAAATCATGAGTGGACTCCCATTCACAATTGCTTCAAAGAGAATAAAATACCTAGGAATCCAACTTACAAGGGACATGAAGGACCTCTTCAAGGAGAAGTACAAACCACTGCTCAAAGAAATAAAAGAGGACACAAACAAATGGAAGAACACTCCATGCTCATGGATAGGAAGAATCAATATCATGAAAATGGCCATACTGCCCAAGGTAATTTATAGATTCAATGCCATCCCCATCAAGCTACCAATGACTTTCTTCACAGAATTGGAAAAAACTACTTTAAAGTTCATATGGAACCAAAAAAGAGCTTGCACCGCGAAGTCAATCCTAAGCCAAAAGAACAAAGTTGGAGGCATCACGCTACCTGACTTCAAACTATACTACAAGGCTACAGTAACCAAAACAGCATGGTACTGGCACCAAAACAGAGATATAGACCAATAGAACAGAACAGAGCCCTCAGAAATAATGCCACATATCTACAACCATCTGAACTTTGACAAACCTGACAAAAACAAGAAATGGGAAAACGATTCCCTGTTAAATTAATGGTGCTGGGAACACTGGCTGGCCATATGTAGAAAGCTGAAACTGGATCCCTTCCTTACACCTTATACAAAAATTAATTCAAGATGGATTAAAGACTTAAACGTTAGACCTAAAACCATAAAAACCCTAGAAGAAAACCTAGGCAATACCATTCAGGACATAGGCATGGGCAAGGACTTCATGTCTAAAACACCAAAAGCAATGGCAACAGAAGCCAAAATTGACAAATGGGATCTAATTAAACTAAAGAGCTTCTGCACAGCAAAAGAAACTACCATCAGAGTGAACAGGCAACCTACAGAATGGAAGAAAATTTTTGCAATCTACTCATCTGACAAAAGGCTAATATCCAGAATCTACAATGATCTCCAACAATTTACAAGAAAAAAACAAACAGCCCCATCAAAAAGTGGGCAAAGGATACGAACAGACACTTCTCAAAAGAAGACATTTATGCAGCCGAAAGACACATGAAAAAATGCTCATCATCACTGGCCATCAGAGAAATGCAAATCAAAACCACAATGAGATACCATCTCACACCAGTTAGAATGGCAATCATTAAAAAGTCAGGAAACAACAGGTGCTGGAGAGGATGTGGAGAAACAGGAACACTTTTACACTGTTGGTGGGACTGTAAACTAGTTCAACCATTGTGGAAGTCAGTGTGGCGATTCCTCAGGGATCTTGAACTAGAAATACCATTTGACCCAGCCATCCCATTACTGGGTATATACCCAAAGGATTATAAATCATGTTGCTATAAAGACACATGCACATGTATGTTTATTGCGGCACTATTCACAATAGCAAAGACTTGGAACCTACCCAAATGTCCAACCAACAATGATAGACTGGATTAAGAAAATGTGGCACATATACACCACGGAATACTATGCAGCCATAAAAAATGATGAGTGCATGTCCTTTGTAGGGACATGGATGAAGCTGGAAACCATCATTCTCAGCAAACTATCGCAAGGACAAAAAAACCAAACACCACATGTTCTCACTCACAGGTGGGAACTGAACAATGAGAACACATAGACACAGGAAGGGGAACATCACACACCGGGGCCTGTTGTGCGGTGGGGGGATGGGGAGGGATAGCATTAGGAGATATACCTAATGTTAAATGATGAGTTAATGGTTGCAGCACATCAAATGGCACATGTATACATATGTAACTAACCTGCACATTGTGCACATGTACCCTAAAACCTAAAGTATAATAAAACTATTTTAGTTATTTTGAAGAAATATAAAGCCATAACAAAAGCCATTATGCTTTTTACTCGAGTGTTAATGAATGCAAAGAGATTAGATAGTAGTATTTAATTAATGATGTTTATCTTCAGTATATTTAATATGAGTAATTTTTCACCTCCTTTACAGAGGAACAATGTTTATTGTTTAAAGGTGGGAAATGATGGCTAAGCCACCAAATCTATTTCACGATATTTGACTGTATTATGCATTGTACAATGGATTTCATTTTTCATGTAATATCTCAGTTTTCTTACCTATAAAACAAAAGCAGTGGCTGGGCGCGGTGGCTCATGCCTGTAATCGCAGCGCTTTGGGAGGCCGAGTTGGGCGGATCACGAGGTCAGGAGTTTGAGACCAGCCTGGCCAACATTGTGAAACCCGTCTCTAATAAAAATACAAAAAATTAGCCAGGCATGGTGGTGGGCCCCTATAATCCCAGTTACTTGGGAGGCTGAGGCAGGAGAATCGCTTAAACCTGGGAGGCAGAGGTTGCAGTGAGCCGAGACTGCGCCACTGCACTCCAACCTGGGCAACAGAGTGAGACTCCGTCTCAAAAAACAAACAAAAAAAATTCACAAGGGTTCCCAGTCTGTATTGTTTTATTATCTCAAAAGTTTAAATAAGATGTTCTCCTGCTCTTGGCCATTGTTGTTTTTACTCTCAAATGCATTAGTACTTTTCCTGATGTACTTTGGAGGTTGACCCATGAATTTCATAGACTTTCTGCTGGAATTTAAGGGTGTCTGATTAGATGTGGAATGTAGACGGACACAACCTTCAAGTGATTAACGTCATTGTTTTCTTGCTGTGTCATTACCTTGATGATTAAGATACAATTCTTTTAAAAACCAAATGACACTAGTTATGTTTCTCAAATTAGAAAACTATTTGTTATTTTAAAGAAATATGAAGCCATAACAAAAACCATTATGTTTTTTACTCCAGAGTGTAAATGAATGCAGAGATTAGACAGTGGTATTTAATTAATGATGTTTATTTTCACTATATTTAATCTGAGTAATTTTTCACCTCCTTTACGGGGGAATAATGTTTATTGTTTAAAGGTGGGAAATGATGGTTAAGCCACCAAATCTATTTCACGATATTTGACTGTATTAGCATTGTACAATGGATTTCATTTTTTATGTAATGTCTCAGTTTTCTTACCTATAAAATAAAAGCAGTGGCCGGGCATGGTAACTCATGCCTGTAATCCCGACACTTTGGGAGGCTGAGACGGGCGGATCACCTGAGGTGGGGAGTTCAAGACTAGGCTGGCCAACATGGTGAGACCCTATCTCTACTAAAAATACAAAAAGTTAACCAGGCATGGTGGTACACAACTGTAATCCCAGCTACTTGGGAGGCTGAGGCAGGAGAGTTGCTTGAACCTGGGAGGCAGAGGTTGCAGTGAGCCCAGATCATGCCACTGCACTCCAGCCTGGGCAACACAGTGAGACTCTGTCTCAAAAAAGGAAAACAGTAAAATTATTATACTCTAATTTGTATGCGGTTGTTACAGGCATTATTGTTTTGGAAGGTGATATTTTTCATCTTGTACACAACATGGCTGTCTCCATTTTGTGAGATGCTGACCTCACAGGCTTTCAAAATTTCTGATTTGCTAAAAATATTAGTAATGAATGTTTATCTATATTTTCCTCAATGTTAAGTTAAAGAAAAAGAAAAACAAAACTTGCTTAGTTACTTTCTGAAGATAAGTTTTGATGATGTGGCTCTGACTATGGTAAAGTAAGGAACTGTGGAGGACCAAAGAGCCAGGAGAACTTGAAAGAGTAGCAAGAAATAACCAAAACTGCTGAAATCCATTTCATTGACCTTCTCAAGGAAAAAATTTTAACAACTCCCCATGTGTCCAAAGAATTTAATTTTAACCAGTGCAAAAATGTAGCAAGATTTTTAGAAATAACTTTTTTTTCTTTTCTTTTTTTTTTTTTTTGAGATGGAGTCTCGCTCTGTCACTCAGGCTGGAGTGCAGTGGAGCTATCTGAGCTCACTGCAAGCTCTGCCTCCTGGGTTCACATCATTCTCCTGCCTCAGCCTCCCAAGTAGCTGGGACTACAGGCGCCCACCACCATGCCCAGCTAATTTTTTGTAATTTTAGTAGAGACGGGGTTTTACCGTGTTAGCCAGGATGGTCTCGATCTCCTGACCTCGTGATCCGCCCACCTAGGACTCCCAAAGTGTTGGGATTACAGGCATAAGCCACCGTGTCTGGCCAGAAATACCATTTTTAAAAGCTAGACACTGGGCA